>NC_000015.10:24792025-25095055 GCF_000001405.40 Homo sapiens
GCCAGTTGCAGTGGCTCACACTTGTAATTCCAGCATTTTGGGAGGCCCAGGTAGCCAGATCACTTGAGGCCAGGAATTCGAGACCAGCCTGGCCAACATGGCGAAAACCCATCTCTACCAAAAATACAAAAAAAAAAAAAAAAAAAAAAAATTAGCCGGGCATCATAGCACACAACTGTAATCTCAGCTACTCTTGAGGCTGAGGCATGAGAGTCACTTGAACTCAGGAGGTGGAGGTTGCAATGAGCCAAGATTGCACCAGTGCCCTCCAGCCTGGGTAATACAGTGAGACTCTGTCTCAAAAAAAAAAAAAAAAAAAAGTAATTTTACTACGACAAATGCCTACAACATCATTAGGAAGTACTTTTTTTAAGCTCCATAATAATCTTGTGGAACCACCATTGTATAAGCAGACTGTCATTGAAAATTGCATTATACTTTGCAGCAGAAAAGTGTATTATACACATAAGGGCCTATTTTACACTAATGGAAAACGCCCTCTAGAACTATAGAAACTTGAATTTTATTTACATAAAAATGAAAGCAATATTGAAATTAATTTATAAATGGGTTTGCAAATATCTTAAAATTCTGATTATGATGGTTCCAAATCAGATTTTAATCCAGGGCTATGAATATTTTAACATCACCCTCTGTGGCCTAAAGAGTAAAGGCAGGCTGGGCACGGTGGCTCACGCCTGTAATCCCAGCACTTTGGGAGGCCAAGGTGGGCAGATCACGAGGTCAGGAGTGCGAGACCAGCCTGGCCAATATGGTGAAACCCCATCTCTACTAAAAATACAAAATTAGCCAGGCATGATGGTGCATGCCTGTAATCTCAGCTACTCGGGAGGCTGAGGCAGGAGAATTGCTTGAACCCGGGAGGCGGAGGTTGCAGTGAGCCAAGTTACGCCACTGCACTCCAGCCTGGGCGACAGAGCAAGACTCTGTCTCAACACACCCACACACAAAAGTAAAGGCAATGAAACATTTTTTAATAAAAGAGGCTGCGTCATTGTGTGATTTCCACTTTTCCTGCTGACACCCATTATGCAAATTCTGATGCACATGATCTTACAAGAAGATGACAATGTAAAAGTTCAGGACAAATTCATCTATATACAATGAAAATGAACAATGAAAATGAAAACCAAGTAATGACTGCCACCAGGATAACAACTACTGTGATAAAATTTGAAAGAAAAAAATAGCAAAAATGGTGAAATACAGCAGCTAGCAAAAATTTGGAAATGTTTATCAAGGAAGTCATATTAATAGAGGTGAATCTTGGAGAACAAGACAATTTTCCTCGGTTTCTACGAAGGCAACACTGTCCAGAAGGACAAAAGAGGGGCAGATGAGGAGGATGGAGCAAGCAACCAGGCCCATGAGAGGGGCTCTGCAGTGGATTGAGGATGGAGAGGCTGGAGAAGAGGCTGAGGGTAAGTCAGGGCTCACATCCTGACCTGAATAAAGAAAGGGGCACAAGAACCAGGTTCATCTTCAAGTTCAAGTCATTTCAGATTGAAAGAGAGTTGTACTTTATCGTTAATTAGGTAAGAATGTAGTTAAGCATTTGACTGATCCATTAATTCATTTGTGAGATTCAATATAAAGGAGAATGTTCTGTGTTGCTTTTTGTTTATCACATGTGAGGGGCTCACAGAGGAACAACACAGATAAAAGTTTCCATTTTCTCTGATATTTCAGTCAAGTAGTGATTCAGAAAATGTAACAGAAACTAAACTGTAGATGATAGATCAGCTCCTCAGAACTCAGGGGACAGGCATCAGACCTGGGATGGGATGGAGAAGGGAGGCCTCCAGGAGGAGGAGCATTGGAAGAGATTCTGGAGAGTGAGGAGCAGTGAGTACAATAGACAGGGGAAGGAAAGCGAAGAGGAAACAGTGTGTCCGTGGCACAGGCCAGGCCATAAGAAGAGAGCAGTGGATTGGAAGGACCGCTGGGATGAGTAATATGTGAGGAGGCAGAAGGGCAGACCACGGAGGGACTGGGCAGGGGAGGGAGGGCCGCTTCCTGAGGACTGCATTCTGTGGGGAGGGATTTGAATGACTCAGTTTTCTTCTTTGAAATATTCCCATGCTGGGTGCGGTGGCTCACGCCTGTAATCCCAGCACTTTGGGAGGCTGAGACGGGCGGATCACAAGGTCAGGAGATCGAGACCATCCTGGCTAACACAGTGAAATCCCATCTCTACTAAAAATACAAAAAATTAGCCGGGCGTCGTGGCTGGCGCCTGTGGTCCCAGCTGCTTGGGAGGCTGAGGCAGGAGAATGGCGTGAACCCGGGAGGGCGGAGCTTGCAGTGAGCCGAGATCACGCCACTCTACTCCAGCCCAGGCGACAGATCGTGACTCCCCATCTCAAAAAACAAAAACAAACAAAAAAATATTCCCCCAAGTCCATGAGGTCATCCAATCAGAAAAGACAGTAAGACAGTCAGAACATGTGAGGATGGTCCCTGTCCACTGTGGAGAGGGGACCGGAGGAGTTGGTGCTGAGGAGGAGTGAGAGTGGAAAGGACAGAGAGGTTCCTGTCTGCTCAGTCATTTTGCAGGTGTCGGTGGGATCCAAGGATCTGAAAATTCACAGTGGCTGGCTCATGGCCGCCTGGTATCAATACACTACAGGGTGAGAGCAACGTCACAGGCAGCTGGAAATAAGGGGGTCCACACCTGGCCCCAGAAGAAACCCAATGCAAGGCACACAGGCACTGCAGGAGGGGAAATGCAGAGAGGGTGGGGGTGGGTGGGGTGCGCAGGCCTTTATGGGACTTTCTCCAAGGACATGCACATGTTCACCCATCAATCGGTGCCTGCATGTCCCCTCACATGTTCTTCGATATTTTCCTACAAAATCTCATGATTATTTCATGTTTCTTGGAGTGTCACATGTATTTTGACTCTCTTCTCACACCCTTTTCTTTGTATACATAGCAATACTTCAATTTATTTTTGGTGGGTTATTCATAATTAACGTATTTCCCAACTTTGGAACCAAATTAATTTGCCCCGCTTTGCATGCTTAGGTTGATCATAGATTCGTGTCTCCTAATTTCAGAGTGGATCACCTCTGCATGACCCTAAGCAAGCGTTCAGTTTGGGGTATTGCATTTTCTTAGGTAACATTCGACACGTTTATGCTCCATAAACTATTAAGCTGTCACTAGTCATTTAAAAATTCCAGTAGGCTTTATCTTTATTTCGTTTTCTCTATATTGGCATATTATATTTTTCTTCCGTTTACTTTGGATTTAACTTGATACACTTTTCTTTAAAGGTTTCTAAGGTGAAAATTTTGATGACATATATATATATATATATATATTTTTTTTTTTTTTTTTTTTTTTTTTTTTTTGAGGCGGAGTCTCGCTCTGTCCCCCAGGCTGGAGTGCAGTGGCGGGATCTCGGCTCACTGCAAGCTCCGCCTCCCGGGTTCACGCCATTCTCCTGCCTCAGCCTCCCAAGTAGCTGGGATTACAGGCGCCCGGCTAATTTTTGTATTTTTAGTAGAGATGGGGTTTCACCATGCTGGCCAGGCTGGTCTCACACTCCTGACCTCGTGATCCACCAGCCTTGGCCTCCCAAAGTGCTGGGATTACAGGTGTGAGCCACCGTGCCTGGACAGATTTCTTCTTTTCTAATATATATATTTGAGGCTATAATATCCCTCCAAGCTCCCTGATTGCACCCCATGAATTTTGATAAGTTGTGTTTTCCTTTAAATTTAGTTCGAAATATATTTTTAAATTTCTCTTGAGATTCCTTCTTTGACCCATGTGATAGTTAGAACTCTGCTATTGAATATCCATGTATTTTACCAGTTATCATCCCTTTATTAATTTCAATTTTAATTCTATTTTGACCTGAGTTTATATATTATATGATTTCTATTCTTTTACATTTGTTAAGGTGTGTTTTATGGAGGAGAATGTGGTCTCTCTTTTGATGAGCGGTTCATGTAGGCTTGAGAAGATTGTGTGTTCTGCCATTGATATGGTTTGGCTGTGTCCCCACCCAAATCTCAACTGGAATTGCATCTCCCAGAATCCCCATGTGTTGTGGAAGGGACCCAGGGAGAGGTAATTGAATCATGGGGGCCGGTCTTTCCTGTGCTATTCTTGTGATAATGAATAAGTCTCACGAGATCTGATGGTTTTATCATGGGTTTCCACTTTTGCTTCTTCCTCATTTTCTCTTACTGCCACCATGTAAGATGTGCCTTTTGCCTCCCACCATGATTCTGAGGCCTCCTCAGCCATGTGAAGCCGTAAGTCCAATTAAACCCCTTTTTCTTCCCTGTCTCGAGTATGTCTTCATCAGCAGCATGAAAATGAACTAATACACCCATCGTTGGGTAAAGTAGTCTGTAGATGTCAACTGTACCCCCAATCCGTTGATGGTGCTGCTGAATTCAGCCAAATCCTACTAATTCTGCCTGCTGGATTGATTTCTGATAGAGGAGTGCTGAAGTCTCCAAAAATAATGGTGGATTCTTCTATTTCTTCTCGTAGTTTTAACAGTTTCTTCCTTACATAGATTGAAGCCCTTTTGTGACTTACATACTTGTTAGGGATTGTTATACCTTCTTGAATAATTGACCTCTTTATCGTTATGTAATGCTCTTCTTTATTCCTGATAATTTTCCTGGCCTAATAGTCCACCCTTTCAGAAATTAATATAGCTATTCGTGCTTTCTTTTCATTCATGCTTTCTCCGCCCCCCTGGGTTCAAGCAATTCTCCTGCCTCAGCCTCCCAAGTAGCTGGGACTACAGGCGTGTACCACCATGCCCAGCAAATTTTTGTATTTTTAGTAAAGATAGGATTTCACCATGTTGGCCAGGCTGGTCTCAAACTACTGTTAGCATGACATATTTTGTGTCATTCATATACTTTTAATTTAGGTGTGTCTTCACATTTTTTAATTGACAGGTATAATTGTATGTATTTACTGTATACAACATTATGTCTGAAGTATTATATACATCGTGGGATAATTCTAGCTAGTTACTTTGTGCATTACCTCACCTATTATCTCAGAGATGTGATGTGATAGCTCACTATGGCTTTAATTTGAATTTTCTTTTATTTGTCTTTATATTTAAATGGGTTTCCTATATAAAACATATGGCTGGGTCTTTTTTAATTCACTTTGACAATCTGTGTATTTTATTTTATTTCATTTTATTTTATTTTTGAGACAGTCTCACTCTATCACACAGGGTGGACTGGAATGACAGGATCTCGGTTCACTGAAGTCTCTGCTTCCTGGGTTCAAGCAAGTCTCACATCTTAGCCTCCCAAGTCACTGGGATTACAAGTGTGCGCCACCACTTCTGGCTAATTTTCGTATTTTTAGGAGAGACAGGGTTTCACCATGCTGGCCAGGCTGGTCTCAAACTCCCGACCTCAGGTGACAGTGCTTCGGCCTCCCACAATGCTGGGATCATAGACATGAGCAACCGCTCCTGGCTGACAATCTGTGTATTTTAATTGTTTTATTTTTACCATTGGTATTCAAAGTGATTACTGATATAGTTGGATTGATATCTACTATATTTGTTACTGTTTTCCATTTGTTGCCCTTGTTCTTTGGTCCTATTTTTGTCTTCCACCCATTTTCTGCCTTTTGTGGTTTAAATTGAGAATTGTATATGACTCCATTTTCTCTTCTTTAACTTTTTTTTTTTTTTTTTTTTTACTTTTTTAGTGGTTGCCCTAGGGAAGAAAAACTTTTATCTTCCTAGTAAAATCTAACATAACAGTTTGATGAAAGAAATGACAGCAACAATGTATTTGATGATGTATTACTAGGTATATGTCGTGTGTGTCTGTGTGTGTGTGTGTACATATGAATGCTTATATACAAGTGAAATGTCATGACACTGGTGGGTGTTTGATTTAGTATGTCTTATTAGGTCTGGGGTAGGGCATGGGTCAAACCCAACACCACGCTGGACCCAGCCAGTCTCAGCGAACTTAGCCCATTAAAGTCTTATCAGCCTGGGCTTGTCCTTGTCCTTGTAGCTCATTTTAAAGATCCTTTCTTGAAGTTATGTGAAATTACTGCTTGATATTTTCTTCTTTTTCATATGACCACTCAGCCTTCCTATTTTATGCCTGTTTATTTAACTAGGGGGTGGAATAATCATTAGGTATTCTGGAAAGGGAGGGGATTTCAGGGACCCCCGGTTACTGTACCCTTTATTGCTTACTTGGGTTTGCTGGGAAGGGTCATGGACATGTCACCCTGACAAGGATTTTGGCCATTTTCTCTCTCTTATTTTGGGGTTTTCCTCTGGTTTATTCACCTGGTTCATGTTTTAGCTGTTATTTTGGTTTTTCATCCTCTTGCCACAACCCAGTGCTATTCCTATATCAATGAGGCATCAACAATATTGATAATATTTTGTTCATTAAGTTGGGCAAAGACTTAAGAAAAAAATAAACTTTTTTAGAATAGTTTATATTCACACAACACTTGCTAAGGTAGTACAGTTTCCCTTATTAAACTCTTAACTATTTTTATTATTAGTGTGGGACAATAGTAGTAACTAATGAACGAATATTATACATTATCCTTATCTAACATACATATTTTATTTATTTATTTATTTATTTATTTATTTATTGAGACGGAGTCTCACCCTGTCACCCAGCCTGGAGAGCAGTGGTACAGTCTTGGTTCACTGCAACCTCTGCCCCCCTGGGTTCAAGCGATTCTCCTGCCTCAGCCTCCCAAGTAGCTGGGACTACAGGCGTGTACCACCATTCCCTGCTAATTTTTGTATTTTTAGTAGAAATGTGGTTTCACCATGTTGGTCAGGCTGGTCTCGAACTACTGACCTCAGGTGATCCACCTGCCTTGGCCTCCCAAAATGTTGGGATTACAGGCATGAGCCACCGCACCCGGCCCACATGCACATTTTATTTAGATGCCTTAGCTTTCACTTAATGTCCATGTTCCATTTCAGAATCCCATCCAGAACCCCACATCACATTGAGATGTCATGTGTCTCCTTGGGCTCCTATGCCTATGACAGTTTCCCCTACTTTCCTTGTTGTTGAGGACACTGACATCCCTAATTAGGGATTTCTCTGATGTTTTCCTCATGATTTTACTGGATTTCTGGGTTTAAGGGAGGAAGAACACGGAAGGTAAGTGTTATTCTCATCATATCATGTCGAGGGTGCACACTATCAACATGCTTTATCACCGTTGATAGTAATTTTGTTCCCCTTGGCAAGCAGTTGTAGTCAGATTTTCCCACTGTAAAATTATTTTTCCCCTTTATTTTTACATTTTTGAAAATAAGTTACTATACGTAGTACATATTAACAACTAGTATTCATGTTCCACTTCCTTATGAATGGAGTATCTTAAACAGTTGGGAATTCTTCACCATGTACAATTTGTTGATTCTTCACTATTTATCACATATTAATTCAATAATGTATCCATACCATAGGGATTATATGAAATTATGAATATTTATTTTATGCTTTACTTACACTCATGTGTATTATTGCTCCCATGGATCCATTCTTAACCATTGGAAGGTCTTTCAGTTGACTACTGTATCATTTAAAATTGCCAACATCATTTTGGTTTTAGTTTGTTTGGTTGATTGTGCTGCAGTTTCACGTTTTCCTACTTTCAGGCTGTGGAAGGTACTCCAGGTAAAATTTTGATCACTCCCTGACAAAGCCTAGTATCCACCATTTCTTCAAAGCATCCTAGTTTATTTCATTGGAAAGTGGAATTAGAAATGATCTGCCCACCAAGCGTACTCATTGCTACTGGAGTGTCTGTAGATTCAAAGCCTTGTCAGCTGACACAAAAAAGAAATGTACATGTGTATACAAACCTGCCTATATAAACACCTGTGTAAATATTTCTACATTTTCCCATATATATCTACATAAACATGAATTCCTACTGATAATCTCCATCACCACATGATTTCATCCTGCAACACATGAATGTCTCTACCCATTCCCACTACTTATGTGTAATCTCCTACTCTAGAGAAAGTTGGCTTCCTTTATGTAATAATCGAGTCCCATAATACATGCACGATGGCTTCAGCATTGTTAATCCATACTCCCATAGGAAACAACATTACCAATTAAAATACACTGCTCATAGACAACTCCTTTGGCCATTAGACTCAGAATCTCCACTTATTTCCTAAGTTGCTTAGATCAGCTCCTTTTTCCCCCATTCCGTCAATGGGATTATTTTCATACATTTGTAATGCATTTTTCTTATCTTGCCTGCATTTCTTCATGGGATTCCCCCAACCTAAAAATAAGGTTTTTTTTTTTTAATTTTCATATATTTAGGTTCACTCTTTGACTTATAAAATTCTGTAGGGTTTCAAAAACAGTATGATGCGTGCAGCGTTACAGGATCATGCAGAATGTCTTCACTGCTCTAAAAATATTCCATGTACTTCACCTATTGAGCCTTCTTCCCGCTTAGAAAGTTCCTAGTAAGCACTAATCCGTTTACTATCTCCATTGTTTTATCCTTTCCAGAGTATCATATTAACGGAGTTACATGCTCTGCAATCTTTTCAAAGTGGCTTCCTTCACTTTAAAATATGCTTTAATTTTGTAAAGCGCTTTTTTTTTTTTTTTTTTTTTGTGAGACAGAGTCTCACTCTGTTGCCCAGACTGGAGTGCAATGGTGTGATCTCACCTCACTACAACCACCACCTCCTGGATTCAAGCGATTCTCCCACCTCAGTCTCCCGAGTAGCTGGAATTACAGGCACCCACCATCATGCCCCAGTAATTTTTGAATTTTGTAGAGACAGGGGTTCACCATGTGGGCCAGGCTGGTCTTGAACTCCTGACCTTAGGTGATCCGCCCACCTCGGCCTCCCAAAGTGCTGGAAGTACAGGCGTGAGCCATCATGCCTGGCCATAAAGTGTATCTTATGGTGACTTTTTCCCTAAGAACTAATGGCATTAATCAACTTTTCAGGTGTTCATTGGGCATGTGTATTGCTTATTTAGAGAAATGTTTATCCAAACAGTATACCCATTTTTAATTTGGATATTTGACCTTTGTTTGGAATTGTGAGAATCACTTCTATATTCTGTACAGTGGACACTGAGCTATATAACTTGCAAATATTTTTTCCCATTCTTTCAGTTGTCTTTCAACTTTTTGATAGTGTTTGTTGAATCACAACTTTTAACTGTGATGAAGACAAACATGTTTTTTGTCACTTTTTTTGATGGTAACATCAAAAATGGTATCTTAGAAACCACTGTTTAACCTTAGCCATAAAAACATATTTCCGTGCTATCTTCTACAGGTTTTGTAGTTTTAGAGCCTGCGTTTAGGTGTGTGATATATTTTCAGTAAGTCACGTATATGTCATGAGGGAGGAGTCCAATTTAAATGTGGACATTAGCTTGTCCCTGCAAAATTTGTTGAAAAAAATATTTTTCACCAATTAATTGCCTTGGCAACTTGTAAAATCATTGACGATAAATGTCAGGATTAATTTTTCAACATTTCTATTCTATTTCATTGATCTATATGGCATTCCTTATGCCACAGGATTCTTGCCGTGTCACTTCACCAGCCGGAAACCTGTGGCCAGCAGCACCTTCTTCCTGAGTATTGCTTGCTCCTGCTGGATTCATTCCTCCCACTTGGCCCAACAGGCTGAGCTCAGATAGTTCTACCAGCCCAAATCCCAAACCTGGCAAGGGTGAGCCAGGCACAGAGTGGTGAGAAGTGTGTGCGTGAGCAAGTACAGAGTCCGGCCATTGTGCACAGCCAAACATGCTGACTGCTGCACAGAGACAGGCAGCTCCTGGCACCAGCACAGGCGCCAGCTCTATGCAAGGATGTGGCTGGACCAAAGGTACTACATGCAGCTTCTGCTGTGAGCACCTGCATCTGGATTAGGGGAAAGTGGTCGCACCTGCAATGAATGAGGTACACAGACAATGGGAGGGTGACCAAGGTGGAGAGGAGTGTAATTGAGCAGCAGAGCTGTTCCTAGAATATGACCTGCAGTAGGCAGCACTTTTCGGCAGGCAAGTCATCCCCACATTTCTTATAGTCTTCCTGAGTCCAGAGTCTTTATGCGCCCAGAAAGGTGAAAGTGCATGCTGATTGGAACCGAGAAGTCCATGGGCAAGCTCAGACAAATAAGCATTAAGTTCTCCCACCTGGCTGCGTACTCCACCCACAACTGGCAACCTGCACTCCAGGTTTCAGGTCATCCCTGGCTTGAAAGTGCGGTTTCAGAAACGACCCCGCTTATCCCTGGCTTGAATGTTAGGTTTCCCTAGGGACCGTTTCCACTCCCAGCACCCATCTGCCTCCTCCCCTCAACACACCCTCAACAGCGCCCCTGTGGTTCCTGCCAAGCTCCCTTCAACACCCCCGCCCCAAGCTTCCCTCCCTGAGCTCCTTGGTGCCCAAAGTTTCAAAGTGGGCCAGAGCAGCACAAGGGGACGGTGTGACAGAGCCACCCCAAGCACACACATACATCTGGCCAGGTTGTGATATGTCCAGAGTCAGTTCCTTCCAGTAGGTTCGCAGTCTCGCTGACTTCAAGAATTAAGTCAGGGACCTTTGCAGTGAGTGTTACAGCTCTTAAAGGCAGCACATACCCAAAGAGTGAGCAGCAGCAAAACTTATTGTTAACAGCAAAAGAACAAAGCTTCCAGTACACAAGTCCCAGCGAGTTGCAGCTGTGGGCTGGGAGGGGGTGGTGGCCAGCTTTTATTCCCTTATTAGTCCCCGCCCACATCCTGCTGATTGGTCCATTTTACAGAGTGCTGATTGGTCCATTTTACAGAGCGCTGATTGGTCCATTTTACAGAATGCTGATTGGTCCATTTTACAAACCTCCAGCTAACTACGGAGTGCTGATTGGTGCATTTTACAATCCTCTCGTAAGACAGAAAACTCCAAGTCCCCACCCGACCCAGAAGTCCAGCTGGCTTCACCTCTCAGTGATAGCTCCTGGGCTTGGCTTCAACTTTGTTCCGAAATCAGAGCTGGTGCCAGGAGTGGGGAGAAGCAGGCGCAGGCACTTCTGAGCTTGTTGAGTCAGGAGAGCTTCACAGACACTTGAGAGTGCAGGGGTGCCCTTATTTAGAGAAATGCTTATCCAAACAATATACCCATTTTTAATTTGGTTATTTGACTTTTTGTCAAAAAGTTCAGAGCTGCAGCTGGGTGGCTGCAGCTGCACCTGGGAGCACAGGGTTCCCACCCTGCCAACTTGGTAGGGTGCGGGGTTTCTGCCAGCTCCGTGGAGCATGCAGCCCCAGCGGCACCTCCCCACCGGCAGCTGGCTTCCCCACAGTGGCAGCCAATGCCATCACCTATACTAGTACCAAAATCCCTTGATTACTACCAGTTTGTCACTTTGCATTAGGTATTGAAATCTGATAATCCAACTTTTTTTTTTTTCAAGATTATTTTGGCTGTTCTGGATCTCATGGATTTTTATTTAAATTTTAGAAACAGCTTGCCAGTTACTACAGAAACACACACACACACAGAGAGAGAGATTTCCCTATCACAACCACAGCACTCTGCTGAGCAGCAGCAGAGGTTCCAGGAGCCGTGCCTACAGCACTTACAAAGCCGTGGAGCTGCAAACTGCTCTCTCGTAGACATCCACACAGCCAAGACTCTTCTTTTATGGTCTGTAATCATGGAGTATATTTTCTCTACCTGGTTCAAAGCTTCCATGAGAGAACGGCTCCTGGGATCTTGAGATCTGGGGTGACAGATACAGCTGACCTGGACCGTGTTTCTCACTTCTGTCATCAGAGTAGCATATTCTTGGGTACTTTTTAGTTTGACTTTTGTAAGCCAAGAAAGCTTCTCACTTCTCCAAGCTCACATTTCACTCCTTCAGGAAAAACAAATTCATTTAAATTCCTCATCTTCCAGAAAAATAATAATAAAGGGAAGAGTAATTGTAATAAACAAGCCATAGATGAGGACAAGGAGGGACCCATCTCAAATGACAAGACAGTCGATGAGCTCCAAGTGCTCACTGTAGGAGAGGACTGTTGATACATAGATGACTGTGCTAACATGATGTCACAGGCACAGAGGACACAGTGCTGAGCACCGAGTCCCTAAACGTTGCTCTGTAATAGCATAGAAGATATTATTTTCTACAATTTACTAAACCATCAGATTTCACAAACACTTGACCTTGCCATCAGAAGTCTTGAAAGATGACATTGCCAATGTTCCAAAGTCTTGAACCACATTAGGCAAGAATCCACCACCCTGTCTTCACAGTGCAGCTTAAACAGAAGATAAATTCCAGTGGATGGATGGCTCATACATTGAGCTCAGGGCTTCTTGTCCATTTAATTGTGCCTTCCTGGAGACAGAAAATCTAGGTGTAAATTCATTCAACATCCTTAATCATAAGTTGTATGTGTTTTTCCCTCACCCAATGTGTACAATAGGGGACACCAAAACCCATTTCAATATCAGTATCCAAAAGCAGAGTTGACCAGAGTAACAAGGAAGCAGAGCAAAATATTTTATGAAAACCGTAACGAATCTTATTCTGCAGTGACTTATCATGAAGTGATTTGTATAATCACCATCCACATGGTTAGAAAGATCAGTGGTAGAGAAGAAGAGAGATAGATATACAAAGATTAAGGATTAAAGAATTGAGGGTGGAATGTAGCTTACAGGGAGCATTGCTCATATTTCTATGGCAGAAATTCTCAAGACACACCTTTTTCCAAGTCTTTAGAGTGCTACTGCTGCAGCGCAAACTTCAAGTAAATTTTGAATTTATATCTCCTTCTCAATTGATTTCTTTTCTTTTCTTTTCTTTTTGAGTCAGGGTCTCACTCTGTCACCCAGGCTGGAATTCAGTGGCACAATTACAGTTCACTGCAGCCTTGACTTCCCAAGCTCAGGTGACCTTACCTCCTCAGCCTCCCAAGTAGTTGGGACCGCAGATGCATGCCACTGCACCCAGCCAGTTCCTCGATGGGTTTCTTAAGCCACAGTTTACAAAATTACCTCTTCACACTTAAAATAGGAATTCCAGTAGTCCACTAGTAAGTCTAATATCTATAATAGGTAGGTAGAAGAAAAATGGAGTTGGTCAACTTACATGAAAATATGCTTAAGCTTATTTCATCAATAACCAATCAGAATATAGCTGAAGAGTCACCCTGATTTAACACTGATAAATGGATGGTCACAGTGGGAAAAGGTGTATTCCATTAATGTTAAAGTGCACACTTCCACATTTTTCAAAGGGTTGTGTTTTAATATGGGTATTGTAAGAAAATGACTGGCCAGACAGCATGATACGGTTGCCATCTTGTGCACAGGCATGAAGTTGGTCTAGAAACCTATTATTGTCACCCTCTGATAATATCATTATCATCAAAACTTTTAGAGTAGCTGTCAGTAGGTTACAAATATAATCTCACAGAGGATAATACAGAACTCTCTAAAGATATGAGGCAAAGCCAAAGCTTATGATAAGCACAGGTGATGATAATTTGAGGAAAGTCATGAAAACGGTGAGTTGAGAAGTGATTCAGAAGAGTTTGATCTCATGAGAGCTATTTTAGGATTATCTCTGTTAATGTATCCTGTTTTAATTTTTCATCTCATGTACTCATAGGAGTGATATAAGATAAATAACATGTTGAATTCACTTCCTGTGTATATATTCCCAGAAGTGGAATAGCTGGATAATATGGTAGTTCTATTTTTAGTTTTTTGAAACCTTCATTTTTTTTTCCACAATGGCTGTACTAATTTGCATTCCCACCCACAGGGATTCCCTTTTCCACATTTATTTAAGTTCAATAAAATTGTAATCAATAATAATATAAAAATTCTAAGTGATAATAAATATTTGTGTCACAGTTTTTCAGTGGTTTTATTTTTTGTGGCAAAAAAATAATGGTGCATTTTACCAATGATGCATCTTGTAATTACTTAGGAAAAGCTGTCAGTATTAGCAAATTCTAATTTAGTTGTTAGTATAGACCTGCATTAGTCTATGTGCTCTATGTATTACTAGTTCCTTTAAACCTCACAACATCCCAAGAGGTAGGCAATATTATCACTTCCATGCTCCAGTTCTGAATCTTAGCTAAAGCACTTCAGTAAAAAATAGGAGATGCTGGAGCTTGACTGGGTCTGTCTCCAGAGTCCTTGCTCACATTAGCTATGTTACGATATATTTTGTGATAAGAACCTTCTAGATCTAGTTTCAGAAATCTTATATACCCCATGGTCATGAAGCTATTCTCCTAAATTAGGTCCTAAATACCGTACTAATTTTTTTTAAAAAAATATCTAGGTCCGGCCAGGCACGTTGGCTCACGCCTATAATCCCAGCACTTTGGGAGGCCAAGGTAGGCAGATCATAAGGTCAGGAGTTCGAGACCAGCCTGACCAACATGGTGAAACCCATCTCTACTAAAAATAAAAAAATTAGGCATGGTGGCGTGCACCTGTAATTCCAGATACTCAGGAGGCTGAGGCAGGAGAATCATTTGATCCTGGGAGGCAGAGGTTGCAGTGAGCTGAGATTGTACCACTGCATGCCAGCTTGGGTGACAGAGCGAGGCTCTGTCACAAAATATATATATATCTAGGTCAGTGATCCATCTGGAATTGATTAATTTTGAAATGTGAGATCAAATGTCTATTTTATTTTCTCCTACGGATATTTAATTTTTTGGAACATATATTGAAAAATCAATATTCCCTATTTATCTTTCTTTACACTATTTTTCTTACATATTCTTTTGTCCTTTTTTGAGCTTTCTTTTTTCATTTGTTTATTTCTGTATTTTTCTGCGAATACTAAAGTAACTCAGTTACTGAGAGACTTCATTTTACACAAGAATTTTCCCTCCAGAGTCCATTCTCTTCATCACTGTGCTGTTCTAGAATGAAGAAATGAAAGAGTAGGATCCTGCATTCCTTGCACCCCAACCAAAAATACCAGGTGTACTTTGTTTTGTTTTGTTTTGTTTCAATAGAGTTTAAGACTTCAGAACATGACTGTTGACACTAATGTCTCTAACGTCTTTGTGACTCTCAGACAACCCCAACCAACTTCACTACCACTTTATTTTTCAGTAACAAATCAGTGAATTTTATGTGATTTTGTGCCTTCTCTTCCACCACTCTGGGCTTTCTCTATCCTTAGAAACATTGGCAGGAGCTTGGAGAGTCATCCCTGGGTGCATCCCGCTCATGTGGATGAGCCTCAGTGGACTTGGTCTTACTCCTCTGGACCATGACCCATCAAAGTCCTGGCTGTGGCAGGCAAAGCTGAGCTGAGGGCTCTCTGTGAGGCCTGCATGGGCAAAACCAGCTGCTCCCAACACTCCCTAAGTGATCTGTTTGGGTATTCATTCTGTTTTTAATAAAGAATGAGTTTGTTCAACAATGACTGAGCTTGCTGACCAAGGATAATTACCCTTCAGACCTTGTCTGATAATGTTTGTTCTTGCTTTTGCTTTGGCACACAGTTTTCAACACTTTGTATTAATTTTTATTTGTTTTGGTCACATAACAATTTCTGCAACCAAATTCATATTTTTGTCTTGTGTATTAATTTCATTATTGTATTTAATAATGCACTTATACCCATTTTTCATAAAACCTTTTCAATTATTTTCATCTTTTCAGTCATAAAATTTTCCTAAATAGAATAGGAATATGACTTTTATTGGGAAAAGCAGATGCTACACACCCTTTTTCCGTGTTTTCCAGGAATTTCCACTGAAGTACCTCTGGTTGAAAAGGAGAACAGAGACTTTTTTCACAGCCACAGGACAAAATTTGTTCAGAATTAAATGCTGAAAAAGGAGGTATGATTGTTTTCATTATATGGCTTAGTTTGTTATAATTGTGGAAGATGCACAAGGCATTAGTTTATACAGGCAGAATACTGAATCTTCAATTCTGAATGCAAAGAATAGCCATTTTGTCACTGAGCAAGCATAAATATCATACTGTTACTCTTTATCCAAAAGCTATAGACATGGCTGAAGTCTTTGATTCCTTCTAACTTGTTGTAAATGTATGCATGTAATTTCCTTGTACACATGGACCATAATATAAATATCTATAGTTTTCTTGCAATTCAGTGAGTTACTACTAAAACTGTTTACAGTTTTCAGTAAAATAATAAATGTAACTCAAGAAATCTGTAAATACATCTCCAGGAAGCACAAATTCTTGTAGAAAGGGAATTGCCATCTTTACTTATTTTTTTTTTTTGGTCATCTCCTAGCAAAATATTTTTAAAGGTTTTCATGCTTATGAGTTTTTTAGATTTTTGTTTGCATTGGCTCAGTCAATAATTTTCCCATCCTTCGATTATTTAACTGGTCTGATGTTTATTATTTTAGGCTAAACTTTTGACACTCTTCTGATATAATTTGTATGTGAATAGATTTGCTGAGTGTCCTGGATAGTGAAGATGGGATTCCTTGACATGCATTAAGTAGGAATTTTCCCACCGGTAACCAATAAGAAACACAAAAGTAAGAAGAGGACAGAAACAGTTCAGGACTCTAACAATTAAGAATAGGTTTCCTTAATTTAAAGTTTACAACATGGAGGGCACTAATGACAGCAAATTCCTTTCACTAGTGAAAGGAAAACATTCACTAGTGAAAGGACCATTCCCACAAGGTAGATCTCAGACTCAGTAGCATCTATTTGCTATGCAAGTAAAAAAATTCTGTAGTTGAATTCAAGATGGCTGACTAGACGCGCCAGGAGAAACTTCTGCCTCTGAGAGATAAGCACGTCAGGAATACTGGCACACTCTGAGCAGATCTTCAGAGAGAAGGCATTGAGAGTGAACAGAGGGAGAATACAGATGCTGGGCTGAAGGGAAAGGAAGCTGGAAATCTCACACAGGGCTGCCATGCCCTGGGACTCTTTTCTGACTCCCAATAACTCAACTCTTGGGGAAGGGGTGAGTTGAACAGGAACGGAGCAAGGCACTTTCACCATGGGCCTCTGGAATCCTGGCAGCTGGAGACCCCACGACCCCCTTGGACACTGGAGCTAGCAGAGAAAGCGTCTTAGAGAGGTCGGAGGGGCAGGACTCCAGCCTGTGTGGAGCCCAGAGGCTTTGATGAGGGAATGTCTGCAGTGGAGCATGGCCAGGGATGCCAGTCCCCGAAGCCTCACCATGCAGCTCTAGGAAACTTTAGCCTTAAGGAGACTGTCGGACCTGGATGGAGCAGGGTGGTCTTGCTCATGAGGCAGGGCCAGTCTGATCTGGACTCCCTCTTTGTCTGCTGGCCTCCCCCAGGTCCCCAGGCTGGCCATGCCCACTTGCAGTGCAGCCTCAGATGCCCAACTGGGGTGCTTCCTGGGAGCCTGATCCTTCATCAGCAGACCATGCCTGTTAGAGAGCTCCAGCAGAGCGGCCCCCACCAATGCATGCCAGCCCACCAGCACTCTCCCTCTACTGCAGCCTCCCTCATGCCACTTTGACAGGGCTCAATTGCCCATGGCCACAGCCCTGCTGCTTTGTGGGCATGTGCACACAGACCTCACCTCCCCTACCTATCCAGTATGCGTGTGCAGGTGCAACCCACTGTGCAAATTTTGCCAGTGTAAGTGGAGCCGAATCCACCATCCCTTACGCCACACTGCCATTGCAGACCCAAATGGGCACATGGAGACCAGCAACCCCATCCCCTCTGTGCCAACATTGCCACCATTGTGAACACACATATGAATGCCAAGGCCTGGTGCCTCTCTCTGTGCCACCACTAGCATGAACACATGTACAGATGCCAAAAACTGCCACCACTGCAAACACACGCTCAGAGGCTGGCAGCCCTGTGCCTGCCAGCAGTGTGATATAGTGCCCCACTTCTACTGGTGTGAGTGTGAGCAAGAACACTGAAACAGCACTCTGATGATACTGCACCCCAGCCAACATGAATGCACCCCAGCACACTGCCACTGCTGCTGGCATGTGCAAATGAACACATTCCACTGCCACCATCCCTAAAAGCGCTTTGGCTGGCACCACCTATTGAAATATTGTGGCTAGTGGTCCAGGAACACATCAACCTCTCTGGCACAGCTGGTGTGAATGTAAATTACTTCAGCCAGCATGGAAAGCAGTTTGGTGATTTCTCAAAGAACTTAAAACAGAATTGCCATTCAGCTCAGCAATCCCATTATTTGTTATCTACCCAAAGGAATACAAATGTTTCTGCCATAAAGACACATGCACGCATATGTTTATCACAGCACTATTCACAGTAGCAAAGACATGGAATCAACCTAAATGCCCATCAACAGTAGACTGGATGAAGAAAATGTGCCACATATATACCATGGAATACTATGCAGCCATAAAAAAGAATGAGATCATGTCCTTTGCAGCAACATGGATGGAGCCAGAGGCCATTATCCCAAGCAGAGTAACACAGAAACAGAGAAACAAATACTGCATGTTCTCACTTACAAGTGGGAGCCAAATATTGAGTGAAGATGGACACACAGAAAGAAACAACAGACATGAGTTCTTACCTGAGCGTGGAGGGTGGGAGGATGGTGATGATCAAATAACTACCAATCATGTAGCATGCTTCTTACCTGAGTGACAAAATAGTCTGTACACAAAACACCTGTGACATGCAGTTTACCAATATAACAAACCTATACATGTACCCTTAAAATTAAAATACAGGTTTTTAAAAAATCCTCAATCTAATGGTCTAGAAACTATTGGGGAGGGGATTTGTTAAAGATTCCTGAAATGTTAGCAACCAACAGACCAAGAACATTGACACTTTGTAGGTAGTTTTAGTTCAGATTAATAGATGCACATTTGTTTCACCTGGTAAGTCTGCAGTCAGGAGCTCTGGGAGTCAATGCTGTATGTTTCAAGATAATGTCAAGGCCAGATTTTGGTTAAAAAGAAAACCTAAATAAAAAGCCAAGCATTCATCTTCACTCTATTTTTGTATTAGAACCTGACACCATTATTCATAATTTCACTGTATATGAAGAGCAACCCTATACTCCATACAAACAACATAGACTGTGGAATTATGTTGTGAAATGTAAAGAGAAGATGATTCCCAAATTTAAAGGAAACTGGAGGTGTTCTGGAGAAACAAATAGAGGTGGTTAACCTTACTGATTTCTTCTCTTGATGATAATTGTTATTTGCACTGTAAGTAAAAACTTCTACTTGAATTACTCTACAATGCTGTAAATCTATCACTCACACATACAAAATACCATAGGAAAAAGGGGTAGTTCCACATGTGGTGGTGAAGCCTACTTAGGTGCATAATTTTCTTCATCTCTAAAGAGCGTCCGTTTGACGGGGTGTAGTGGCTCATGCCTGTAATCCCAGCACTTTGTGAGGCTGAGGTGGCCAATCACTTGAGGTCAGGAGTTCAAGACCAGTCTAGTCAATGTGGTGAAACCCCATCTCTACCAAAAATATAAAAAATTTGCCAAGTGTGGTGGCTCACACCTGTAATCCCAGCACTTTGCGAGGCCAAGGAGGGCAGATCACAACGTCAGGAGTTCGAGACCAGCCTGACCAATATGATGAAACCCTGTCTCTACTAAAAATACAAAAATTAGCTGGGCATAGTGGCACATGCCTGTAATCCCAGCCCTCAGGATACTGAGGCAGAAGAATCGCTTGAACCAAGGAGGTAGTGGTTGCAGTGAGCCGAGATTGCACCGCCGCACTCTAGCCTGGCCGACAGAGCTAGACTTCGTCTCAGAAACAGAGAGTGCATTCATCCCTGGGCTTCTTGCAAAATGGCCTTATCATATACAGGCCTCTGTTTTTGTTTTGGAGTTTGTTTGTTTGTTTGTTTGTTTTGCAGACAGGGATAAATCAAAAGGATTGAAGGCCAGGTTCACTAAATGGCTTCTCCTGGTACTGGGTTTTCCTTCCGAACTGTTCCCATAGTTCTGTGACCATGTCTCCATAGAATAAGGGTGGCACGTGGCAAACCTAAATGCATGGAAGTGGGCATGTTTACTCTCTCCCCATACTTAGCACTGGATGTGGAGAATGGCTTGATGAAATTGGGTCAAAGTGTTCTTCCAGAATCGCCGTTCCATCTTCTTAACTCAGAAAGTCAGCCAAGGTTATTGCCACGCCGTAGACTGAAAATCCCCTGGAAGCACAAAGCTGGAGCAATATGAGGGTTCACATCATGTTCAACATCTCTCAGCTATCACTGCTCTTCATCGTTTCATGTACAATGTCTTGCAAATCATTGTTTAATATACTGTGTTGATTTTTTTCTTTTTTGCATGTGGTGAGGCATATCAAATTTCTATTAGTGTTTCCATATCTTGATTCATTCCTCCTGCAATTGCTAAATTATTACTGTACCTTCAAGTTGTCAATATTAAAGTGAGTAAGTAACAATGTAATTCAAACTCACAGAGAAAGACAGAAAAGTAAACAGGTATTTGGAACTCTAAAGAGAAGGGAAGAAATGGTCTACCCACACAGTGTCTGCCAAAGTCTCCACTGTATGTCAATAACTCAAAGACTTGAGGATCTAAAAGAAAGGATAATATCTCTGACAATGAATCTATTATACACTTCTTAGCCTTATTTTATGACTACAACAAAACTCTCATATAATTATGCAGGCACAAGATTTATTCACATAAAGTGAAAGCAATATTGGAAGTAATATATAAATAATTCACAAATATCTTGATATTCTGAGTCTATATATTCTAAATCAAATATTGACCCAGAGTCATGGAAATCTTTATATCACCCTCTGTGTCATGAAGACTGATGGCAATAAAACACTTCTTCATAAAAGAGGCTGTACTATTCCCTGTGTAATTTCCATCTTTCCTGTTCATACACATTCTACAAGTGTGGGTGCAGGTGATCCTACCTGAAGGTGACAGCAGATCAGATTTCAGGACTAGTTCATCCATGTATGGAAAATGAAAAGCATGTCATGGCTTCTACCAGATTAATGCAATTGTGGTAAAACTTGAAAAAAGATCAAATTGATGGAATAGTGTAACCAATAGAGATTTTGAAATATTTATCAAGGGAGCCCTATTAATAGAGCTGAAATTTGGAAAATAACAAGATTTTCACTGGTCCAAGAGGGCAATGCAATTCAGAAGGACAGAAAGGGGCAGATATGATAGAAACAGCATGGCCCATGGGAGGGACTCTACAGTGGATTGAGGATGAGGAGGCTGGAGAAGAGGCTGAGGGGAGTCAGGGCTCACATCCTGTCCTGAGAACAGAGAAGAGCACAAGAAACAGGTTCATTTTCAAGCTCAAACTCTCTTCAGATTGAAAGAAAGTTAGTTTCTTGGGAAGCAGACAAGAATATAGGTGAAGAGTTTGAGAGATTCATTAATTTCTTTGGGAAAATCAACATAAAGGAAAATCTTTTATGTTGCTCTTTGTCCATTACATGGGTGGGGCTCACGGGGGAACAACATAGACAAAGATTTCCTCTTCTTTGATATATCAGTTCAGTGGAGATTCAGAAAACTCAACGGAAACGAAATTGCAGGTGGAAGAGTTGCCATTGGGAACTGAGAGGACAGGCATCAGACCTGGAATGGGATGGGCAAGAGAGGCCTCCAGCAGGAGGAGCATTGGAGGAGATTCTGGAGGATGAGGAGCAGTGAGTCCAGCAAACAGGGGAGGGAAAGGAAAGAGGAAACAGTGTGTCCATGGCACAGACAAAGACATGAGAAGAGAGCAGGGGATTTAAATGTCCTCTAGAAATAATAATATGTGAAAAGTCCTGGAGCAGGAAGAGCAGGCCATGGAAGGACTGGGCCTTGGTTCAGTGGATGTTTTCCGCAGGACATACACAGGTTCATACTTCTGGGTCTGCACATCCTCTTACCTGTTCCTTGATATTTCACTACAAACCGGATAATTTTTTCATGTGTCTCAGAGTATAAAGTGTTACAATGATAGCAATAACACAAGATCTGGGAGGGATAAATTAGTATTCTTTTATTAGCAATAACATAAGATCTGGGAGGGATAAATTAGTATTCTTTTGTTAGCAATAACATAAGATCTGGGAGGGATAAATTAGTATTCTTTTGTTATTATACAGTACTTACACTCCCTGTATAGCAATATAGTGTTATTTGAAAGAGGCTTGGGTTAGTTGTAAATAATATCGCAAATTCTAGGAATGGTTATTGAATCAAGAGCCTTAGATACTTTCTGGTCATTGGACCCAGCCTACATTCAATTCCTTCCCATGCTGGCATTTCCCACGTGGCCAAACACTGCATCAAAGCCATCAAGAGATAAAATTTGCTAGTAAAACAGAAATCACAAGTATGTCTTATAGTCAGCCAAGTGACAACCTATTACCTTTGCAGTATCTGCTGTTTCAAAGCAAGCTACATGTGCTGTCCCTAGTCAAGAGTAGAGGGCTGTTCAGATTCCACATATAAGTGAGATCATATAGTATTTGTCACTCTGTTCTTGGCTTGTTTCCTCAGCATAATTTTCTCTAGGTTCGTCCATGTTGTTGCAAATGACAGATTTTTGTTTGTTTTTGTAAACCAAATAGTAGTCCATTGTGTATATATGCCACATTTTTAAAAACTTTCATCCCATTGATAGTCACTTTAGGAGTTTCCATAACCTGGCAACAGTGACTAATGCTGGAATAGACAGGGAAGTGGAAAGGACTCTTCAACACACTGATTTCAATTCATTTTGGCACATACCCAGACATTGAATTGCTTCATCATATGATAATACTATTTTTTGTGTTTTGAGGAACCTCCATGTTTTCTTCCAAAACAGCTGCACTATTTTGCAATGTCACCAACAGAGCAAAATGGTTGCCTTTCTCCACACCCTCACCAACGCTTGTTATGTTTCATCTTTCTGACAATAGCCAATGTATCAGGTGTGAAGTGATACTCACTGTAATTTTAATTTGCACTTATCCAGTTATTAAAAATGTTGAGCAGTTTTTCATATATTGTTTGGCCATTTTTATTCCTTCGTTAGGGAAATGTTTGTTTAGGTCCTTTGCCTATGTTTTTAATACTGAGTCTTGTTCTGTTGTCCAGGCTGGAGTGCCGTGGCACAATTATGGTTCACCAGCCTCAACCTCCTGGGATCAAGCAATCGTCTCACCTCAGCCTCCTGAGTAGCTGGACTGCAGGTGAGTACCACTATGCCTGGCTAATTTTTGTATTTGTTGTAGAGATGGGGTCTTGCTATGTTGCTCAGGCAGGTCTTGAATTCTTGGGCTCAAGCGATCCTCCTTCCCAGGCCTCTCGAAGTGCTAGGATAATAAGGGTGAGTCACTACACCTGGCCCTTTGCTCAGTTTTTTTTTTTTTTTTTTTCTTTTGGAGACAGAGTCTAGCTCTGTCGCCTAGGCTGGAGTGCAGTGGCGCGATCTCGGCTCACTGCAACCTCCGCCTCCCATGTTCAAGTGATTCTTCTGCCTCAGCCTCCTGAGTAGCTGGGACTACAGTCACGTGCCACCATGCCCAGCTGTATTTTTATTAGAGGCGGGTTTCTCCATGTTGGCCAGGCTGGTCTTGAACTCCTGACCTCAGGTGATCCGCCTGCCTCAGCCTTCCAAAGTGCTGCGATTACAGACATGAGCCACCGCACCTGGCCCCCTTGCTTATTTTCTACGTTGTTGTTTGTAGTCCTGTTATTGAGAAGTCTGGGATTCTTGTATATTCTTAAATTATTTTGTAATTAAAGTGTTGTTTAAAAAGTATTATTTTGGTACAGAAAAAAGAAACAATCCAAACACAGACATAAACAAGTGACCTTTGGCTCAGGTGATGAATGGACACATGGGAGTGTATGAAAAAGCAGCTTCCTTATTTATTCACGATTCTAAACTCCTGGGCACCTACTTAAGAAAGACACCATCAAGCTCCAGGGACCCTTCTCCTTTGCCTTATTCCCCTTTCTCCCTTTTTATACTCTTTTTCTTCAGTCACCACTTTCAGTGTCAGTAACCACTTCTTAAAAGATAGGTTCCTATGTCTCATATATCACAGAAAGCCCATATTCAAACATCCTATGGCACTGTTATCTGCAGGATCCCACTAAAGCCATTTTGGATGATATGACATGTGGACACTCAAAACCAAGAATGAGAAATATCAATGACAGGGAACATAAACCATATTTCTTCATCTAGGAGAGTGATATGGTTTGGATGTTTGTCCTCTCCAAATCTCAAGTTGAAATGTGATTCCCAATGTTGGAGGTGGGGCCTGGTGGGAGGTGATCCCTCATGATTCTTTGGAGAGTGATATGGTTTGGATGTTTGTCCTCTCCAAATCTCAAGTTGAAACGTGATTCCCAATGTTGGAGGTGGGGCCTGGTGGGAGGTGATCTCTCATGATTCTTTAGCACTATCCCTTCGTGATAAGTGAGTTTTCACTGAGTTAGTTAGCTCACCCAAGATCTGGCTGCTTAAAAGTCCTGGACCTACCCTTCTTCTCTTCCTTCCTTCTGCTCTTGCTATAAAAAACACCTGCTCCTGCTTCACCTTCCCCCACGAGTACAAGCTTCCTGCACCTCCCCAGAAGCCAAGCAGATGTTGGTGCCATGCTTATACAGCCCTACAGAATAGGGAACCAGTTAAACCTCTTTTCTTTATGAATTATCCAGCCTCAGGTATTTTTTAAAACAATGCAAATGGCCTAATACAGATAGCATTTCCTTATTACAAGAATTATTTAATTTTCAAATGACAACTGTACCTTCAAGTTTCTCAGGGCATCCTGTGATAATTAAGCTCTTTTCATTCTACTGACCCTACAGACTCCATCAGGAATTGACCACGTATTCTGTTGACAATTACACTGTAGAATTTTGTTGCCCATTGCAAGCCTAAAAGCCACAGAATAGATATTGTCATGGTCATAGGTGAGCTGTGTAAAAAAAAAAAAAATGTTTATAAACCTATTGGTTAAAGCCACTCCGTATTTACAACCAAACTGCTTAAAGGTTAAAATTAACCTTTTGATTTTTGGCAGGTGCAGGCTAGTAACTTATTCAGAATGTGTTGTGCACAGGTGAAGAAAGCCTAGCAGAAAAAAAGAAAGACAAAAATACAACAACCCGATACAACACATCTTCAACATTCCTGCAGTGATACATGAGATAGACACAGGCTGAATGGTGACTCTGCATATGTGCTGGCTAAACAAAGAATCCCCATAGTGGATAGAACTGTCCACTCATCCCCTGCACAGCTGCCTATTCACAGACCACAGCACTGTGCTGGGTAGCACCAGGGTTTTGTCCAAGAACCATGTCTACAAAGCCTACAGTGACATGAGAATGCATACTGCACTCACATAGACATCCACGAAGTCCAGATTCTTTTTCTTTTTCAGATCATTATCATCCTCCACACAACATTCATAGCTTCAGTGAGGAGACTGGCTTCTGCAGGCTTGGAGGTCTGAAGTGAGAGATACAGTTGACCTGACCACATTTCTCACTTCTGAGATTAAAAGAACAGTTAACTTAAGGGCTGTTATTTTGTGCATTTGCAAATTAAGAAAACTTTGGCTGGGTGCGGTGGCTCACGCCTGTAATCCCAGCACTTTGTGAGGCCGAGGCGGGTGGATCACGAGGTCAGGAGATCGAGACCATCCTGGCCAACACGGTGAAACACTGTCTCTACTAAAAATACAAAAATTAGCTGGGCGTGGTGGCGTGTGCCTGTAATCCCAGCTACTCAGGAGGCTGAGGCAGGAGAGTAGCTTGAACCAGGGAGTCGGAGGTTGCAGTGAGCCGAGATCGTGCCACCGCACTCCAGCCTGATGACACAGCAAGATTCTGTCCCCCCCCCAAAAAAAAGAAAAAGAAAAAAGAAAAGAAAACTTTGCACTCCTCTGAGTTCATACTTCCTTCCATAAAAAAAGCAGGCTTATTTGAATTTGTCATCTTAAAACATGGATTTTTCTTCCATTTATTTTATTATAATGGGAGTTCTGCTAACAGAGAAATGTCTTGTCAAATTCACTTTTCATCTTCATTTCAATGCACACATTACAGTCTATCATGATTTATACTGGGAACAACATATAGATCACCAAATTCTTCCTAAAAGCTGGGGGAAGAGAATGGCAAGCCATGAAAGAGACATAAGTACATATGGACAAAAGGGACCCATCTCAAATGACAAGAGGGTCAATGAGCTCCAAGTGCCCAGAGCAGGAGAAGACTGGTGATACATATAGGACTGTGCTAACGTGATGTCACAGGCACAGAGGACACTGTGCTGAGCACCGAGTTCCCAAACATAACTCTCTCATGGAATGGAAGACATGGTTTCCCAAAACCTACTAAGCAACCTATAACCAGATTTCACTGAAGTTAGACTCTACCAGAATTCTCAGAAAGATGCCATTGCAAACATCCCAAATGCAGAGCACATGGTGAGGCCATAACCCAATGCCCTTTCTCCACATTCAAGCCTGAATAGAAGAAATTAGAATTCAAAGAATGCATGACTAACATATATTACATCAGATATTGGTGTTAATTTTATTGAGCCTTCCTGGAAACTGAAAGTCTATTTTCGAATACAAACAACATTCTAAATTATATGTGTTTCTTCTTTATTCAACATATTCATCAAAGAATACCAAAACCCAGGCCCAGCACAGTGTCCCACACCTGTAATCCCAGTACTTTGGGAGGCCAAGGCGGGCGGATCACCTGAGGTTGGGAGTTCGAGGCCAGCCTGACCAACATGGAGAAACCCCATCTCTACTAAAAATACAAAATTAGCCAGGCGTGGTGGCACATGCCTGTAATCTTAGCTACTCAGGAGGCTGAGGCAGGAGAATCGCTTGAACTCGGGAGGCGGAGGTTGCAGTGAGCCAAGATCGTGCCATTGCCCTCCAGCCTGGGCAACAAGAGCAAAATTCTGTCTCAAAATAAATAAATAAATAACCAAAACCCACTCCATTTTTCAGGTACCCACAAGTAGGGTTGACCACAGTAACAAGTAAGCAAGCAAAACATTTTGTGAAAACCGTGAAGCATCTTCCTCTGCAGTGACTTATCAAAAGGGGTTTGTATGATCACCGTCCACAGAATTAGAAAGTAGAATGGGAGAAAATTAGATACACAGTTGTTCTGGAATGAAGCACTGGATTTAGAAGGCAGATTACAGGGAAAATTGCTCTTATTTCTAATATTAGGGCAGAAATTCTCAATTACATTTTTTTCTAACTCTACAGAATACTACAACTCCAGCACAAACATTGAACTACCTCTTTGCCATTTCTACCTTCCCCCTTAATGGATTTCCTGAACCATTGCTTATAAAATTATCTCTGTAGTTTAATACAAAGATAATATATTAATATGCTCTATTTTTCTTATTTCTATTTTACTCTTCAGGTATTCCTCCGGACAATGTAATGCTAACCTAGCCCAATGAGAATTGATAGAATTTGGTCATAAGTGTTTAAAATGTGCCTCTATATATTCTGTTAGATAGCCAAATGCATAAGTGTGTGACCCATGACCAGGGGTTCCTCTCACAGAAAATGTGTTTATACTGGAAAACAACCTTGTGGCTCTGAACTGCATCTGGTTTACTTCTACTAAAATAACCAGTCTCTGGGAAAGTCCTGACTTGAAAAAAATTCAGGTATATTAGTCGAATGAGACATAGAGGAGTCAACTCAACAAAACACATGAAATAACAGATTCAGTGCATTACTTACAGATCCCAGAGAGAGCAGAGCAGAATGCCTCAGATGGCCAAAGGGGGAGCCATTCTGGACACACACTCACACGGCTGAGAGAGGGGCCCATAGCTGAGGCCTTTATTGGGGTCCAGTGTGTTATTCAAGCAACCTTCTCACAGGGGGTTCTAACTGCTGGGTTTACAGGAAGCAAGCATGAATCCTATAGAGTCACACTGGGACAAAGAGGTGGTCACTGTGGCATATTCACACAGCCCACATGAGATATGGATGGTCAGGGGGCAAAGTCAGATGCTTCATCTAGCTATCTCATAAGGAGTGGCTGTATAAAGTCTGTATCTACAACAACTGCATAAAGAAAGTGGGAGGGATTAGAGAACTGGAAAATGTGTGAAACGTGTTAAGTCCTGCTTCTGGTATGACCAAGATAAACATAATTCAAAATAGATGCTGAGGCAACATAAAACTATAAAATTATAAAAATTAAAATCATGTAAAGTAGAAATTACAACAGTACTCTAATAATCTCACATATAGCTAGGTAGAAGGTAAATGAAATGGGCTAATTTATATAAAATTATGTTTGAAAAAGTCTTCTTGAGCCAGACGCGGTGGCTCACGCCTATAATCCCAGCACTTTGGGAGGCCTAGGCGGGCAGATCAGACCAGCCTGACCAACATAGTGAAACCCCGTCTCTGCTAAAAAACACAAAAATTAGCCAGGCATGGTGGTGTGCGCCTGTAATCCCAGCTACTCAGGAGGCTGAGGCAGGAGAATCACTTGAACCCGGGAGGTGGAGGTTGCGGTGAGCCTGAGCCAAGATCATGCCATTACACTCCAGCCTGGGCAAAAAGAGCAAAATTTCATCTCCAAAAAAAAAAAGAAAGAAAAAAAAAAAGAAAAAGAAAAAGAAAAAAATCTTCTTGGCTAGGCATGGTGATTCATGCCTATAATCGGAGGAATTTGGAAAGCTGAGGTGGGAGGATTGTCAGGAGTTCAAGACCAGCCTAGGCAACACAGCAAGACCCCAACTCTACAAAAAAACAAAATTTTTTTCCAAAGTGGCTGGGCATGGTGGCACATGCCTATAGTCCCAGCTACTCAGGAGGCTAAAGCAAAAGGATCCCTTGAGACCAGGCATTGGAAGCTGCTGTGAGATATGATCACACCACTACATTCCAGCCAAGGTAATACAGCAAGACCCTATCTCTTAAATAATAATAATAATAGACCAGAATTCAGCAGACAAGTCACTATGATATCACACTGTGAAGTGAGCAGTCACAGAAAAAATATAGTGTGTTCCATTATTGCTAGAGTACATATTTTCACATCTTTCAAACACATATGTACTATGGTTTAGATCTTTGGCCCCCCAGACCTCCTGTTATAAATTGATCCCCAGTGTTGGAAGTAGGATCTGATAGGAGGTGCTTGAGTTTTGGGGGAAATCCCTCAAGAATGGCTTGGTATTGTTCTCATGGCAATGAGTGAGTACTTACTCTGCTAATTTCGAGGAGAGCTGGTTGCTGAAAAGAGCCCAACATTTGCCCCCTCTCTTGCTTCCTCTCTCACCATGTGATCTCTGCACACACAAGCTCCCCTTTTCTTTCTGTCATGAGTAGAACCAGCTTGAGACCCCAGTCAGAAGAAAGTATTGGTGCCATGCTTCTTTTACAGTCCATAGAACTGTGAGCTAAATAAATTTCTTTTCTTTATAAATTACCCAGACTCAAGTATTCCTTCCTAGCGATACAAATGAACTAAGACAAAATGCTTCTTAAAATTGATAGTGTCAAAACACTATTGGTCAAAATGCAGACTTTTTGTGGTTGTCCTTATATGAATGCACATGAACCTGTCCTAGAAACCTTCCATTGACACCTTCTTTTAATGTCATCAACACAAAACTTGCAGAGGAGCTGTCAGCAGGTTGGAAAGATAATCTCACAGAGTGTTGCGTAGGAATCTCACAAGAAATGAAATATCACCAAAGCTTCTGGTTAACAGAGAAGATGATAATGAGGAGAAAATCATAAGAAAGATGAATAGTGACTCAGAAGAGGTGCATCTGGATGAGAGAAATTTATCAATATCTTTATTTTTCTATTTTTTGAGACAGAGTCTTGCTCTGTCACCCAAGCTGGAGTGCAGTGGCACAATCTCGGTCCACTGCAACTTCCATCTCCCGGGTTCAAGCAATTCTTCTGCCTCAGTCTCCCAAGTAGCTGGGATTACAGGCACACACTACCACACCGGGCAAATTTTTGTATTTTTAGTAGAGAATTTTTTTTTTTTTTTTTTTTGAGATGGAGTCTCACTCTGTTGCTGAGGCTGGAGTGCAGTGGCACAATCTCGGCTCACTGCAAGCTCCGCCTCCCAGGTTCACGCCATTCTCCTGCCTCAGCCTCCTGAGTAGCTGAGGGGACTACAGGCACCTGCCACCACACCTGGCTAATTTTTTGTATTTTTAGTAGAGATGGGGTTTCACCGTGTTAGCCAGGATGGTCTCGATCTCCTGACCTCAGGATCCTCCCGCCTCGGCCTCCCAAAGTGCTGGGATTACAAGTGTGAGCCACCGCGCCGAGCAGCAATACCTTTTTTAACGTGATTTGCTTATATTTGCATCTCATTGGAGTGATATAAAACAAATATCCACATTTATATATGTCGAAAAGAGTTATTGTCATTAATTGTGAGGTAAAAATTATAAGGTGTAGGAAGTATTTGTACCATATCTTGTCAATGATTTTATTCCTTTACTATGGCGTAAAATAATGATGTATTTTACAATTGATACAAAAAATATATTTAAATTACTTAGAAAACACTGTCAATATTAGCATACTGATGTTGTGATTAGTATAGACCTGATATTTATCTACAGGCATTATGTATCATTAGTTCATTCATTTCTCCCAAAATATCAAAAGGTAGGTTCTATTACCACTCCTAAGTACAAGTTCTGAATTTGAGCTAAAGCCCTGCAAAAAAAGGGCTGTCTCCATAGTCCTTGCTCACATAAACTATGTTAGAAAATGTTTTTCTGTTAAATTGTGAATACATTGTAGGTCTAATTTAATAAATCTTATGCTAGCCTATAGTCATGAAGATATTTTCCTAACATAGGTTGTAAATACTGTATTAAAAGGTATTTATATTTGGGTCTATGATGCACCTGCAATTAATTTTATGTGTAATGTGAAGTTAAAGGTACATTTAACTTCCCCCAATGAACATTAATTTCCTAGAACATTGATTGTAAAAGCCATCTTTCTACTAATAACTGCTCTTATTAATTATTTGCATTTATATTATTTTGTCTGTTTTGAGCTTTCCTTTATTTCATTGGTTCACCTTTCTATCTGTGCAAATATTACATTGTCTTAATTACTAAGAGTCTTCATTTAATACAAGAATTTTCCATCCACAGCCCTTTAGCCTATCTACTGTGGTGTTCTAAAAGGAAGAAAGAGGCTAGTAAATCCTGGATACTTTGCTCCTACACCAATATTCCCAGCTGTACCTTGAAATAAAAGGATTTAGAACTTTAGAACATTGCTGTTGTTGCTTATGTCTCTAATGTTCTCTTGAATCTTGACAATCCCCGAACACTGCTCCCCGCTTTATTTGTTTAGTCCAGTCCCAGTGAAATAAATTAGATGTCAAGGCTCCTCATTATGGTTGCCTGGTTTTTGGAACCTGGGGTACTTTGTACTCCTCCAGCAACAGCCAGAGGTGGCAGAGAGCTGTCAGTCATCCCTGGGTGCCTCCTGCGCAAGCGCAGTTGTCCTCCTGCGCCGACCTCGAATGCGGTCCTCCTGCTGCAGACCACGCCCACCAAGGGCTGGCCGCAGCCACTGTAGCTGAGCTCAGAGCCTTCTGTGTGGTTTGCGGGGGCAAGGTCAGCTGCCCCCTGCCCTCTCTCTGGGGCTATTTGAGGAATGCGGCCTTTTTGCATAAGAAAGGCTTTTCTCTACAGTAACTGTGGTCGCTGATCAATGACACCTTCCTGGTAACATTTCATATTGCTTTTTTGGAGGTGGGGGTGCAGATATCTTTAAAACTTGCATGCGATTGTCTTTCTTTTAATCACATAAACATCATTTAAAACCAATTCATATTTTGTATTGTATATTAATGCCTTTCATTCCTGTATTTTAAAATGCTATCATAATCATTTTTCGAAATACATATTTAATTATTTTCATCTGTTCAATCATCTTTCTTTAGTAATTAAATGAAAATAGCACTTTATTAAGAAAGACAAATGTTACATATTCTCTGTTTTAGTGTTTTCCAGAAATTTGCTATGAAATACGACTGGTTGAAAAGGAGAGGGTCAGAGACTTTCCTGAGAGCCACAGGACAAAATTTACTTACAATCGCAGGCTTAAAGAAGCTATGATAGTTTAAATTACGTGGCTTAGTTTGTTCTTATTGTGGAAGGTGCACAAGGAATTAATTTGTGTAGACAGAACACTGAGAGTCCCATTCTGAATGCAGAGACAGCTACTTTGCTACCGTGCAAATGAGTGTCGTCATATTGTTTGTTTTTCTCCTTACCCAAAAGCTATAGACATTGGCTTGCATATTTGAGTATTTTCACTTTGGTTTTGTAAATGGCTGCTTGACTTGCCTTCCTACAGAAAATCCATAATACAGAGATGTATTATTTTCTTACTCCTTTATGAGTGATTAGTTTGCACTGAAATAAAAATGCCACTCAGGAAATGTCATACATCTTCAAGCAGCATATATTTTAATAGTATCATCTTGTAGAAAGGGAATTACAATCTTTATTTCTTCTATATCAATGAGCAAACTACTTTTTTAATTTTTATATGTTCATTTTTATTGACTTAGTCAATAGTTTACCTACTTTTTAGGTTTTACGTGCTCCATTAATGTCCATTGTTTTAGGCTGAACCTTTGACACTCCTCATATATCGTTTGTATGAGACTAGATGGCAAGTAAAGATAGGATTCCTCACCCTAGGTTAAACACTAACTTCCTCTTGAAGAAACAACTTAGGAGTCCAAAAAGCAGGCTAGGAATTGTTTAGGTTCTGCAATACGAATTGTGCAAATGCCAACAGGATTGAATTGAGAGAAACACATTCTCTAATGAAGGACTCATTCCTGCAGGGTGGATCTATGAGATTCAATAGCAAATGGCTGTTATACAAGTAATGAAATCCTCAATCTTATGGTCTAAAAGCGATTCTGGGGGGCACTTATTTAAGATACATGAGATGTGAAAAAGCAATGGACCAAGAGCATTGATAGTTTATGGATATTTTTATTTCACATTATTGATAGAGCTTTGTTTGCCAGGCAATGCTGCAGTCAGGCACTCGGGGTTTCAATACCCTATACAGAAAATCTCAAGAGCAGACCTTGGTTAATTTTTTTAAGTAACCCTCATCTTCATTCTTTTATTGTATTATGACCTCGCGCCATTGACCTTAAATTTCACTACAAATTTAGAAGAACCTAATAGTCATTGCAAACTAGATAGATAATGGTATTTATGTAATGAAGGACAAGGGAAAGATGATTCCCAAATCTGAAAGAAACTAGAAGTTTTCTGGGGAAACAAATAGAGGAGATAAGATTTACTGGTTTATTCTTCATTGATGAGAGTTGCGTTCTGTTCTGATAAATGGAAAGCTCCATTGAAATTACAGATGGTCCTCAACTTAAGTTGGGGCTACTTCCCAATAAACCATATTGAAAATGGTTTCATAAATTGAAAATATCACCATAAATTGAAATATCATAAATTGAAAATATCACCAGTCAAAATGTGTTTAACATGCCTACCTTACTGAACATCATACTTTAGTCTAGCCTGTCTTAAGAGTGCTCAGAACACTTATATTTGCCTACATTTGTACAAAATCATCTAACAGAAACCATATTTTATAATGTGTTAAATATCTCATGTAACTTATTGAATACTGCAATGAAAATGAAAAGCAGAATGGTTGTATGGGTACTCGAAGTACAATTTCTACTGAATGTGTATTGCTTTCTCACAATTATAAAGTTGGGAAATCTGAAGTCATACCTCAGGGAGTGCTTTTATTACACAATACAGGTTTATCAGACGCATATACCAACAAATCATAGGAAATTCAGGTTTGGGTCAAGGGGGAGGGGTTCAACCTACTTATACATATTTCCTTCCTCTCTGTTGGGCTACCTTTATCCTTGGGATTGTTGCAAGATGGCCGTGTCATGTAAAGGGCTGTGTCTTTTAGCATCATGAATAAGATGAAAGAGTTGAAGGCCAACTTCATTCAAATGTCTTCTCGATGTGTCCTTCCCTTTTTCTCCTGGACTGCTCTGTGATCCATGTCTCTGTAGAAAATGGCTGGCATAAGTCAATTTCTGACTGGGAGCTGTCATGATTACTGTCTCCCACTGTTAACACTGTACTTGGAGGTCTTGATGGAATTGGGCAAACCTGTTCTTTCAGACCCTCAGTTTCATCTCAACACAAAACTCTCCAAAAGTCCTTGCTGCTCCACAGCAGGGAACTCTCTTGAAGCAATAACATGAGGAAATAGTGGGCTTGCATGGCTGCCTCACATTCCTCAGGTATCACTGTGCTCATTGCCTGATGTACTGTGTCTTGCCAACCATCATTCCACGTAATTTACCCATTCTTGGTTTTTACATTGGTTAAGGCATGTACAAACCCTGTTAGTTTTTCTGCAGTATTTGGATTCATACCTTCTGAAATTACTTGACGATTACTGTGTCTCTGGTTATTTGCTTCTAGTTGGCAATACAAAGGAACAATGTGAATGAAACTCATAAAGAAAAACCTATGATTTAATGGGCGTGTGTAACACTAGAGGGAAGGTCAGAGTTAGTCTATGCATGGGTATAGGTAGGAGTCTCAGTGGGTGTCAGCCATTCTGTGTCAACAAATCAAATATTTAAGGTGGATCTAAAAGAAAGGTAATATCTCTGCCAATTAAACTAGAGTCACGCATTGACTAATGGCAAATACAGTCTAAGAAGTGCATTTTTAGGCAATTTTGTCATTATGAGAACAACGTAGAGAGTACTTACACAAACTTAGATGGTATAGCCTACTACATGGCTAGGCTATATGGTAAAGCATGTTGCTTCTAGGCTACAAACCTTTACTGAACTGTAAGCAATGATAACACGATGGTGTCATATCCCATATATATACACATACACACACATACATATATATACATATACTATAGTAAAAATATGATATAAAACATTTTTTAACTGGTACTGCTGTTTAAAGCAGATATCATGAGTGGATTTTGCAGGACCGGAAGTTCATCCAGGTGAGTGAGTGAGTGAGTTGTGAGTGAAGGTGAAGGTCTAGGGCATTATTGTACACTACTGTAGATTTAAGAAACACTGTATGCAGCCGGGCGCGGTGGCTCACGCCTGTAATCCCAGCACTTTGGGAGGCCGAGGCAGGCGGATCACGAGGTCAGGAGATTGAGACCATCCTGGCTAACACGGTGAAACACCGTCTCTACTAAAAATACAAAAAAGTTAGTCGGGTGCGGTGGCGGGCGCCTGTAGTCCCAGCATACTCAGGAGGCTGAGGCGGGAGAATGGGGTGAACCTGGGAGGCAGAGCTTCCAGTGAGCTGAGATCGCGCCACTGCACTCTGGCCTGGGTGAAAGAGCGAGACTCTGTCTCAAAAAAAAAAAAAAAAAAAAGAAACACTGTATGCTTACGCTATACTAAATTTATTTTAAAAACCTGAAGTAGGCCAGGCGCAGTAGCTCACGTCTGTAATCCCAGCACTTTGGGAGGTTGAGGCAGGAGGATCACGAGGTCAGGAGTTCGAGACCAGCCTGACCAAGATGGTGAAACCCTGTCTCTACTAAAAATACAAAAATTAGCCGGGCATTGTGGCACATGCCTGTAATCCCAGCTACTCAGGAGGCTGAGGCAGGAGAATCACTTGAACCCAGGAGGCAGAGGTTACAGTGAGCCAAGACTGCACCACTGCACTCCAGACTGGGTGACAAAGCGAGACTCCATCTCAAAAAAAAAAAAAAAATCCTGAAATACTAATGACATTATGATTGCTACAATGTCACAAGATAAGATAAATTTTCAACTCCATTGCAATCTTATGGGACCAGCAACGTGCATATTGTCTGTTGTTGACCAAAACGGCCCTTATGTGGTACATGACCCTATACACATAACAGCATATTTTATATTTATGGAAAAAGCCCTTCTAGAATTATAAAATCACAAGTTTTACTCACATAAAATTTAACACAATATTGAGATTAACTCATAAATGAAATTATAAAAGTCTTAAAATTTTGACTATGATAGTTCTAAACAAGATTTTAATCCAGAGAAATGAATGTGTTCACGTAATCCTCTGTGGCATAAAGAGTAATGGCAATGAAACATTTCTTAATAAAACAGGCTGCATCATTGTCAGTGCGATTTGCACCTTCCCGTTGACATCCATTCTGTAGGTATTGAATGCAGGTGATCTTACCTGAAGGTGACAACAGAAGATTTTATTACAAGATCACGCATGTGCCCTCAATAACGCCATGTCATTGATGCCACCAGGGTAACAGCTATTGTGATAAAATTTGAAAAATAAACATATGTGGCTTGAACCCGGGAGGCGGAGCTTGCTGTGAGCTGAGATCGCGCCACTGCACTCCAGCCTGGGCGACAGAGCGAGACTCCGTCTCGAAAAAAACAAGAAAGAAAAAAGAAAGAAAAATAAACATACGCTAAAAATTTAGAAGGATAGTAAGTAATAAGCATTTGATTGCTTGAGCCCAGGAATTGGAGGCTGCTATGCTCTGTGATCACAACTATGAATATCCATTGCACTGCAGCCTGAGAAATATAGCTAGGCTCCATCTCTAAAAAAGTAAATAACTAAATAAGTGTTTGAAAATATTTAGCAAGGAAGCCATACTAATGTAGCTGAATCTTGGAAATCAAGAAAAAAAATTGTTCGTTTAAAAGGGCAAAATTAAAAAATTCTTTCCAGATAGAAAGAATAGGTGCAGATGATAGAGCAGCGTGGCCCAGGGGAGGGGCTAAGCAGTGGACTAAGGATGGGGAGGCTGGAGAAGAGGCTGAGGGGAGTCACATGTTGTCCTGAGATGAGAAAGGGAAAAAAAGAAACATGTTCATCTTCAAGTGCAAACTCTCTTCAGATTGAAAGAAAGTTTTTAGTTTCTTGGGAAGCAGAAAAGAATATAGGTGAGGAGTTTGAGAGATTCATTAATTTCTTTGTGAAATTCAACATAAAGGAAGATATTCTGTGTTGCTCTTTGTTCACTATATGTGTGGGGCTCACAGGGAAGCAATATAGACAAAGTTTCCAAATTCTCAGATGTTAAAGGCCAATGGGGATTCAGAAAACGCAACAGAAACTAAACTGCAAGTGGAAGAGCTGCCCTTGGGAGCCCAGAGGGCAAGTTTCAGGCCTGGACTGGGTGGGCAAGGGAGGCCTCCAGGAGGAGGAGCTTTGGAGGAGATTGTGGAGAGTGAGGAGCAGTGAGTCCAGCAAACAGGGCAGGGAAAGCGAGGAGGAAACAGTGTGTCTGTGGCACAGGCCAGGGCATGAGAAGAGGGTGGTGGGTTGGAAGGACCACTGGGATGAGTAATACATGAGGAGGCAGGAGAAGGAAGGGCAGACCATGCAGGGACTGGGCATGGGGGTGAGGGTGCCGGGCAGCTCAGAAAGTGATGCAGGGGCCGCTCTCTGAGGACTGCATTCTGTGGGGAGGGATTTGAATGTCTCAGTTCTTTTATGAAATGTTATCCCCAATCCATGAGGTCTTCTGATTCAGGAACCAGTCAGAACAGGTGAGGGTGGCCCCAGTCCACTGTGCAGGACCATTAGCATTGCCAGGAGGGGTTGGTGCTGAGGACAAAAGAGAGTGAAAAGGGGCAAAGAACTTTCTTTCCTGTCTGTCATTTTGCAGATGTAAGTGGGATCTGTGGATCTGAAAATTCACAGTGGCCAGCTCACCACCACCTGATGAAAGATACACCACAGGGTGAGAGCATCCTAACAGCAAACTGCAAATGAGGTGGGTTTGCAGCTGCACAGAGAAGGGACCCCAGGGAAGCTACACGGGCAAGGCAGGCAGGGGACTTCAGAGGTGGTAGCAGTGGGTGTTGATGAAATTATTCTCTGAGGATATACACGTTTGTCAGTGTACGTGCATGACCGCTTACATGTTGATGTTCGCATACAAACCCCACAATTTTCTCATGTTTTTCAGAGCATAGCATGTATTTTGACTTTATTCTTTCTACCACACGTAACCATGCCTTGTATACCTAGCAATACTTAACGTTTATTTTTGGTGGATTATTCATGGTTAATGCATTTCCTGACTTGGTAGCCAAATGAAATTACCTTGCTTTACAGGCCTTTGGTTGATCATTTCTGAAGATTTGTGTCGCCTGAATTCAGTGGGGGTCACCTCTCCATGATCTTAAGCAACAGTCCTGTTGGGACTGTTATGCTATCCTACTTAACTTTGGACTTGTATGTCCTGGAAAATATGAAACTATCGATACTCACTTGAAAATTCCAGGTGCTTTACCTTTTACTTTGTTTTTGCCGTGTTTCCAATGTTATATATTTTCTCCCACTTACTTTGGATTCAATTGCTCTGCTTCCTTTTACAGTAAAAATTTAGATGTTTGAATTTTGGGTTTCAACTTTTCTAATATATACACACTCAATGCTGTAATTTTCCTCTAAGCTTCCCTGTTGTAGCTGACAAATTTTGATGAGGTGTGTTTTCCTTTCAATTTAGTTCAAATTATTTTAAAAAATTTCTCTTGAGATTTCTTTGACCCATGTATTATTTGGAAATGAATTATATAATCTCCACGTATTTTGCAATTCACCAGTTTTTAAAAATTGATTTCTAGCTTAATTCTGTTGTGTTTTGAGTGCATACATTGTATTAGTCTGATTCTTTTAAATGGTTTCAGGTGTGTTTTATGGAGGAGAATGTGGTGCATCTCGATGAGTGGTCCTGTGGGCTTGAGTTCAATGTGTATTCTGCCCGTTGTTGGATAAAGTCTGTAGATGTCAATTATATCCAATTGACTGATGATACTGTTGAGTTCAACTATGTCCTTACTGATTTTTTCTGCTTGGTGGATCTGTCTATTTCTGATAGAGGAGTGTTGAAAGTCTCCAACGATAATAGCGGATTCATCTATTTCTTATTGTGGTTTTAACAGTTTCTGCCTCACGTAGACTGATGCCCTGTTGCTCTGTTGTTACATGCATATATATTAAGGATCATTATATTTTCTTGGAAAATCGATCCCTTTATTATCACATAAGGTCTTTATCCCTGATAATTTTCCTGTATTTACATTACATTCTTTCTGAAGCTAATAAAGCTATGCCTGCTTTCTTCTGGTTACTGTTAGCAAGGTACATTTTGTTTCATTCATTTACTTTTATATGTACTTTTACTTTTTTTACATTTACTCTTATTAATTGACAAAATTTGAGGTATTGACTATGTAAAATCTTCACATCATCTTCAAACATGATGTTTGAAGAATAATATATATTGTGAAGTGAAAAATTCTTGCTAAGAACATATGTGTTACCTCACACAGTTATTTTTCGTGGCAAGAACACTTTACATCCACTCTTTCTTCATTTTTCATAATGCAATTTATTGTTAACTATAGTTACCATGTTGTACAATCTCTTGATCTTTTTCTTCCTATCTAACTGAAATTTTGTACCCATTCACAATCATCTACCCATCCTCATCCCCTACCACCCTTAGGCCCTAGTACTCACCATTCTACTTTGTATTTATATAAATGAGCTTTTTTAGATTCCGCTTACACATGGGTTCATGTGGTATTTGTCTTTCTCTTCCCGGCATATTTCATTTAACATATTGTCATGCAGATACATTCATTCTGCCTCCAATGACAGTAATTCTCCCTTTTTAAGGCCGATAATATCCTGTTTTGCATATACACTGCATTCTTTTTATCCATTAATCTGTTGATGGGCACTTAGGTTGATCCCATATTTGGCTATTGTGACTAATTCTGGAATGAATGTGGGAGTGCAGATATCTATCCAACACACCGGATAGTCAATGAAATCTCCCAAGGCAGATTTTATTACCTTTGGATATATACCCAGTAATAAGACTGCTCGATCAAAGGGTAATTCTATTGTTTTTTTTTTTAGGATCCTTCACAATTTTTCCCATAATTACTATATTGTACTAATTTACATTCCCACCGACAGTACACATGTTCCCTTTTCTCCCTATCTTTATCAACACTAACTTTTGTCTTTTAAAATAGCCATTCTAACAAGTGTGAGATGATATCTCATTGATTTAAATTTGCAATTGTCTATGTATGTCTTCATATTTATACAGATTTCCAATATACAAGATATAACGGGGACTTGTTTTTAGATCTACTCTGACAATGTGTCTTTAATTGGTGCATTTCAACCATTGCTACTCAAAGGGATTACTGACATGGTTGTGAGAGGTGAGGCCAGCTGGACTTCCTGGGTCGAGTGGGGACTTGGGGAAATCTCCTGTCTTACAGAGGATTTTAAAATGCACTAATCAGCGCTCTGTAAAATGCACCAGTCAGCAGGATTCTAAAAGTAGCCAATTGAGGGGAGGATTGAAAAAAGGGCACTCTGATAGGACAGAAATGGAACATGGGTGGGGACAATAAAGGAATTAAAGCTGGTAACCCCAGCCAGCAGCCACAATCCGCTGGGGTCCCTTTCCACGCAATGGAAGGTTTGTCTCTTCGCTCTTCACAATAAGCCTTGCTACCGGTCACTCTTTGGGTCCATGGCATCTTGGACTAAGAGTCCAAGGTCAGTTCAACTTGGTGGAGCAAGCTGGCAGTTAGATGAAAAATATACACAGACTTGCTGCAGCTGTACAGATGATGAACGTAGAACTCAAAAGATGATGGAGGCCGGGCGCGGTGGCTCAGGGCCTGTAATCCCAGCACTTTGGGAGGCCGAGGCGGGCGGACCACGAGGTCAGGAGATCGAGGCCATCCTGGCTAACACGGTGAAACCCCGTCTCTACTAAAAATACAAAAATTAGCCAGGCGTGGTGGCAGGCGCCTGCAGTCCCAGCTACTCGGGAGGCTGAGGCAGGAGAATGGCATGAACCCGGGAGGCGGAGCTTGCAGTGAGCCAAGATTGCACCACTGCATTCCAGCCTGGGCGACAGAGCGAGACTCTGTCTCAAAAAAAAAAAAAAAAAAAAAAAAAAAGATGATGGAAACAGAGTAGAAATGATGAGAATGATGAATGATGCCTGGAGCTTGGTTCCTGGGTTGCTGTGGTGTTAGATGGTCACAGAGCAGCTTTTTGGAAGCTTATGTCCATGTCTCCTGCTAACAGTAGATACTTGATTAGAATGGAACAGAATGTTTACCTGATTTTTACTTATAGCACCTGGAATGCTAGTAGTAAAATGTAAGCCCTTTGGAGACAGAAAATTTTTCAATTCTGTGTTTTCAGAGCCTAGGATAATTCCTCTGACCTCACTGGTGAGAATACGTAGGTGTTAAACTAATGCACGGATTAAACTATAAGGGCAAAGAAAAAAGTTCCCCTTTGTCCTCTGAAGGTTCACTGAAAAATCAACTGGCAAAAGGAAGATTAATAGAAGAAAAGGTATGTAAAATTTTATTTTAAATTGCATAGGGAGGGAACCACAAAAGAATGATGACCCAGTGAGGTACACACGTTTATATATCTGTTTTCATAGAGGAAGAAGGCGATGTGTAACATAGACTATTATTTTAAGAGGCAATAGACCATCAAGGAGAATGAACAGACCCAGGAGGCAGGAAGCAGACATTAGGAGAAGGTGAGGTGCAGAGCTACGCAGGAAGAGAGGTTGTTGTTTAATGCAAATTAAGTCCTCCAGATAATCTCTTGGAGCTGACCTCAAAAGAACAGACGGTAGGTGTGTCTGGGCTGGTGAGGACTCCCAGCCTCTTGATCTTTCCTGGTTACTTGATGAGATCCCTGGGGAGGATGTTCAAGACCATTGCATTTCTTTATTTTATTTTATTTTCAGATGGAGTCTCACTCTGTTGCCCAGGCTGGAGTGCAGTGGCATGATATTGGCTCACTGCAACCTCCACCTACCAGATTCAAGTGATTCTCTTGCCTCAGCCTCCTGAGCAGCTGGGATTACAGGCGCCTGCCACCACACCCAGCTAATTTTTGTATTTTTAGTAGAGACGGGGTTTCACCATGTTGGTCAGGCTTGTCTCAAACTCCTGACCTCGTGATCCACCTGCCTTGGCCTCCCAAAGTGCTGGGATTACAGGCGTGAGCCACTGTGCCCAGCCTGTAAATGCCCATCCCATTATATTTCTTTTGTAAAGAAGCTTGCTTGGTCAGATAAGGAAATTTCAGAGAGGCTCTTCCTGGACTTGGGAGTGGGAGACAAGATTAGAGAGACCTTCATTCTGAGGCAAATTCTAAGACGGCTCAGCATGACAAAGCACCAGTCTTTGGTATATCTGAGCCCCAACAAAATAAACTGATTTGTGTATGAAGAATGGAGCTTACAGCTCAGACAGCAAATCAATCCTTATTGACTCAGTTTTCAACTTCATCTGGATTACCAGATGCACAGTGTGAAAATAAGTCATTTGCCAGCCTGAGCAACATAGCAAGAGCCCGTCTCTATAAAAAGTGTAAAAATCTAGCTGGGCATGGTAGTGACCGTCTGTTGTCCTAGCTACTCTGCAGCCTGAGATGGGAGCATCACTTGTTACAGTGAGCTGTGATCATGATCAGGTCACTGCACTCCAATCTAGCTACTGAGTGAGACCTTGTCTCTCTCTCTCCCTCTCTCTCTCTCTCTCTCTCTCTATATATATATATATATATATATATATAGCCAGGCGTGGTGGCAGTCACCTGTAATCCCAGCTACTCAGGAGGCTGAGGCAGGAGAATCGCTTGAATCTGGTAGGTGGAGGTTAAAGTGAGCTGAGAGTGCCACTGCACTCCAGCCTGGGCAACAGAGCGAGACTCCATCTGAAAAAAAAAAAAGAAATGCATATAATATATATAGTATATATAGTATATATATCTATATATAAAATAGATATATATAGTATATATATCTATATATAAAATAGATATATATAGTATATATATCTATATATAAAAATATAGATATATAGTATATATATCTATATATAAAATATATAGATATATATACTATATATCTATATATAAAATATATAGATATATATACTATATATAAAATATATAGTATATATATGAAAATAAGTTATTTGTATTCAAAGCATCAAATAAAATTTTGTTTTAGTTTTCTAAAAAAATACAAGTAACATATATAGGCATGCTGTTTTTCTTCTTATATGTGACTACATTACTTTAGTATGTAGCAAATATCATTTGCTAGCTGTAGTAAATGTGCATTGTCACATTTTGTCCAATTTTGTTCAAACTTTAATCAAATGCCTAAGAATTTAAAATTACCTTAATTTTGTAGAAGCAAATCACAGCTTATCATTTTAGATGTTTTACTTACTTATGAGTCTACTATTTCCCACGTTACTGCTGTTTCTGGCCTGCCTGTGGCAGTATTGCCATTCACTGGAACCTGCTTCCATAGGAGGAGCATCCTGATGTGTTTAGGAATACTAAAATTCAGATCATTCCCCATCAGAGTTGTCTATTCTGTTTCTCCCTCTCATCCCCATAATGAATGCATACATTCTTTCTGTTTGTTTGGTAATTATTGGGTCATTTAAAATGAAGACTATGAAATGAGAACAGAACCACTGACCAAAATGTACAACTTTTTAAACGTACCATGGGGAAGAAAGGTCCAGAACCTATGCGCGGAGTATGTTACTAATCCAGAGAGAAAGTATATTTAAAAACAACCTGAGTGGTCAGGAAGTCAATTTCTTTTTTCTTTATTTTTTTAAGAGAGACAGGGTCTCGCTTTGTTGCCCAGGCTGGTCTCGAACTCCTAGGCTCAAGCCATCTTCCCTCTTCGGCCTCCCAAAGGGATCAGTTTCTGAAGTGAGATGAGTGAGTTGATTCCTTGAGCATTGTCTTAATATGCTACGGCTACCATAACAAAGTACCAGAGACTGGGTGGCTTACGCAACAGAAGTTAACGTTCTGGAGGCTATAACGTTCTAGAGGCCGGCAAGGTTGTATTCTTTGTGACCTCTCTACGTGGCTGGCAGATGGCCACCTTCTCTCTGTGCTCTCACCTCTTCCTTCCCCTGTGCTTGCACATCCCTGGTTCTCTCATCCAAGCATTCTATTCTTATAGGGACACCAGGCAGATAGGATTTGGCCCACCTTAATGACCTCATTTACCTTAATCATCTAATAGAAGGCCCTATGTCCAAACAGTCACATTCTGAGACACTGGGGGTGAGGGCTCTGCAGGGGAGAAAAATAATACCTTTCCTTCACCTGCTGCAAGGTTCGTGGCTGAGTCCTCATAACAAAATCCAGATTAACAAAAGAAAAGTATGCAAATGCATTTTTTTTTTGAGACGGAGCCTCACTTCTGTTGCCCAGGCTGGAGTGCAGTGGTGTGATCTCTGCTAACCACAAACTCTGCGTCCCGTTTTCAAGCGATTCTCCTGCCTCAGTCTCCCGAGTAGCTGGGACTATAGGCGCCCACCACCACACCCAGCTAATTTGTGTATTTTTTAGTAAAGATGGGGTTTCACCATGTTGGCCAGGCTGGTCTCAAACTCCTGATCTCAGGTGATCCGCCCTGCTCGGCCTCCCAGAGTGCTGGGATTATAGGCGTGATCCACCACGCCCAGCCACAAATGCATTTAATGTAAGTTTTATGTGACACAGGAGACTACGGAAATGAAAACTCAAACATCTAGGGAGAACTGTGCATTTTTATGGACAGTCATTTAGAAGTATGATTGGAGGACAAAAGGGTATGATCTAATGGTAATAAACTGGGAGGAACTTACCAAGGCCTGACTGTTCAGGTTCTTCTTGGCCTCCAAGTTTGATATTCCTTCCCTTCGGGCATAGGGCAGAATACCTGTCACATGAGGGTCTTCAGGAGAGAAGAGGTGGGAGCAGGTCATTTCAAACCTTTCTCCCTCTGGAGTTTTCTGTCTCCTCCAGCTTAAAATCCTTAGTGTGCCAGGGTGCCATACATTGGGGTAGTATTTCCTGTACTCCAGTAGCTTCAATGTATAAATCTTAGCCACAACAAGCATGAATAGAGATTTCAAGCTACAGAAGGAAGCAAAGGACTACCGAGAGGTAAAGATGTCCAAAGGTAACTCTGGCGAAAAGAATGAACTCCTTGTACAGCTGTGAATGGGAGTTTGGGCAAGCGTTAAGTCTGAACCTACCTATAGGTGGGACTCTTAACCATTTTATATTTATGCAGAGCGAGTAAATGGAAAAATCCCGTGGAAAAACACTAATCATATATTGCGACTTGAGGGGGCTACAGATTTTTTTTTTTTTTTGAGGTGGAGTCTCACTGTGTAGCCCAGGCTGGAGTGCAGTGGCTGCGATCTTGGCTCACTGCAAGCTCCGCCTCCTGGGTTCACGCCATTCTCCTGCCTCAGCCTCCCGAGTAGCTGGGACTACAGGCGCCCACCACCATGCCTGGCTAATTTTTTTGTATTTTTGGTAGAGACGGGGTTTCACCGTGTTAGCTAGGATGGTCTCGATCTCCTGACTTCGTGATCCACCCGCCTCGGCCACCCAAAGTGCTGGGATTACAGGCGTGAGCCACCATGCCCGGCTTGGGGGGCTACTGATTTAAAGAAAGAAAGATTAAAAGGATTTTGATGCAATAACTCTTTAAATTTTTTTTTTTTGAGTTGGAGTCTCACTCTGTCGCCCAGGCCAGAATGCAGTGGTACAATCTTGGCTCACTGCAACCTCCGCCTCCTGGTTCAAGGGATTTTCCAGCCTCAGCCTTCCAAGTAGCTGGGATTATAGCATGCACCACAATGCCCAGCTAATTTTTGTATTTTTAGTAGAGACAGGGTTTCACCATGTTTGCCAGGCTGGTCTTGAACTCCTGACCTCAGAAGATCCGCCTGCCTCGGCCTCCCAAAGTGCTGAGATTACAGGCATGAGCCACTGTGCCCGGCCAACTCTTTATTTATTTATTTTTTTTTTTTTGAGACGGAGTCTCGCTCTGTCGCCTAGGCTGGAGTACAGTGGTCCAATCTCGGCTCGCTGCAAGCTCCACCTCCCTGGTTCAAGTGATTCTCCAGCCTCAGCCTCCCAAGTAGCTGGGACTACAGGCACCTGCCACCACGCCCAGGTAAAATTTTTGTATTTTTAGTAGAGACGGGGTTTCACCGCGTTAGCCAGGATGGTCTCAATCTCCTGACCTCGTGATCCACCCGCCTCGGCCTCCCAAAGTGCTGGGATTACAGGCGTGAGCCACCATGCCCGGCGCCAACTCTTTAATTTTTAAAATTGGGTTTCTGGAGGTGATATCCATCCTTTTCCAGTACACAGTTTATAGAGTTTCAACAAATACATACTGTCATGAAATTACCACCGTAATCAATGTTTCCCATAGTGGCCACAGCTTGGGAAATCCTAACAAAGGCTTTAGGCTTCCTGGCCTCTGCTGCCATGACCCTGTAGAAAGAATGGATTACGAGATTCGTTCCCACCTGCCCCTCCCTGGGTCTCAGATCTTCCCTATCTATCAGATAAGGATTGGATTGAGCTGGTGTAGCCAGTTTGTCTGTCCCTGTGCTGAGGTTACTACTTCTGCTGGCACCCAAAGCACTTGTTATAGATCTAAACAAGTTGATTTCAGTCATCCAGTCCAGCAAGGGAGGACATGTCCTATATAAACTTGATGTGCCTGATAACATAAGCCACCCCACTGGAAGTATCAGATGTTTCCCGCACTACTAGAGGGTTCCTAGCACCCTGGTCCTCCCTGATCCTGTCCCCCAACACTGTGAGATCCCATAGAAAGTGGGGGTCACCTTGGGGAACACTGCCATAAAATTAGAGTTAGGGGGCCCTTTCTGGGGTTTTATGGTGGCCTGAACCACAAACCACCCCCAAGAACATGCACTTTGAAGAGAAAAGGAAAAAGAATGGTAGGGAACACTGAGGTTGGAATTTCACAGGAACAGCCTAATTAGCCAGCTACCTGGTCCACCTCCATCCACATCAAGCTCAGTGTTTCCCAACATGTGCTGCAGTGCCCCATTTCCCATGCATTGGAGTGTAGTGTTTAGTGTTCATACTACTAGATAGAAGTACCGCCTCCTGAGCAGGCCTTCTTGATGTCCTATCTTCAGTTGCTTTGGCTGTTCCATTGTTCAGTAGCTCCATTGGCTTGCAGATGACAGGGTGCATACAAAGCCCATCATATTCCATGAGAGCATGGCCATTGTTTTGCTGGTCATGTAGTGAAGGATGCTTCTTGGTGAGACTGAGGTCCTCTGGGGTGTTCAAAATCATGACATAAGTTCTCCTCAATAACAGCAATGGTAGTATCAGCATCCACAAGCGTGCATATTTTTTGTCCTTTCCAAGTAGCAAGCTGTTTTGATAGTCTTTGTCCCCACAAAGAGGCTCTTTAAATATTCTAGTCACTCAATTGCCATTCCCTGATGAGGTATGTAGGCTGTCAGCAACGGCCCACACATTGGTGAAATGCAGGAAGACCTGGTGGTAGGGGTGGCCTGCATGGTCATCACAAATGCGTGTTGTTTGGTCCACTGGGCAAATTGCCAAGGTTTATTCTGACAAATGATGATGACAACCACAGCCTAACAGACCCCATCTGCTCTGTTGTTTCACTGAGCCATCAGTAAACCATGCCACACCATCAGCAGGCTTGTCTTGGAGCCTTAGGCTCCAGACAGCCATGGGAGGAGCCAAAGCACACCCAGTGGTTCTCTTGGTGTCTTCTAATTAGCTAGCCATTTGTTCACGGAGCCTGCTGGTCACATGTGGTCCTAGCTGGGCCTGAACTTGAATGCACCACTTCCATTTGATAAGTGAAGTCTATGGAGCCTGTCTAATTTTATTGGTTGAGCTTGTGAGCCATCCAGAGAGAAATGGCAGTTCAGGTTGCAGAGTTTCATCTGGCATTCTGGCCACGAGGTGCCCAGTCCAAAACAGTACCCAATATCAAGTAAGGATTGCCATTTAAAAGAGGGATATAGGCCGGGCGTGGTGGCTCATGCCTGTAATCCCAGCAGTTTGGGAGGCCAAGGCGGGTGGATCACCTGAGGTCAGGAGTTCGAGACCAGCCTGACCAATGTGATGAAACCCCATCTCTACTAAAAATAGAAAAATTAGCCGGACATGGTGGCATGCGCCTGTAATCCCAGCTATTCAGGAGGCTGAGACAGGAGAATTGCTTGAACCCGGGAGGCAGAGGTTTCAATGAGCCGAGATTGCACCATTGCACTCTAACCTGGGCAACAAAAGTGAAACTCCATCTCAAAAAAATAAAATAAAATAAAGAGGGATATTTGGTGGCTGCCTGAGGCAACTTATGTGTCCAAGATCTGAGAGGCTGGTACACCCCAGTGTCAGTTTTCTGTTGCCAGAGACATCCATCACTGTGCATCAGGTTGCACACAACTGTGATTTCATCTGGCTAGCACATTTAAGGTTTAAAAGGAAGTGCCTGAGACACAAATTGTTGTAAACCTGCTGCTGCAAAGGGTTCCATTCAAAGTGTGTGGCTTTATTGGTTACCTTGACTCTGGGTGCCAGAAGAACCCCCATGTGAGATGCATGTTGTCTCCAGTACCCAAAGCGACCTAACCAGCTGCCAGGCCTCCTTTGTATCCGTGAGTGCAGCCAGGGGCTTGCCTGTATCTGGGATACTGTTTTGGCTTCTTGCTCAGGTAGCTTTGGCATTCATTGTGCCCATGGCCTTTTTGACCAGCTAAACTGGGCTGTTACATTGTGACAGGTGGGTTGTCACTTTTTTCTTTTTTTCGAGACGGAGTCTTGCTCTGTCACCCAGGCTGACCTGGTGCGATCTTGGCTCTCTCTAACCTCCGCCTCCCAGGTTTAAGCACTTCTCCTGCCTCAGCCTCCTGAGTAGCTGGGATTATAGGCGCCCACCACCATGCCCTGCTAATTTTTATATTTTAGTAGAGACGGGGTTTCACCATGTTGGCCAGGCTGGGCTTAAACTCCTGACCTCGTGATTCACCCACTTCAGCCTCCCAAAGTGCTGGGATTACAGGCATGAGCCCCCACGGCCAGCCGGTTGTCACATTTTTATCTGTAACAAGTAAATCCAGAATTAATAAAATAGTGTCATTGTTCCATTTAGTATGCAGTACCACTTTTTTTAATGATTCAGTGCGGCTTGGGTAGCTTAGGTAACAGGCAGGAGTGGATACGGCCCACTATTGTGTCTTAGTTCTTAGCTGTGAGGGGGCATAATCTTCCAGGACATCAATGCCTATAATGCACTCAGGGTGGGAACCAGAGCCACCTGCATAAAAAGTTGCTCACAGGGCTCTACCCACAAGTACATAAGCATTGTGTGCAGATAAGCATCACGGGCCACCAGTTTGTTCCCAAACCTCCCAATGTCATCCGTTTAATTATTCTCCTAAAAGGACCCAGAAACATTGTCATGTGGGTTCCGGTATCCAAGCACCTGAGAAAAAACTGAAGTCTTCTCTTTTCTCCTCTTATCATAACAAGGGTATAAGGCCAGAGGGCTTCAGTAGGGACCTAGAGGCCTTGGCCCCATTCTTAACTGTGTCAATCAGACCAAGACACTTAGGTGGCAGTGTTCCTTTATCAAACACTCACAATAGCCACACTGCGTAAGATTTCCCTGGTCTTCCTCCTTATCCTTTCGAGCCTGACTCTTCCCATCTTCTGGGCTGACATTGTACGTGTTAGTTCCTCTCATGCCTCAGGGACCATACAAGGACCTCTCTCTAGTTTCTTCTTGGGTGCCTCAGGGGCTGTCTGAATACTCACCATTCAAGCTCTTGGGCCCTGACAATAAGGGATCACATAAGTGCCCAGCACCTAGGGGACCTTGAACTATGATCTGCTGTTTCCACATTCCTTTCTCTCTGTCTCAGTCCATGCAGCCAGCTCACTTACATCTGTGGGGAGGAGAGTGACATGTCCCATTTACCACCCATCCTTATCCATAACTCATCCAGGTACATGTCCAGCCCCTGTGCTCCTGGGCTGATGTCTCTGCCTTGGGCTGAGTACTGGGTGGTATTGCCCCTCCCACTTTGCCAGAAAGCCATGTTTCTCTGACCGAACCTTACCCACTGCACCAATTTTTCAAAGCAGGTTCACCAATTACCAATCCCAAGGGAGGACTCCACCACACAGAGGACAGCAAAGGTCATCACTATACCAGCCATCAGGAATAGGAGTCCAGACACTTCTACCCACTGCATCCTCCGCTGCAGTGCTACAACTGCCTGAGAGCAGTGAGACAGAACACATTCTCAGGCAGTAAGTTAAAGGATGCACATTTATTATTTACAGATAGGGAGAAAGTCTTCCTTCAAAAGAAGCCTAGGCTCCATTCTGAGCTCATCCCCAAAGGCTCAAGAAGGGTTCCCAGGGCAGATGAAGTCTGGATTGCAAATGCCCCCCTTTCACACAGCTGAGGAAGCCCAAAAGGCAGCCCACCCTGGGTTACATATCTCAGGGCAGACATGGCGCATTGAGCAAAGCTTTAAGGAAATACTGCTTTCAGGGCAGAGAGGAACAAACCCCAGCTCTCCTGGACAGTCCCTCCCTAACTAAAGATGTGACATTCCTTAGGAAGGGCCAGAACAAGGCCAGGGTTGTTCCAGACAGTCCCTCCCTAGCTCAGAATATTGCATTCCAGGCTGATGCTACACTTATTCTTGACAAATTAAAACTGAGAAAATGGGAATAATTGAATCCATCCAAGGCCACCTGGAGGACTGTTTTGCATTTTCACCCCAAAAGTTCCTTGTAGTAGTCTTCCCACCATATTTAGTTTTGGAAATTATTGATATCTATCTCCATAACTTTGCCTTTTACAGAATGTCATATAAATGAAATCATTCTGTATGTAATCTTTCAGTAACACTTTCGAGATATGTCATGTTTACTGTATCAATGGTTTGTTTCTTTTTGAAACTGACCTGTGCTATATTCAATGAATGTACCACAATTTACTCAATTGTTTATGTTTTTTTTTAAGACAGAGTTTCGCTCCTGTTGCCCAGGTTGGAGTGCAATCCTGCAACCTCGGCTCACTGCAACCTCCACCTCCTGGGCTCAATGATTCTCCTGCCTCAGCCTCTGGAGTACTCATCATTTTTATTAATATAAAATGTTATAAATATGGATAACTTGATGGATATTTGTGTTGAGGTATTATATGGTTACTACAAGCATATGGTTTCATTCATCTTGGGAAAATAGATCTTAGCGCTGAGATGCTGGATCATATAACAAAAGTATGATTCAGAAGGCTGGTTGTGGTGGCTCATGCCTATAATCCCAACACTTTGGGAGGCCAAGATGGGAGGATCACTTGAGGCCAACAGTTCAAGAGCAGCTTCGCCAACATAGTGAAACCCCATCTCTACTAAAAATACAAAACTTGGCCGGGTGCAGTGGCTCATGCCTGTAATCCCAGCACTTTGGGAGGCTGAGGCAGGCGGATCACCTGAGATCAGGAGTTCAAGACCAGCCTGGCCAACATGGTGAAACCCCGTCTCTACTAAAAATACAAAAGAAAATTCTCCAGGTGTGGTGGTGCATGCCTATAATCCCAGCTACTCAGGAAGCTGAGACAGGAGAGTCACTTGAACCCACGAGGCAGAGGTTGCAGTGAGCCGAGATCATACCACTGCACTCCAGCCTGGATGACAGAGTGAGACTCCATCACAAACACACACACACACACACACACACACACAGAAAACTTAGCTAGGCGTGGTGGCACACGCCTGTAATCCCAGCTCCTCATGTGGCTAGGGCATGAGAATAGCTTGAACCTGGGAGGCAGAGGTTGCAGTGAGCTGAGATGGTGCCACTGCACTCCAGCCTGGGCGATAGAGCTGACTCTGTCTTGAAAAAAAAAAAAAACGTATGATTCACTTTACAAGAAACTGCCAAAATGTTTTCCAAAGTGGCTATCATTTTGCATCCTAACAGAAAATATGGGAATCCCCGTTACTCCACATCCTTACCAGCACTTGGTTTGGACTCTGTGTGTTTGTGTGTGTCTGTAGTGTGTGTGTGTGTGTGTGTTTGTGTGTGCGCATGAGTAAATATATGTGTATATATGTATATATATCGACTCTTAATAATTCCAGTAGGGACATAGTGGCACCTTACTGTGGTTTCAATAATTTACATCTTCCTGCTGATAATGGCATTGAATAAAACTCATTAACTTGTTCGTCATCCATATCTACTATTTGACTGTCACTCTTCTCATTTCAAAAAATGTTTATTGTTGTATTATTAAATTTAACTATGTATATGTATAATTTTGATATGACCTACATCTGTTAAGTACCGAAAATATTTTTTTCTGAGCCTGTGCCATCTCGTCTTTCTCTTAACAGTGTCTGTCAAAGAGCAGCATTTATTTTAATTTTGACTAAGAATAATTTGTCCTTTTTTGTTGTTTTTTTTTGAGACAGAGTCTGTCTCTGTCACCCAGGCTGGAGTGCAATGGCACAGTCTTGGCTCACTGCAACTTCCGCCTCCTGGGTTGAAGCGACTCTCCTGCCTCAGCCTCTTGAGTAGCTGGGATTACAGGCACCCTCTATCATGCCCGGCTAATTTTTGTACTTTTGTAGAGATGGGGTTTCACCATGTTGGCCAGGCTGGTCTTGAACTCCTGACCTCAGGTGATCCACCTGCCTCAGCTTCTCAAAGTGCTGGGATTACAGGCATGAGCCACTGTGCCCAGCCAATTTATCCATTTTTAAATTTTGTGCTTAATATTTATTCCCTACCATTATATATTGCTTAACACAAGGTCATAAAGATTACCTACAGTATTTTCCTTAGAAATTTTATGTGTTAAGGATTTACATTTATATCTGTGGTATTTTGAATTAATTTTATATCTAGTGCAAAAAAGGGTGAAGAGTTTTGTTTTGTATTTTGGCATATGAATGCTCTGTTGTTTTAGGAGCTTTTGCTACAAATACTCTCCTTTCTTCAATTCAAGAAAATTGAATTTCCGTGGCACATGAGTCAAAAACCTACCAACCATATATGTATATGCTATAATGCTCCAGTTATCTAAATATTTATCCTTATACATATCCATATATGAATATGCATATGCTATACATACATACATATATGTATTTGCTATACTGTTCCATTTATCTATTTATCCTTACACCAATACCACACTATCTTGACTAATACCACATTATATTAAACTTGAAATAATGGCCAGGTGCGGTGGCTCACGCCTGTAATCTGGCACTTTGGGAGGCCAAGGCAGGCAGATCACCTGAGGTCGGGAGTTCGAGACCAGCCTGACCAACATGGGGAAACCCCATCTCTACTAAAAATACAAAAATTAGCCGAGTGTGGTGGCACATGCCTGTAATCCCAGCTACTCGGGAGTCTGAGGCAGGAGAATCCCTTGAACCTGGCAGACGGAAGTTGCAGTGAGCCGAGATCATGCAGTTGCACTCCAGCCTGGGCGACAAGAGCAAAACTCCGTCTCAAAAAAAAAGAAAAGAAAAGAAAACGTGAAATAAGTAGTGAGTCCCCCAATATTGTCCCTTTTCTTCTAAATTGGTTTGGCTATACTAATTATTTAGTTTCTTACATAAATTTTGGAATCTACTTCTCAGTTTCTAAAAAAAATATAAAAAATCAGCTGAGGATTCTACTGAATGTATAGATAAATATGTAAGAATTGACCCTTGGTCAGGCGTGGTGGCTCAAGACTGTAATCCCAGCACTTTGGGAGGCTGAGGTGGGTGGATCACGACGTCAGGAGCTTGAGACCAGCCTGACCAAGGCATGGTGAAACCCTGTCTCTACTAAAAATACAAAAATTAGCCGAGCGTGGTGGCAAGCGCCTGTAATCCCAGCTACTCAGGAGGCTAAGGCAGGAGAATCTCTTGAACTTGGGAAGTGGAGGTTGCAGTAAGCCAAGATCGTGCCACTGCACTCCAGCTGGGGTGACAGAACGAGACTCCGTCTCAAAAAAAAAAAAAATTGATCCTTAATATTGAGCTTTCCAATCCATTAAATTGGTATATCTTTATATTTATTTAGATTTTTTTGAATATCAATCTGATCAGCATTTTCTAATTCCCAGAGCACACATTTTGCACACATTTTGTCAGGTTTATCTCGAAGTATATCACGTTTTTATGCTATTATAAAATACATTTTAACTTCTATAGTCAATTTTTCATTATCAGTATAAAGGAAGTCAACCGATTTTCACTCACTCATTTTTACAAACTAAGCAAATCTAGTGGCAGCCATGTGGTATATACATTGCTACTTGTGAGGGATGGATAAATGAAAAACATTTCTCCTTTATTTGAGGCATTTGTCAAGCAGAGATATGAACAAATAGGCAATGCAAATCAGAGGGGTTGTAGTAGGGAATGTGCATTATTCTGTGGAAATCCACAAAATGCATGGGCATACAAACCAAATTTAAATAGTCATAGAAGGAATCCTGCAGGAAGTAATTTATGATTGAATAAAGTAGCTGAAAACCATGCAAATTAGAATTAGACAAGACAAAAGAAGGATTAGTATTCAGGTAGAGACCAGGGTGTGTCTACAAGTCAACATTTTTGAGACATCACAGGGAGAGTAACAATTTCAGTACACTGAAGGAAGTTAGAAATCTATGTCAGGGCTAGATTTTTAAGAAATTTTGTTCTGTGTCAATAAGTTAGGATTTTTATAGTTTTCTAAGGTTCTATTCAGCTACTATGGGGTCGACTCAAGAATACAGCTGTTGTAATTGTTAAAATGGGAATTTGGGAGTCTTTTGAATTTGAAAGAAAAAACAAATGTGCGGGATTGAGGCTCAGACCCTGTACAGGCAAAGAAAAAGTTAAAAGTGAGGAAAATGAGAGACAACATAAACTCTGGGAAAAGTGTTCACAAAAAATTTTAGTATTTTCAGGGTAGAAGCTCCTCTTGATTGAGTCATACCTTCCTGCGAAAGATACAAAGTCAGAAAAGAAATCCTCTACCTAGAAAACGACATTTTGGCACCAAGCATAGGTTACTTTCATGCCTTAATTTCACCTTACCAGCATTTCAAAATACCTGCTACACTGTGGTTTGAGGAATGAGACTACTATGCTCACAGCGCCACCTAGCATCAACAGAAAGGGAGGCCCATGGCAAACTTAATAACAAGAGGCGGGAAAAAAAAGGTGAGGCCCAGGAACCGGAAACTTAATTTGAGCAGGATTTTTCTTATATTTATTTAAAAACTAAAATATTGGCCGGGCACTGTGGCTCATGCCTGTAATCCCAACACACTGGGAGGCCGAGGCGGGCAGATCACTTGAGGCCAGGAGTTCAAGACCAGCCTGGGTAACACGGTGAAACCCTGTCTCTACTAAAAATACAAAAATTAGTGGGCATGGTGGCGGGTGCCTGTAATCCCAACTACTGGGAGGCTGAGGCAGGAGAATTGCTTGAACCTAGGAGGTGGAGGTTGTAGTGAGCCGAGATCGCGCCACTGCACTCCAGCCTGGGTGATAGAGTGAGACTCTCCCTCAAAATAATAAAATAATATTGCTGCAGGGGTCAGTGGTGAAATGCAATCCATAACCATTCCCAGTAAACACTCAGCGAGTCCTGGCCCATGCCCACTTTTCCTGTCATTTAACGCAAGGGTTAAATATCAAAGTGAATCCCATTATGCTAATTGATTTACAAATACGGATGTATAGGAGTGTGATACCCTGAGCGCAATCATACTTCGGATATAACTGTAAAACGACTTCAGCTGACTTTGCAGTGTTGCAGTGTCACATTAAACCCTAAGTTGTTTGTGTTTCCCTACACATCACTCTCCAGGAGCATTATAGTTCAGAAGATTAGAGTAATTTCTTAGACTAAAGCCTTGATGGGTTATTATTACATAAAACGTTTTCCACTCTGATGGAGAAGTCAGGTGCATTCGCTCATGTCTCCGTGGCAGGGCCGGGACTCCTGGTCCCCCGCGATTCTGAGCGGTGCCTCACAGCCTAGGTCCTCCAACCTCACAGGGCGGCCCGCAGCAAATGCGCCACTGTCCGGTGCGGCCAACCAGCTCGTGGTGCGCTGTGGGAAGGTCACAGGACGGAGCTGGGGGGCGGGGGCGGCGGTGGGGGCGGGGGCGGCGGCGGGGGCGGGGGCGGGGGCGGGGGCAGATCCTATTTGCGCCTGCGCGGGACTGGAGGATTCGGTGTTGCCCTTTCCCCCTGCTATTTCCGTTTCCGCGCTTCAAGCGGATCTCTTCCGGTTATGGCGCCCGCTGGGAGTGTCTTATCAGCCGCTTATACCGCGGAAACTTTAACCTGCGTTTTCCCGTAAAATTTTCCTCTCTAGGTTTCGTATCATTGTCTTGTTTCTTACTCTTGTATTAACTTTGTTTTAACCTAAGGTTTCTCTTTCCCAAAAACTGTGGTGTTTCTTTACAACCTCTTTTTATAGTTATATAAACATTGCAAGAACCATGATTTTATATTCTTCCTTTTCAGTATTAATAACTTCAATGTCTTTTTTGGCATTTGTCTGAAAATTTGAAATATTTTTCAATTTACTGAACTGATTATCGTTTTGTAAATATCGGATACTACTTTAATCATTTGTGTATTGGCCTTAAGATTCTCTATTTTTAACTCTTCCACCAACATACCTTTAATCTGAGAGGTGTTGTAGGGGCTTCAAGATCAAACTTTCCCCACAGTCTCTATTTTCATTATAAAATACCGTGTTTTAAGAAAAAATGTACAAGGTTGAAAGAAGTTTCACTACTACGTGTTTTTTTTTTAATTTTTATTTTATTTTATTTTATTTTGAGACGGAGTCTCGCTCTGTCACCAGGCTGGAGTGCAGTGGTGCGGTCTCGGCTCACTGCAACCCCCGACTCCCTGGTTCAGGCAGTTCTGCCGCCGACTCCCTGGTTCAAGCAATTCTGCCTCAACCTCCCGGGTAGCTGGGATTACCGGCACATGCCACCACGCCCAGCTAATTTTTGTATTTTTAGTAGAGATGGGGTTTCACCATGTTGGCCAGGATGGTCTTGATTTCCTGACTTCGTGATCCACCCGCCTCAGCCTCCCAAAGTGCTGGGATTACAGGCGTGAGCCACCGCGCTCGGCCTCTACTATGTTTTAAAACAGTGGCTAGGTCATGCTTTTCTGTGTATCCTTACTTCCCTTATTCCATCACCTCATCCATCACTTTACAACTGATCATACAATTACAAAATTATTTTACTAATCAGATTAAATGTGTGCCTTCCATTTGAAGAAGAAAGGTCTACTAAAGGCTTAGTTTTCCCTAGGACACTGGGAGAATACAGGATCTGGTTTCCAGTGCCACAGTGGTGATCACACAGGAATAAACGGGACACAGGTCAGACAACAGCCAGAAAGTCATCTGCCAGTATATGTTTCCTGTGAGATGGACACCTGGTCCCAGGTCAGACACAGGTGTTAGAGTGTCAGCTAGGTAAAAGAAGTAACCTGAAAGAGACACGCTGTGAACAACTATGTCCACCTCCCCTTCATTTCCTAGTATTGGAGGGCTGCTAGCTGCTCTGTTACTAGGACCCAGATTTAGTTGGGGCCTCTCAGAACAGGTCAGAATTGACCTATGCACAGTACCTGTGGGAGTCTGGATGAGGGCCATCCACTGAAAGTTAGTGAATCAAAGATTTAAGATTGATCTAAATGCAAATAGATCTGTGTCAAACGACTATACGCATAATTGCCTTATTTTATACTTATTGAAAAAATCCTCGTAAAATTATAAAGGCATAAGATTTACTTGTTATGAAAATGAAGGCAATAATGAACGTAATTCATAAGTGAATTTGCAAATATCTTGAAATTCCAATTCTGATTTTTCCAAATTAGATTTTGATTCAGAGTCATCGATGTCTTCACACCACCCTCTGTGGCATGAACAGAGATGGTAATGAAGCATTTCTTAGAAAACAAGGCTGGACCACTGTCTGTGTGATTTCCACCTTTCTTGCTGACACCATTCTGCATGTTTTGATGTAAGTGATGTTACCAGAAGGAAACAGCAGAAGGTTGCAAAACAAGTGCAAACAATGAAAGCCATGTCATGGCTGCCAACAGGCTAATAGTGATTGTAACAACACTTGACAAAATAATTTTTAAAAATTATTCAAATATGATAACTAATAACGATACAGAATTATCAAGGGAGGTCCAATTTTTTTTTTTGTCTGAGACGGAGTCTCTCTTTGTTGTCCAGGCTGGAGTGCAGTGGCACGATCTCGGCTCTCTGCAACCTCCCTGACCCAGGTTCAAGCATTTCTCCTGCCTCAGCCTCCTGAGTAGCTGGGATTACAGGCGGCTGCCACCACACCCAGCTAATTTTTGCATTTTTAGTAGAGACGGGGTTTCACCATGTTTTTTGGCCAGGCTGGTCTCAAACTCTTGACCTCAGGTGATCCACCCGCCTTGGCCTCCCAATGTACTGGAATTACAGGCGTGAGCCACTGCACCCGGCCTAAGGGAGCTCTATTAATGGAGCTGAATCTATGAAACAAGAACATCTTCCTTCATCAAGGGAGCAAAACTGTCCAGAAAAAAAGTACAGATGAGGTAGAAGGAGCCTGGTCTATGTGTTCATCTTTGTGGTGGATTGAGAATAGGGAGGCTGGAGAAGAGGCTGAGGGGGAAGTCAGGGCTCACTCCTGTCCTAAAAGCAAAAGGGAGCAAAAGAACCATGTTCATCTTCAGATTCACACATTCTTCACTTTGAAAGAAAATTTAAGTTTATTAGGAAACCATATCTGTGAGGAGTTTTTATTTTTTTTTTGTTTTCTTTTTTTGAAACAGGGTCTTATTTTGTTGCCCAGGCTGGAGTGCAGTGGCATATACACTGTTCACTGCAGCCTCTACCTCCTGGGCCCTAGCAGTTATCCTACCTCAGCCTCCCATGTAGCTGGGACCACAGGCATATGCCACCAAGCCCTGCCTATTTTATTTTTTTGTAAAGACGTGTCTCACTTTGTTGCCCAGGCTGGTGGGGGGAAGTTTTAGAGATTCATTAAATAATTTGTGAAATTTAAAATAAAGGAAAATATTCTGTTTTGGGTTTTGCCCAGTGCATGTTTGGGGCTCATAGGTGAACAACATGGACAAAATAACCTCTGATATTTCAGTCCAGTAGTGATTCAAGGACTGTAACCCAAATCTCAAATGTAGGAGTTTTGGGTTACAAAACTTTTGGGAGCTGAGAGCACAGGCATCAGACCTGAAATGGAATGGACAAGGAAGGCCTCTAGGAGGAGGAACATTGGAGGAGGTTCTGGAGAGCGTGGAGCAGTGAATCTGGCAAACAGGAGAAAGAGAAGAGGAAAAAATGTGTCTGTGGCACAGGCCAGGGCATGAGAAGGGGACAGTGGATTAGAAGGACTGCTGGGATTAGCAACATGTAAGGAGGGCAGGAGCGGGAAGGGCAGACCATGGAGAGGCTGTGAAGGGGAGAGTGGGCAGGTCAGGAAGTGACACAGGGCCGGCCAGCCCACTAAGGAATGCATTTGTTGTGCTGGTAGTTCAAATATCAGTCTCGTTCCTTGCAACAGTACCTCCAGGTCAAGAAGAGTGAGGATAGCCTCTGTGTCTGAGGAGGTCCCTGTGCATTATGAGGAATTGGTTCTAGGAAGAAGGGAGAGTGAAGAGGAACAGAGAGGACCCTCCAGATCCAGTACGGGCCAACTAAGGGAACTTGGATGCTCCTGTTCATGTCCCTTTCTCCATCACTGAGACTCGCCCCATCCCACCCTGAATGCAGGTTCCTTTCCCCTCGGTTATTTTGTGCGTCTCAGATGATGACATGTATTGTAACTTTATTCTATCACATATGACTTTTACATTATATCATAGAAAAAGTTACTTACATAAATTACTTAATGGTGGATTAGTCATAGTTAAAATGTTGTCAGCTTGGTAAACAAATGAAATTATCACACTTTAGTTTTTCTTCGTTGATCATTTATGAAGATTAGTGTCTCCTCATTTCATGGATGTCACAACTACATGTTCTTAAGTAAGGTGTATGCTTGGGGTGTTGTGTTTTCCCTGTTAATGTTGGATACTCCAGTGTTCAGCAAACTATAAACCTATCAACACACATTTGAAAAATCCAGTTGTTTTGTGTTTTATTTCGTGTATCCTGTCTTTACAATATTATATCTTTTCTTCTGCTTACTTGAAATTTAATTTGCTCTTCTTTTTCTAGGTTCCTAAGATGGAAACTTAGGCGATCATTGGGCATCATCATAGGGTCTACCTGCCAAATCAGGTCTTCTTCATTCTGCAAAAGTTTCTCAGTCACCACTTATATTTCATGACTTTGACCCTTGTGAAAATACCAGTCAGATATCTTGTGGAATGTCCCACAATGTGTATTTGTCTGATGGTTTCTCATAATTAGACTAGAAACAATGTGTAAATTAAACATATTTTTCCAAATTAGAAAACAAGAAAAACAGAATAACATATTAGTTAGAAGTATTAACATAGGGCTGGACGCAGTGGCTTATGCCTATAATCCCAACACTTTGGGAGGTGAAGGTGGGCAGATTAATTGAATCCAGCAATTCAGCAATTCAAGACCAATCTGGGCAACATGGCAGAACGCTGTTTCTAAAAAAAATGCAAAAAATTAGCTAGGTGTTGCAGCATATGTCTGCAGTCTCAGCTACTCGGGAGGCTGAGGTGGGAGGATTGGGAGGGTGGCCTGAGCTTGGGAGGTCAAGGTTCACTGAGCTGTGATTGTGCCATAGCGCTCCAACCTGGGCAAGAGAGTGAGACCATATCTCAACAAAAAAGAGAGAAAAGAAAAAATAACAGAGAAAAATAATTTTTAAAAATCAGGTAATGACAAATAGGGAATTCCAAATATATTGCTAATGGTCTGTTAAGCTTGACAGTGCTTTTAGAAAACTTGTTCTGTTTAGAATAGTGTTAGACTCACAGAACAAATTGGTAATATAAAGAGTTTACATATACCACACACAGTTTTCCTTATTATAAATCTTAACATTAGTGTGTTACGCTTGTTACAATTAAGAACCAATGTTAAACATTATCATTCACTGCTATCCATGCTTTATTCACATGTCCTTAATTTCACTTAATGTCCATTTTTTGATTCTGGAATCCCATCCAGGATGACACATCATATTTAGATGTCATTCCTCTTTATGCTTCATAAGCTGTTGACACTTCCTTCAACTTTCCTGGTCTTTCATGACATTGACATACTTCATTAGGAAGTTGTCTGATTTTTTTTTTTTTTGAGATGACTCTCGTTCTGTTGCCCAGGCTGGAGTGCAGTGACGCGATCTCGGCTTGCTGCAAGCTCCGCCTCCCAGGTTCACGCCATTCTCCTGCCTCAGTCTCCCAAGTAGCTGGGACTACAGGCGCCCGCCACCACGCCCAGCTAATTTTTCGTATTTTTAGTGGAGACGGGGTTTCACCGTGTTAGCCAGGCTGGTCTCAATCTCCTGACCTCGTGATCTGCCCACCTCGGCCTCCCAAAGTGCTGGGATTACAGGCGTGAGCCACCGTGCCCAGCCATAGGTTTTCAAAAGGAGGACTACACAGGGAAATTGCCATTCTTATCACATCATACCAATGTTACATACTAATAGCATGTCATATCATGTTGACCTTAATTTGATTACCTATTTGAATTACTTCTTATCAGATTCTTCCACTGTTAAATTGCTATTTGTTACACTTCCTGTGTTGTACTTTTGAAAAGAAGTCATTAGGCTTAGTAAGAAGTGGGAAGTCATTCTTCACCTCTTTATGGGAAGAGTATCTGCAAAAATAATTTGGAATCCTTCAACATGTGAAATGTGTCAGTTTTCCTCCATTTGTTTTATATATTTTTTCACTCATTTATTTATATCAATATGCAAACATGGATCTTTATTTTACACTTACATTTTACTAGTTTATTTTGTTGTTCAAAATTTTCTACTCTTGGCTATTGGAAGGTCTTTTAATTGGCTACTATATCATTTTCGTATACACACTCCTAGTATAATGGCATGAATCCGTTTATGAGGCTAAAGCCCTCAAGGCCTAATTACCTTTTAACAGCCCCACCTTTTAATACTGCTACAGTGGCAGTTAGTTTCCACTAACTGTAGGGGACAAAAATTCAAACCATAGCAAGAACATACCAAAACCATTTTTAAAAACAATAATGCATTTATTTCTGCAAAAAATGGCCATAAAGGGCCACCTTTATATGTGATCATGTAGATCACCCTCTATATGATAAGGAAGACAAATGGAGAACGAATTAGATAGAGAACTGTTGTGAATTAAAGTATTAGGTTTGGAATACAACTTTTTGGGTTGATTGCTCATATTTCTTAGAACAGAAATTCTCAGTGTACAACTTTAACTCTGAAGAAAGCTACCCATCCAATGAAGAAGTAGCAAAGTGACTGTTTGCCATTTCTATCTTCCTTCTCAATAGATTTATTGAAACATAGCATATACATCACCTCTCCACATTTGTTGTACTTTTGTTATTTCTAGTTCATTCTTGAGGTTTCTCTTTAACACAGCGACTATTAATTCTAGCCCAGTTGGCCAGGAGCTGTGGCTCACACCTGTAATCCCAGCACTTGAGGTTGAGGTGGGTGGAATGCTTGAGCTCAGGAGTTCAAGACCTTTGGGCAACATGGTGAAACCCCATCTCTACTAAAAACACAAATTTAGCTGGGTGTGGTGATGGGCACCTGCAGTCCCATCACCATACTCGGGAGGCTGAGGCAGGAGAATCACTTGAACTTGGGAAGCAGAGGTTGCAGCGAGCCGAGATTGTGCCACTGCACTCCAGCCTGGGTGACAGAGCGAGACTCCGTCTCAAAAAAAAAAAAAAAATTCTAGTGCTGCTCAAGAAGCCTCTAGAAGATTTGTTCATGGATGTTTACATTGTGCCTTTCAGGGTACACTTTTTTAAATCTTATTTTACAGCCAAATACATAATTATCTGATTTGTCAGTGGTTTTATTCTCCATTGTGAAATGTAAAGTAATGATGCAACCTATAATTGATGTGAATAATTTATTTTGCAATTACTATTTATGTCAGTATCAGCAAATACTACATTCATTTGTATAGATGATATTAATCTACAGGTTTTATGGATTATTAGTTCATTTCATCCTCACAGCATCTCAAGAGGTCGGCACTAGTTTTACTCCCAATCACCTAGTGAATTTGATCTAAAGCCCTACAAGAAAGGAATGGATGAAACTTGATTTTGACTGAGTCTATCTTTGAAGTCTTTACTTACATCACGTGTTTTAGAATATCTTTTTTTGTATGGAAAACACATTCTAGGACCGGATTAAGAAATGTTACTCTAGGGCCAGGCGCAGTGGCTCATGCCTGTAATACCAGCATTTTGGGAGGTTGAGGCAGGCAGATCACGTGAGGTCAGAAGTTTGAGACCAGCCTGGCCAATGTGGCAAAATACCGTCTCTACTAAAAATACAAAAAAATTATCCAGGCATGCTGGCGGGCACCTGTAATCCCAGCTACTCAGGAAGCTGAGGCAGGAGAATTGCTTGAACTCAGGAGGAGGAGGTTGCAGTGAGCCAAGATTGCACCATTGCACTCCAGCCTGGGCAACAGAGCGAGAATCTGTCTCAAAAAAAAAAAAAAAAAAAAAAAGGTATTCTACCCCGGAAGTCATGTTCCCAAATTAGATGTAAATCCTGTGTTAAATTGATTTAATATTTAGGTCTAAGATCCACCTAGGAATGATTTTATGTGTAATGTGAGGTTATAGATCAGATTTTATTTTTCCCTGTGGATATATTTCTTGAAATATTTATAGAAAAATTCACATTTCCCCAATTAATCTTATAAATTATTTGTGTATATATGCTTGTGTCTGATTTGCTCTCTCCTTTTTTTTTCCATTGGTTTATTTCTCTGTGAAAATATCACACTATTTTAGTAAGACACTTCATTTAACACAGAATTTTCTCTCTAGGGCCTTCTCTTAGCCAAGTGTGCTATTATATAAAGAAGAAAGAGTGAAAACCTCTATGCCTTGAACCTACACCAATATTCTCAGTTGTCCCTTGAATAAAGAGCAGAATTTAGAACTCACTATTACTGATGACACTTAGGTCTTTAATGTTCTTGTGAATCTTAGACAACCCCCACAACATCATTCCCTGCTTTATTTGCTTAGTCCATTCTTGGTGGATTTTATGAGATGTCAACACTCCTCATTAGGATTCCCTCCTTCTGAAGCCTTTGGGATTTTCTACCCACCCAGCAACCACCAGAGGTGGCAGAAACCCCTGCAGACATCCTTCTTGCGCAAGCGCAGTTGTACCATGAATGCGGTCGTCCTGCTGCAGACCACGCCCACCAAGGGCGGGGCCACATCCACTGCAGCTGAGCTCAGAGCCTTCTGTGGGGTCTGCAGTGGCAAGGCCAGCCGCCCCCTGTCTTCCCTCTGGAGCTGTTTGAGGAATGCAGTTCTTTTGCATAAGAAAGGCTTTTCTCTCCAGTCATTCTGCTTGCTGATCAAGAACACTTAACAGCTTCAGGCTTTCCTGGTAATATTCATTCTTGCTTTTGTGTTTTTGTTTTAAGGTCCAAATATCTTTAATACTTGTATGCAGTTTTCTTTTTTATAATTTCACATAAACATCATCTAAAACCAACTTCGCATGTTCGCATTCTGTATTAACAACTTTCGTTTTTGTATTTAAAAATACATTCATAATCACTTTTTCAAAATATCTTGTCAGTTATTTTCATCTTTTCCATGATCATTCTTTACCAGTGCAATGGAAATATTACTTTTATTAGGAAAAGCAGATGTCACGCGGTTTTTAGTGTTGTCGAGAAATTTCCTATGAAACATCTCTGGTTGAAAAGGAGAGGAACAAAATTTTATGTGAGGCACAAGATCACATATGCTCAGAATCGCATGCTTTAATAAAGGCTGTGATTATTTGCATTATATTGTTTAGCTTGTTCTAATTGTAAAAGGTAGACAAAGAATTAATTTGTGTAGACAGAACATTGCGACTCCCATTCTAAATGTAGAGACAGTCACTGCACTGCGCAAATAGGAATGTCGTCATGTTGTTTGCTTTTCTCCTTACCCCAAAACTGTAGACATTGGCTAGAGTCTTTGATTTTTTTCCCAACTTGCTTTTGTAATTGTCGGCATGATGTTTGCACAGATAACCAATGATATAGATATATATTTTTTTCTTACTATTTGATGAATGATTAATATTTTGGGTTTTTTTTATGTTTTCAGTGAATCAAAAATATCATTCAGAAAATGTTGTCATCCATATCCAGGTAGCATATAGTTTTATAATCTGATCTTGTAATAAGGAAATTACAGTCCTTATTGATTTTCTGTTATTAGTTAGCATTTTTTAAGTTTTCATGCTTGTGAGTATTTGGGAATTTTTTTTTTACTCTGTCAATAATTTAACACCTTTGTATTGGTCATCTGGGTCGATGTCTATTGTTTAGGCTCAACCTTTGACACTCCTCTGAGGTAGTTTTTATGTGAATTTGTAACCACCCAAGGGATTCACCTTGCCAGCTGTCTAGACAGAGCCGATTTATCAAGACAAGGGAACTATAATAGAGAAGCAAGAATTCACCCAGAGCCGGCTGTGCAGGAGACCATAGTTTTATTATTACTCAAATCAATCTCCCTGTAGGGGGATCAGGGGTTTCTAAGAATAATTTGGTGGGTAGGGGGTCGGAAAGTGGGGAGTGCTGATTGGTCATGTTGGAGATGAAATCATAGGGAGTGGAAGCTGTCCTCTTGCGCTGAGTCAGTTCCCCGGTTGGGGCCATAAGATCAGATGAGTCAGTTTATTGATCTGGGTGGTATCAGCTGATCCATCGGGAGCAGGGCCTGCAATAGATCTCAAGCACTGACTGAGCTTAGGTTTCACAATAGTGATGTTATCCCCAGGAGCAGTTTGAGGCAGTTTAGAGTCCTGCAGTCTCCAGCTGGATGAATCCTAAACCGTAATTTTTAATCTTGTAGCTGATTTGTTATTCCTACAAAGGCATGATGGAGGGGGGTTGTTTTGGGAAAGGGCTGTTACTGTCTTCATTTAAAAGCTAAACTATAAACCGAATTCCTCCTGAAGTTCGCGGGGAATGAACAAGGGCAGCTTGGAGGTTAGAAGCAAGATGGAGTCAGTTAGGTCAGATCTCTTTCACTGTAATAATTTTCTCAGTTATGATTTTTTGCAAAGATGGTTTCAAATTGATGGCTTAGTGTCCTGGGTAGTGAAAATGGAATTCCTCAACCTGAATTGAACATGGATTTCCTCCTGAAGAAACAATTTAGGGCTCCAAAAAGTAAACCAGGAGCCTGGCACAGTGGTCACACCTGTAATCCCAGCACTTTGGGAGGCTAAGGCGGGTGGATCATAAGGCCAGGAGTTTGATACTAGCCTGGACAACATGGTGAAACCCTGTCTACTTAAAAAAAAAAAATACAAAAATTAGCCGGGCATGCTGATATGCACCTGTAATCCCAGCTACTCGGGAGGCTGAGGCAGGAGAATTGCTTGAACTTGGGAGGCTGAGGTTGCAGTGAGTCAACATCGAGCCACTGCACTCCAGTCTGGGTGACAGAGAAAGACTCTGTGGGGTATGATGAGGCTTCTCTTCAAATAGCCTGATCAATCGTTTATTCTTTAATTAATAGTAACCCCCACCCCCTTTTCCTTTTTCTCTTTTTTCTTTCTGCCTTTGTTGCATGCCCGGACATGCCACAGTAGCAGGCTTATCAGTACCAGCTCACATTCCTTTCCTTATTTGGAAAGGAGACTAGCTCTCTAGCTCATTGCAGACACCCCTTCCCCTTTTCCCCTCTCTCCCTTATGTGCCCACCTTATCTAAAGAAAGTTCAATTGTCTAGCCAACCAGGATTAGTTCAGACTGTGCGACCTGACCTCCACCAATGGGAAAAGGGTACAGGGGCAGGACTTGGGGCAGGAATAAAGACTCTTGTGCCCCTTTGTTCTGGTGTGCTTTCATGGCGACTGGCCAAGGAGAAGCACCCCTCTGCGCAGAAGTAAAATTGCTTTGCTAAGAATCCTTTGTTTGAGTGTTCAATCTCCCTTAGGATTTTGAGCATTATTCCCAACCATTCAATCCAAAAAAAAAAGTAGACCAGGATTGATTTAGGGCCTGTATTATAAATTGTACAAATGCCAACAAGATTGTATTCCACTAGAGGAACGCATTCTCTAGTGAAGGAAGCATTCCTGCAGGATGAGTCCCTGAGACTCACTAGCAAATTTCATACAAGTAATGAAATCCTCAGTCTAATGGAATAAAAACAATTCCAGGGGCATTTGTTAAAGATGTATAAGATGTGAGAAACCAACAGACTAACAGCATTGATACTTTATGGATATTTTTATTCCAAATTAATAGATGTGTTACAGGAAAAGGGTCCTGATCCAGACCCCAAGAGAGGGTTGCCGATATTCAGGGCCAGTCTGCAGAGTAAAGTGAAAGCAAGCTTACTAAGAAAGTAAAGCAGAAAAAGAATGGTTACTCCATAGACAGAGCAGCCCTGTGGGCTGCTGGATTCCCATTTTCATGGTTATTTATTGATTATATGCTAAACCAAGGGTGGATTATCCATGCCTCCCCTTTTTAGACCATATAAAGTAACTTTCTGATGTTGCCATGGCATTTGTAAACTGTCGTGGTGCTGGAGGGATGTAGCACTGAGGACGACCAGAGGTCACTCTCGTCACCATCATGGTTTTGGTGGATTTTAGCCGGCCTCTTTACTGCAGCCTGTTTTATCAGCAAGATCTTTATGACCTGTATCTTGTGCCAGTCTCCTGATGTGACTTAAAATGCCTTAACCATCTGGGAATGCAGCCCAGTAGGTCTCATCCTCATTTTACCCAGCCCTATTCAAGATGGAGTTGCTCTGGTTCACATGCCTCTGACAGATGGACATTTGTTTGCCAAGCAATGCTGCAATCAGGGGCTCTGGATTTCAGTCCTCCATACAGAGAATGTCAAGGGCAGACCTTAATAAAAATAAATAAATGAATAATCAAATTTTTAAAATTACCTCTTTCATTCTTTTATTGTATTATGATCTGACACCATTAACTTTAATTTTCTTGCATATGGAGAGCAACTTGATACAAACTGGTATTTATTTAGTGAAGAAAAGAGATAAGGTGATTCCCAAATTTAAAGGAAACTGGAAGTTTTGTGGGAAACAAATGGAGGAGATAAGACTTACTAGTTTCTACTTATTTTAATGAGAATTGTGTTGTTCATTTATAAATACAAAGCTCCATTTAAATTACAGATGCTTTTGATTTATGATGAGGTTACTTCCAGATAAACCCATCACAAGTTAAAAATGTCATCAGTCGAAAATGCATTGAATATACCTAACTTAGTTAAAATCACAGCCTAGCCTATCATCCTTAAGTGTGCTCAAAACACTTATATTAGCCTAACGTTTGGGAAGATCATCCACACAAAGCCTATTTTATCATAAAGTGTTGAATATCTCATGCAATTTATTGAATACTGTACTGAAACAGAAAAACAGAAAGATTGGACACTCAAAGTATAGTTTCCATTAATGTGTATTGCTTTTATTTAATTTAAAAATTTTAAGTTGAATCATAGCAAGTGAGGAAGCCCATATATTATAAAATGTAATAAGTTTACCAGCCACAAATAACAACAAATCATAGGAAATGCAGGGATTGGGTTGAGGTGAGGTGGTTCAACCTATTATACCCATTTCCTTCATCTCTAATGGGCTGCCCTTCATCCTTGGGGTTGTTGCAGGGTGGCTGTGCAGTGCAAAGGGCACACAAGAATTGCTTGAACCTGGGAGGTGGAGGTTGCATTGAGCTGAGATTGTGCCACTGCACTCTAGCCTGGGCAACAGAGTGAGACCCCATCTCAAAAGCATAAATAAATAAAAGGATAATATCTCTGTCAAAGTACAGTGATGCATTGCTTAATCATGGAAATACCTTCTGAGAAATGCATTGTTTGGTGATTTCATCTCTGTGCAAACATGGAGAGCATTACACAAACCTAGAAGGCATAGCCTACTACACATCCAGGCTACATGGTACTTACTATTGCTCCCAAGCTATAAGCCTATAAGCATGTGACTGTCCTGAATACTATAAGCAATTGTAACACAATGATAAGTATTTAAACATGTAACCTATCTAAACATAGAAAACATAAAAAGATGGTATAAAACAAAAAATATTGTTCAGTTGTATAGGGCAGTTGCCATGCCTGGAGCTTGCAGGACTGGAAGTTCTTCTGGGTGAGTCAGTGAGTGAGTGGTGAGTGAATGTGAAGACCTAGGACATTACTGTATGCTACTGCAGACTTTAGAAACACTGTAAACTAAGGCTACACTTAATTTATTAAAAACTAAAGTAATTGTGCTATGGCATCGTGACAGCTTTGACATCTCTAGGTGATAGGAAGTTCTCAGGTCAATTATAACCTTATGAGAGTACCCTCCTATATGTTGTCTTTCCTTGACAGAATAAAATATCATTTTGAGAGCCATGACTAATAAACACATAAGAGTCGATTTAATATTTATTTTAAAAGCCCTTCCATAGTTATAAAAGCATAAGTTTTAGTCACATCAAAATATAAACAATCTTGAAATTAATTCATAAGTAAATCAATAGATATCTTGAAATTGTGCTTATGATAGTTCTAAACCAGACTTTAATGCAGAATCTTGGATATCTTAATCGCACTGTGTGGCAGGAAGACTGATGGCAATAAAACATTTCTTAAAAAAGAGGCTGCAGCATTTTCTGTGCAATTTGCACCATTCCTGTTCACACCTGTTCTGTAAGTGTTGCTGCAGGCGATCCTGTAAGAAATGACAGCGGGTTGCAGCGCAAGTTCATGCAAACAATGAAAAGCATGTCATGGCTACCACTAGGCTAACGCTATTGTAATAAAATTTGAAATAAAATAGACTAGAAATGATGAAATATGAGAACAACATTGGAAATATTTATCAAGGGAACCATATTAATGTAAGCGAATTTTAGAGAACAAAATACTTTTCCTAGGTCTGCAAGGACAAAACTGTCCAGAAGAACAGAAGAGGGACAGATGAGGTAGAAGCAGCATGGCCCATGAGAGGGGCTCTGCAGTGGATTGAGGGTGGGGAGGCTGGCAAAAAGGCTGGGCAGAATCAGGGCTCACATCCTGACCTGAGAACAGAAGAGAGCACAAGAAACAGGTTCATCTTCAGGCACAAATCCTCTTCAGATTGAAAGAGAGATGGAGTGTCTAGGGAAGTAGGCAAGCATTTGGGGAAGGAGAGTCACTGATTCATTAGTGAAACACAACAAAAAAACAAAATCTTCTGTGTTGCTGTTTGTCCACTGCATGTGTGGGGCTCACAGGGGAACAACATAGACAAAGTTTCCAAATTCTCAGGTGTTTAAGACGAGTGAGGATTCAGAAAACTTAACAGAAACTAAACTGCAAGTGCAAGAGCTGCCCTTAGGAACTCAGGGGACAGGCATCAGGCCTGGGATGGGATGGACAAGGGGGGCCTTCAGGAGGAGGAGCATTGGAGGAGATGCTGAAGAGTGAGGGGCAGGGGATCCACCAGACAGGGGAGGTAAAGGGAAGAGGAAACAGTGTGTCTGGCACAGTTCAGGGCATGAGATAAGGGCAGTGGGTTGGAAGGATCGCTGGGATGAATAATATATGAGGAGGCAGGAGCAGGAAGGACAGACCATAAAGGGCCTGAGCAGGGGAGGGAGGACAGCTCTGGAAGTGATGCAGAGGCTGCTCCCTGCGGACTGCCTTCTGTGGGGAGGAGTTCGAATGCCTTTTCTTCTTTTAAGTGTTACTCACAATCCATGAGATCTACTGACAAGGAAGACAGTTGGAACAAGTAAGAATAGTCCTTGTTTGATGGGAAGGAGCAGTAGCATTACCAGGAGGGGTTGGTGTTGGGGAGGGGCAAGGGTGGGGAAGGGCAGAGAAGTTTCTGTCCCCTCAGCCATTTTGCAGATGTAGGTTGGATCACTGGATCACAAATTCACAGTGGCTGGCTCATGGCCACCTTGCATCACAGGGTGAGAGCAGCCTCACAGGAAACTGCAGATAAGGGGGGTTCCCAGCTGCACAGAAGAAGGACAGCAGGTAACTTTCAGTCAAGGTTGGCAGGGGGCTGCAGAGGTGGCAGCAATGATGGTGGTGGGCAGTGTGCAGCCTTGTAGGCCACTGTCTCCATGGACATACAGATTTGCACGCATCTGTGTCTGCGTGTCCTCTCGGTGTGCTGACATTCTTACAAAATCCTCATGAATTTCTCATTGTTCTGAGACCATAACATGTATTTTGACTTTTTTCTACCACATGTACCCTTTCATGTGTACCTAGCAAAATTGACCAAAATTCCTTATTGGTGGATTATTCATAGCTACAGTATTTTCCAACTTAATAACTAAATGAATTGCCCTGCTTTGTATATGTTTGCCTAATCATTCCTGAAGATTCATGTCTCCTCATTTCAGGGGGAGCCACCCCTGCATGTTCATAAGCAGGAGTTCAGTTTAGGGTGTTCTGTTTTCCTAGTTAACTGTGGACACATCTGCGTTCTGGAAACTATTAAACTCTCAATACTCATTTGAAAATTCCAGTTACTTTATCTTTTACTTAGCTTTCACTTTATTTACAGTACTCTCTCTTTTCTCCTGCTTACTTTGGATTTCGTTTGCTCTACTTTTAAGTTTCCTATGGAGGAAATTTAGATTATCGATTTTTAGATGTTTTTTCTTTTTTAAATTTTATTTATTTATTTATTTTTATTTTATTATTATTTTTTTTTTTGGAGAGGGAGTCTCTCTCTGTCGCCCAGGCTGGAGTGCCATGGCGTGAACTCTGCTTACTGCAAGCTCCGCCTCCCGGGTTCACACTATTCTCCTGCCTCAGCCTCCCAAGTAGCTGGGACTACAGGCGCCCACCACAACGCCCGGCTAATTTTTTTTGTATTTTTAGTAGAGACGGGGTTTCACCATGTTAGCCAGGATGGTCTCGATCTCCTGACCTTGTGATCCGCCCGCCTCGGCCTCCCAAAGTGCTAGGATTACAGGCAAGAACCGCCGCTCCCGGCCCCTCTTCTTTTCTTTTTTTTTTTTTTTTTTTTTTTGGTGGAATTTTGCTTTTGTCACACAGGCTAGAATACAATGGCGCAATCTCGGCTCGCTGCAACCTCTGCCTCCCGGGTTCAAGCGATTCTCCTGCCTTAGCCTCCCTAGTAGCTGGGATTACAGGCGCCCGCCACCACGCCCAGCTAATTTTTGTATTTTTAGTAGAAACGGGGTTTCGCCATGTTGGTCAGGCTGGTCTCCAACTCCTGACCTCAGGTAATCTGCCCACCTCAGCCTCCCAAAGTTCTGGGATTACAGGTGTGAGCCACTGTGCCTGGCCAATGTTTTTTTTTGTTTGTTTGCTTTGTTTTTAATAGATACATTTCCCCCCTATGCTCCCTCACTGCATTCTACAAATTTTGATAAGATGCATTTTAATTTAAACTTAGTTCAAAATGTTGTTTAATTTTCTCTTGAGATTTCTTGCATCATGTGTTATTTAAAAGTGTGTTAGTTAATCTCCATGTATTTTGAAGTTTACCAGTTATGTGCCTTTTATTGATTTCTATCTTAATTTTATTGGGGTTTTAGGGTATATATTTGTTAACATAAAAATCATGAGATCTATAAATTTGGAAAGAAAAAGAGCTATAAATATTCTTGAAGGTAGCCCTACAGCATGTATACTGAACAAACATGCACGTAACCTATGACCCATGTTCACCTTGGTGTGGAGACTGAGCTTTTTTTTTTTTTTTTTTGAGACAGAGTCTTACTCTGTCCCCCAGGCTGGAGTGCCATGGTACCATCGTGGCTCACTGCAACCTCTGCCTCCCAGGTTCAAGCGATTCACCTGCCTCAGCCTCCCAAATAACTGGGATTACGGGCACCTGCCACCATGTCCAGCTAATTTTTGTATTTTTAGTAGAGACAGGGTTTCACCATGTTGGCCAGGCTGGTCTTGAACTCCTGACCTCAGGTAATCCACCCGCCTTGGCCTCCCAAAGTGCTATGATTACAGGTGTGAGCCACCACGCCCAGCTGAGACTTAACATTTAAATGTATTACAGTTAGGCCCTACACACAAAAGCCCCTTTCAGGACACAAAGGCAGACAAGTACACAATCTCTAGAAACCAGTCAGACCCAGTCCATGTTTGGTGGGCTCTTATCAGGAGAAAGTTACTGAAATCAGTCTCTTGTGCAATCAAGGCTGTAGCGATGGCTGTTGGAACAGAGGCTGGAGTTAGCGTCTGGCGGTGGATGAGCTGCAAATTGTTTTAAGATTGTTTATGTGGAAGTCAGTGCTTGCTTAGCTGCTAGAGAAAAAGATAAACCTCCTGTCAGTTAGAACATAGTTTATTCTTCAACTATAGGGGTGAGTGACTTAACCCTTGCCTGTCATGGCCTTAGGTCTTATTTATAATTTGATATCTTATTGCCACCAAGAAGAGTTCATTCCTTCATTCTTATGATCTCTATTTTAATATGAATGCTGGTCAGTTGTTGTGTCTAAACTGCAAAAGAGACAGATGATAACGAGGCATGTCCCACTTCCTGTCCCATCATGACTGGAAACTCAGTTTGTATGGTTTCCCTGCGGTCCTGTCTGTTCAGTCAGTTGGGGGGCTTAGGATTTTATTTTTAATTCTCATAGAGGAGTGTTGAAGTCACCGACCGTAATAGTGGATTCATCTATTTTTCCTGTTTTAACGGTTTCTGCCTCGTAGTTTTATGTTCTGTTGCTACATGTTAGAATTATTATATCTTCTTGGAAAATTGACCCCACTATTATTATGTAATGCCTTTCTATTTCCCTGATAATTTTTCTGACTGTATAGTCAGCTTTTTCTGAAATTAATATAGCTACTCCTGCTTTTTCTATTTGCTTGCTATATTTTGTTCCATCTATTTACTTTCAGTTAATATGTCTCCATTTTTATTAAATAACAGATAAAATGAGATGTATGTACTATGTATAACATGAGGTTTGAATAATAATGTGCATTGTGGAATGGCTAAATCCAGCTAATTAACATGTGTATTACCTCACATAGTTATCATTTTTGTGGAGAGAACACTTTCTATCCACTTTTTAAGCATTTTTTTAAATAGACACAGGCTCTCGCTCTGCACCTAGGCTGGAGTGCAGTGGTTTGATCACAGCTCACTGCAGTGTAGACCTCCTGAGCTCAAGCAATCCTCCTGCCTCAGCTTCCTGAGTAGCTGGGACTACAGGTGCACACCACCATGCCCAGCTAATCTTTAGCGTTTTAAAAATAAGACTTATGTTTTTAACTAGAGAAACCATATGGTACAATAGATCTCTTGAAATTATTCCTCCTCTCTGACTGAAATTTTGTATCCATCCACAAAACTTCTGCCCAACCCCACCCTCAACCCCAGGCTCTGGTAACTACCGTTCTACATCCCCACTTGTATGAAATCACATTTTTTAGATTTCACATGAGTAAGATCTTGAGGTATTTATCTTTGTATGCTTAACATTTCAGTTAACATAATGTACTCCAGGTTCAACCATGTTGTCGCAAATGACAGGATTTCCTTTTTATATGCCTCAGTAGTATTCCATTGGGGATTATATATATAATTTTCTTTATCTGTCAACGGACACATAGGTTGATTCCGTATGTTTGCTATTGTGAACAATGTTAAACACTTCTCATTGAGGAGTGTTGAAGTCACCAACTATAATAGTGGATTCATCTATTTTTCCTGTTTTAACAATTTCTGCCTCATAGTGGTTTGAACACTGCTAAAATATACATGAGTGTAGGTATCTCTTCAACATACTGATTTCATTTTCTTTGGATATATAGCCAGCGTTGGGATTGCTAGATCTTATGGTAGTTCTATTTTTAATTTTTTGAGGGGCCTCTATACTTTTTTCGATAATGGCTGTACCGATTAACATTCTCATCAACAGTGTGCAGGGGTTTCCTTTACAACACCTGTTATCTTTACTCTTTTTAATAATAGCCTTGTAACAGGTATAATATCTCATTTTGATTTTAATTTACATTTCCCTGTATCTGTCTTTATATTTAAATAAGTTTTTTTTTTTTGGGGGGGACGGAGTCTCACTCTGTCGCCCAGGCTGGAGTGCAGTGGTGTGATCTCGGCTCACTGCAAGCTCCGCCTCCCTGGTTCACGCCATTCTCCTGCCTCAGCCTCCCGAGTAGCTGGGACTACAGGCGCCCGCCACCACGCTCAGCTAATTTTTTGTATTTTTAGTAGAGACAGGGTTTCACCATGTTAGCCAGGATGGTCCCGATCTCCTGACCTCATGATCCACCCGCCTCGGCCTCCCAAAGTGCTGGGATTACAGGCGTGAGCCACTGCGCCCGGCCTTAAATAAGTTTTCTCTAGAGAACATATGGTTAAGTCTTGTTTTTTGATCCACTCCAACAGTCTGTGTCTTTTCATTGGTGGTTTTGAGCCATTGAAAGTCAATGTGATTATTGATAATAGCAGATTGCTATCTACCATGTTTATTTCTGCTTTTCATTTGCTGCCCTTGTTCTTTGTTCCTCCTCCTGTCTTCCATTTGTTTGCTTCCCTTTATGGTTTTAATTGAGAATTTCATATGATCCAATTTTCTCTTCTTAGCATATCATTATATTTTCTTTTTATTTTTAAATATTTTAGTAGTTGCCATATGAAATAAAAACTTTTTCATATTTTAGTTGATATAACAGATAACAGTTTGTTAAAAACAAAAATTGTAGCCATTTATTTGATGAGGTATTCTTATGTTTATAGTTTGAGTGTGTGTGCATGTATATGGGTGTGTGTGTGTATATATATATATATACACACACACATATACATATGCATGAATGCTCATATATAAATGCAATGAATGACAGCAATAGTACAAATTACCAAAGTACAAATGACTATTGTTTCCTTATTATAGGCAACTCACACTACTTGTGAACTGATAGAGTGTTATTTGAAAGGGAGTTTGAATTAACTGTAAATTTAGGGACTGGCTATTGGATTAAGATCCTCCATTCCTTGGCTGGCTGTTGTCCAGAGGCTGCATTCAGCTCCTTCCCATGTTGGCTTCTCCCACATGGCAGAATGCTCCATCAAAGCTACAAGGGGAGAGTTTGCTAGCAAGACAGAAGTAATGATTTTACATAGCATAATTACCCATGTGATGTACCTTCAGCTGTGCTCTATTCTCTTGTTTCAAAATAAGTCAAGGTTGCTGCCCACACTTACAGGGAGAGGATTAGAATGCAAGGTTGTGTTCACCAGCAGGTGGGAATCACTGGGTGCCAATCTAGGGTCTGCTTGCTGTGTCAGATCTTCTCCAACCTGCAACAGTTTCTCAGTGTTCAATTATTTTGTATAACCTGAATTCTTTTGAAAAGTACCAGTCAGGTGTTTTGTGGAATTTCCTACAAAATGGATTAGTCTCATGGGTCTCATTATTACAATAGAGATATGCATTAATTTAGACACATGTATGTGGGTGTTAAGAAAAACTGAACAATGTATTACTTAGAAATACAAAAGGAGAGACCAGGTGCAATAGCTCACACCGGTAATCCCAGCACTTTGGGAGGACGAGGTGGGAGGATCACTTGAGGCCAGGAGTTCCAGACTAGCCTAGGCAACATAGCCAGACCCTATCTCTAACCACAACAACAAAAATTTAAAATTAGCCAGGCATGGTGGTGCACACCTGTGGTCCAAGCTACTAGGGAGGCTGAGGCAGCAGGATGTCTTGAGCCCGGGAGGTCGAGGCTAAAGTGAGCCATGATCACACCACAGCGCTCCAGCCTGAGCTACAGAGTGATACCGTGTCTCAAAAAAAATGGGGATATGCACTCAGGGGTTTTCAACAATATTGACAAGGTTTGGCTTATTATACTGGGAAGGGAATTTATAAAAAAGAAACTTGTTAAATTTTAGAATAGTTTAGATATACACAGCAGTTGCCAAGATAATACAGATCATTTCCTTATGCTTAGCATATAGTTTCCCTTATTATTAATCCCTTACATTAGTGGGTGATATTTGTCACAATTCATAATTCAGTAGTATACATTATCCTTCTCTATGATTCACATTTTATTTAGAATTTTTCTTCTACCGAATGAACACTTTGTGTTCCAGGATTCCCTCCAGGAGACCACATCACATTTAGAAATCCCATCTCATTAGGTTCCTTCTGCCTGTGACAGTTTCTCAGACTTTCCTTGTTATTGATGACATTAACATCCCCAATTTGGGATTTCTCTGACATTTTTCTCATGATTATACTGGAGTTGGGTTTGGGGAAGGAAGATCACTGAGAGAAAATGTCATTGTAACCACATCATATCACGGGTGTCTACTATCAACATGATTCATGCCTGTTGATAGCAATTTGATTACCTGGACAAGTTAGCCTTTGTCAAATTTCTTTACTGTAAAATTATTTCTTTCTCCACTTTCCCTGTTTCACTTTTTGAAAATAAGTCAGCATACATAGCACATACTTAAGAACAAGAAAGTTATGCTCTACCTCCTTATGAACTGAGGACCTAAAACAAGAGTTGAGAACTCTTTACTGTATACAGTTGGCCTGTTCTCCACCATGATTTCATACCATTTATTTATACTGTATTGAATATGATATGAAATTAGATATATTCAGTTCACATCTCCCTTATACTCCTTTATTTCATAGCTCGAATTGTTCCATTGTTGGCCATTGGAAGGTCTCTCAGTTGGCTCCCATATCATTTTGAAATAGCCACATTATTTTGGTTAGATTTTGCTTGTTTGGTGGTTCAATTGTAATGTTTCATAGTTTCTTACTTTCAGGCACTACAGGGTCCTCCAGGCCAATTGTGTTTATTTCGTGCCCAAGCCTGGTACCCATCATTTCTTCAAGGGTCCTAGTTTCTTTTATTGGAAAATGGCTTTTAAAACAAAGATACAGACCCAGGTATATTCACTGATACTGGGTCATCTGTCGATTTGAGGAGTAGTCAGCTGACAAAACAATGAAACGTACCTGTGTATACTAACCCACACATATACACATATGTGTAAATATTTCCTCATATGTTCATATATAACCTGATTAACTTAAACATAAATTCCTACTAATGTCTCCAGCACTACATGAATATAATATAACTTGAATCAATCTCCCCATTCCCACTACTTGGTTGTAACCCCCACTCTAACAGTGAGTGAGTTGGCCTTGTTAACTTAATCACCAAGTTAGAGGCTACATGCATAGTGGCTTCAGAATTGTTCATCCACACTCTCATGAAGAACAACATTACCAACTAAAGTACAGTGCTCATAGACAACTTCTTGGACCTTTAGATGCAGAATCTTCACTTTGTACCCAAGTTACTTAGGTCAGTTCTTTCCCCCGCCTCCCAGCTTCCTTTAGTGAGGTTATATCATACATTTCTTATTCATTTTTCTTATTTTCTCTGTATTCCTCTATGGGATCCCTCAACCTACAAATAATTATTTTCTCTGTATTCCTCTATGGGATCCCTCAACCTACAAATAATTTTTTTTTTTTGGTTTTTTGTTTGTTTGTTTCTTTGTTTTTTGAGATAGAGTCTCACTCTGTCACCCAGCCTGGAGTGCAATGGTGTGTTCTTGGCTCACTGCAGCCTCCGCCTCCCAGGTTCCAGCAATTATCTTGCTTCAGCTTCCCAGGTAGCTGAGATTACAGGCACGCACCACCACGCCCGGCTAATTATTTGGTATTTTTAGCAGAGATGGGGTTTCACTATGTTGGCCAAGCTGGTCTCAAATACCTGACCTCAGGTAATCCACCCACCTCGGTCTCCCAAGTCTCCCAAGTGCTAGGATTACAGGCGTGAGCCACCATGCCTGGCTTACAAATAATATTTTTAATTTCCGTACATTTAGGTTCACTGTTTGTATTATAAAGTTATGCAGGGTTTCAAAAACAATATGATGTAGCGACCATGCAGGAAGTTTTTATTACCCTAAAGAAATTCCATCTACTTCACCTATTTCACTGTCCTCCTTGGAGAGTCCCTAGTTAGCATTAATCTGTTTACTATCTCTATTATTTTACCTTTCCCAGGGTGTCATATACATGGAATTGCACAGTCTGTCATCTTTTCAAACTGGCTTCCTTAACTTAAAAATATGCCTTTAATTTTATGAAGTATATCTTACGGTGATTTAGATTTGCATTGCTGAAGGACTAATGATGTCAATCATCTTTTTATGTGCCCTTTGGGGATACATATTCTTTGAAGAAATGTCTATTTATACAATTTACCCATTTTTAGTTGGTATTTGTCTTTTATTTTTTGAGATGTGACAATCTTTTATATATTCTGAACAGTAGACCCTCATTACCTATATGACTAGCAAATATTTTGTCTCTTTTTTTTTTGAGACAAAGTCTCGCTCTGTTGCCCAGGCTAGAGTGCAGTGGTGCAATCTTGGCTCACTGCAAGCTCCGCCTCCCCGGTTCACACCATTCTCCTGCCTCAGCCTCCCAAGCAGCTGGGACTACAGGCGCCCACCACCACGCCTGGCTAATTTTTTTGTACTTTTAGCAGAGACGGGGTTTCACCATGTTAGCCAGGATGGTCTCGATCTCCTGACTTCATGATTCGCCCACCTCAGCCTCCCAAAGTGCTAGGATTACAGGCGTAAGCCACCACGCCCGGCCTTTTGTCCTCTTTTTAGGGTTGTTTTATACTTCTTGATAGTATATGTTGAATGACAAACATTTTAAAAAATAGATGAATTTATCTATTTTTGCTTCTGTTACTTGTGTTTTTTGTGTTATATCTTAGAAACCATTAATTTCAGACCATGAAGATACATTTTTAAAATAACTTTTTTTTTGAGACATGAGTATCACTTTTGTTGCCCAGGTTGGAGTGCAGTGGCACAATCTCAGCTCACTGCAACCTCTGCCTCCTGGGTTCAAGTGATTCTCCTGCCTCAGCCTCCCAAGAGGCTAGGATTACAGGTGCCTGCCACCACACTAGGCTAATTTTGTATTTTTAGTAGAGACAGGGTTTCACCATTTTGGCCAGGCTGGTCTCAAACTCCTGACCTCAGATGATCCACCCACCTACCATACCCAGTCAAAAATACATTTTTTTTTGGAAAATATAGTTTAGGCTGGGCGCAGTGGCTCACGCCTGTAATCCCAGCACTGTGGGAGGCCAAGGCGGGCGGATCACCTGAGGTTGGGAGTTCGAGACCAGCCTGACCAACATGGAGAAACCCCGTCTCTACTAACAATAAAAAAATTAGCTGAGTGTGATGAAACATGCCTGTAATCCCACCTACTTGGCAGGCTGAGACAGCAGAATCGCTTGAACCTGGGAAGCAGAGGTTGTGGTGAGCTGAGATCCCACCATTACACTCCAGCCTGGGCAATAAGAGTGAAACTCCGTCTCGAAAAAAAAAAAAAAAAAAAAAGCTGGGTGCGGTGGCTTACGCCTGTAATCCCAGCACTTTGTGAGGCTGAGGCGGGCGGATCACACTGCACTCCAGCCTGGGTGACAGAGCGAGACTCCGTCTCAAAAAAAAAAAAAAAAAAAAAAAAATAGTTTTCCTCATTGAATTGCCTTGGCAACTTTTGCAATCCATAGACCATAAATGTCAGGGTTAATCTTTGGACAGTCACTTATATTCCATTGACCTATATCACTGTCCTTATGCCAGTACCACAATGTCCTCATTACTATCACTTTATATTGTTTAGAAATCCCATAATCCAACTTTGTTCTGCTTCTCATTACCAGTGTGGTTCTTTTAGATCTCATGAATTTCCATATGAATTTTAGAATCAGCTTACCAATTACTCCCGCCTTGCCCGCAAAAAAAAAGCAACAGGGATTCCCATAGCACAACGACATCACTCTGCTGGACAGCAAGAGGGTGTGTTCAGGAACCATACCTAGTCTACAAAGCCATGGGACTACATACCACAGTCCCAGGGACAACCACAAAATCAAGACTCTTCTTTTGTTTTTGTTTCTTTTTTTTTTTTTTGAAACGGAGTATTGCTCAGTCACCCAGGCTGGAGTGCAATGGCACGATCCCGACTCACTGCAACCTCTGCCTCCTGGGTTCAAGCAATTCTCCTGCAAATATTTTGTCTCTCTTTTTTTTTGAGACAAAGTCTCGCTCTGTTGCCCAGGCTAGAGTGCAGTGGTGCAATCTTGGCTCACTGCAAGCTCCGCCTCCCCGGTTCACACCATTCTCCTGCCTCAGCCTCCCAAGCAGCTGGGACCACAAGTGCCCACCACCACGCCTGCCTAATTTTTTGTATTTTTAGTAGAGACGGGGTTTCACCGTGTTAGCCAGGATGGTCTCGATCTCCTGACCTCGTGATCCACCTGCCTCGGCCTCTCAAAGTGCTGGGATTACAGACGTGAGCCACCGTGCCTGGCCAACTCTTCTTTTTATGGTCTGAAATCACGGAGTATATTCTCTACATCTCATTCCTACCTTCAATGAGGAAATTAGTTCCTGGGATCTGATGACCTGGAGTGAGAGATGCAGCTGATCTAGACCACATTTCTCACTTCTGAGATCAGAATAGCAAATATGTATGTACTAGTAATTTGGACATTTGCAATTCAAGAAACCTCGCACCTCCCACAGCATACTTCATTCACTCCATGAGAAAAAAACAAACTCACTTAAATATTCATCTTCAGAAAAAAAAAAAAAAGGCTGCCCGCTGCGGTGGCTCACGCCTGTAATCCACTTTGGGAGGCCAAGGCTGGCAGATCACGAGGTCAGGAAATCGAGATTATCCTGGCTAACACAGTGAAACCTCGTCTCTACTAAAAATACAAAAAATTAGCCGGGCGTGGTGGCAGGCGCCTGTAGTCCCAGCTACTTGGGAGGCTGAGGCAGGAGAATGGCATGAACCCGGGAGGTGGAGCTTGCAGTGAGCCAAGATCGCACCACTGCACTCCAGCCTGGGTGACAGAGTGAGACTCTGTCTCAAAAAAAAAAAAAAAAAAAAAAAAGGCAGAGTGGCAGACCAAAAACGAGCCATATGTCAATCTGGAGTAGGAGTGACCAATGTCAGAGTGGAAAATGAGGGCTGATGAGCTTTGGTTCTCAGGCTTTAGAGTAAAGGTGGTAGATGCAAAACTGTCTATCCACCGTGGGTTTATACTGATAAGTGGGCAGTAAATGAAAGAATAGTGTAATCAGCTGATGTTAGAGTGCACCTTTTAACAACGTTCAAGTACAGATGCATCTTAAAATTGACATTGTAAAAACAAAGTTTGCCAGAATCTAGTCATAATATGGCTGTCCTTGTCTGCACATGCATGAACTTGATCTGAAAACCTTTGATTGACGTCTTCTGGTGATATGATCACCATCAAAACTTACAGAGATGCTGTCAGTAGGTTGAATAATCTCATAAATAGGAGAGTAGGACTCTGTCAAGAAATGTGATGTCACCAAAGTTCCTGATTAGCAAAGATGATGACAATGTGGGGTAAATCATGGACAGGGTGTGTTGAAGGTGATTCAGAAGAGTTTGATCTGAGTGACAGGAATTTTAGGAATGCTGTTGTTAGTGTATTCTGCTTATATTTTCCATCTTTGTCATCATAGAAGTGATATAAGACTAATACCTGCATTTATAGTAGTTGAAAGTTTTTTTCAGTAATAATATAAAATTGTAAGTGATAAGATGTATTTGTCCTATAGTCTACGAATTTATTCCTATATTGTGACATAAAATAATGATGCATTTTACAATTGACTCAAATAATAACTATTTCAATTCCTTAGAAAACACTGTATGAGAAAATGCTGACTTCATGTTTAGTATAGATGTGCTATTAGTCTACAGGTTTTAAGTATTATTAGTTCATTCAATTCTCACAACATTTCAAGAGGTAGGCAATATTACCACTCCCAAGTTCCAGTTGTGAATCTGAGCTAAAGCCTTACAGGAAAAGAGTAGAAAAACCTGAGCTTGACTTTGTCTGTCTCCAGAATCTTTGTTTACATCAACTATGTTAGAATATCTTTTCTATGATAAATACATCCTAAGTCTAGTTTCAGAAATTGTGCTTTACACAATAGTCATGAAATTATTTTTCTCAATTTCAATCTAAATGCTACATTAAATCGTTTTTAAGTTCAGGTCAATGAACCATCTGGTGATCATTTTGTATGTAATGTGAGGTCAAAGGTGAGATTTTTATTCCCTCCCCCACCGCAACAGAAGAATATTCAATTTCCTAGAACATTGATAGAAAAATCAATTTTCCCCCCATTGAACTTTAATATGTATGTATAAGAGTTTTCCACTGGGCATGGTAGCTCACACCTGTAATCCCAGCAATTTAAGTGGCTGTGGTGTGAGGACTGCTTGAGCCCAGGAGTTTGAGAAAGGCCTAGGCAACATAGCAAAACACTGTCTCTACAGAAATAAAAATTTTAGGCCGGGTGCGGTAGTTCATGCCTGTAATCCCAGCACTTTGGGAGGCTGAGGCGGGCAGATCACCTGAGGTCAGGTGTTCGAGACCAGCCTGGCCAACATAGTGAAACCCCATCTCTACCAAAAATACAAAAACTAGCCAGACATGGTGGCACATGCCTGCAGTCCTAGCTACTCGGGAGGCTGAGGCAGGAGAATCGCTTGAACCTGGCAAGTGGAGGTTGCAGTGAGCCGAGACTGTGCCACTGCACTCCAGCTTGGGCAGCAGAGTGATACTTTGTCTCAAAAAAAAAAGAAAAAAAACAAAAAAAATAAAAATTTTAAAAATAAGGAGTGTTCAACACTCTTTCTACTTGCTAACACTTATGCAGGTTCAAATCTTGCCTTTTAATATTTGTTTTTAATTTGTCTTGCAGACTAATGTCTTTATCACTTGTGTACATTTTTTTTCCTTTGGCCACATAAGTATCATCTACAACCCAAAATACATTTCTCCTTTATTTAAAGCACAAGTCAAGCAGACGTTCAACAAATAGGCAATAAAAATCAGATTAAAGATACTGTAGGTCCAGGAGCTGTGGCTCATGCCTTTAATCTCAACACTTTGGGAAGCTGAGATGGTGGATCACCTGAGGTCAGGAGTTTGAGACCAGCCTGGCCAACATGGTGAAACGTCTTCTCTGCTAAAAATACAAAAATTAGCTGAGTGTGGTGGCGTGCGCCTGTAATCCAAGCTACTCAGGAGGCCGAGGCAGGAGAATCGCTTGAGCCCAGGAGGCAGAGGTTGCAGTGAGCTGAGATTGCTCCACTGCGCTCCAGCCTGGGCCACAGAGCGAGACTCCATCTCAAAAAAAAAAAAAAAAAAGATGCTGTAGTAGGAAATGTGCATTACTCTGTTGAAATCCACAAAATGCATGAGCATACAACCCAAATTTAAGTGGTAATTGAAGGTTTCCTCGAAGAGGCAGTTTGTGATTGAATAGATGAAGAATAAGCAGCTGAAAACCATGTAAATTAGAACTAATAAATAACAAAGGATGATTAGTATTGAGGTAGAGAATGGGAATGTATAGAATGCAAAAAAAATTGAGACATCGCAAGGAGAGCAGCAATTTCAGTACACTTGAAGGAAGCTAGAAATATATACCAGGGCTAGATTTTTAAGATATTTAATGCCGTGTCAATGTGTTGGTATTTTATAATTTTCTGTAGTTCCAGACATTAGCTAGGGTGTGCTCACTTAGGAACACAGCTGTTGAAATTGTAAAATGAGAATTTGGGTCTCATACATTTGAAGAAAAAAATATATGGGGTTTAGGTTCAGATTCTGTACAGACAAAGGAAAAGTATGGGTGGGGAAAATGTGAGACAGCCTGAGGTCCAGGAAAAATGGCCACAGAAAATTTTCGTATTTTCAGATAAAATCTACTCTTCAAGTTAGACCTCCCTACGAAAGATGCTAGTTCAATAATGAATTCTCCACCTGGAAAAGGACATTTCAGCTCCAAGTCCAGGTTGCTTTCATGCCTTAAAGTCACCTTATTTGTATTTCAGAAGCACGTGCTACACTAGCTTTAGGGAATGAAGAACCATGTGCTGACAGTGCCATCTAGCATCAACAGAAACAGGAACCAATGGCAACCTAAATAAGTACAGAAAAAAAGGTGGGGTCCAGGAACCAAGAATGACTGCTGATTTGAGCAGGATTTTTACAATTTGTTTTAAAACTTAAACATAATGCATAGATGCTGTGGAATTAAAAAATGCAACCTAGGCCGGGCGCGGTGGCTGACGCCTGTAATCCCAGCACTTTGGGAGGCCAAGGCCGGCGGATCACCTGAGGTCAGGAGTTCAAGACCAGCCTGGCCAATATGGTGAAACATCTCTACAAAACACACACACACACACACACACACACACACACACAAACACACTAGCCGGGCGCAGTGGCGCGCGCCTGTAATCCCAGCTACTCGGGAGGTTGGGGCAGGAGAATCGCTTGAACCCGGGAGGAGGATGTTGTGGTAAGCCAAGATCGGGCCACTGCCTGGCGACAGAGCGAAACTCCGTCTAAAAAAGAAAAAAAATGCAATCTAATAATGTCCAGCAACGATACAGGGAAGCCTGGCCCATGCTCACTTTTCCAGTCACCTGCTCTTAAGTAGTGCACGGGTTAAAGAACGATGTGAGTGCTAGTGGCTGATTCTTTCACTTACAAACATGCATGTACACGATTGTGTTACCATGGACAAACACATAAAATTTGATTGTAAAACTAGTTGACTCTTAACTGTGACACATTAAATCCTTGAGTAAATGAGTGTGTGTTTCCATACATATATTCAGTACCACTACAGTTCACAAAATGAACGGGACTTCTTAGGTTAAAGCCTTGTTAAGTTATTCTTTAAAACGCTTTCCAATCTGATAGAGAGCTCTGGCGTATTCGCTCAAGTTTCCGTGGCGGGTCTAGGGCTCCTGAAGCCCCACGGGTCTCACTGCTACCCACATGGCTATTACCGCAACCACCGCTGCCACGCAGCCCGCAAGAAATGTGCCACCGTTCTGAGCGGCCGACAAACCCGCAGTGCGCTACGGGAAGGTCACCTGACAGTTGGGGAGAACGGCAGCCCGCAGGGGCCGATCTTCGGCGCGCCTGCACAGCGCAGGCGGAATTGGGGCGCCTTTTCTCCTTCCGGTTTCCGTTTCCGTGCGCCCCGAGGGTCTGTTCCGCTTATGGCGCCCGCCGGGAGTCTCCCTTTCTTCGCAAGCGTTAACCTGCGTTTTACTCGTAAAAATTTGCTTTCTAGGCTTCGTATAATTGTTCTGGTCTTGCACTTTATGTGTGCATTAGCCTTGAGTTTGCTTGTTGTTTTCCCATGAAAAATTGTATTGTATTTCTGTAACAGCCCCTCCTCTTGTTACATAAACATTGACCAGTAATTGTATATCCTTCCCTCTCAATATTAACAATTTTATCTTTTTTGCGTTCTTTGAAAAAAACGAAATCCTTTTCAAAAATACTGAACTTGTCATTTTTAAGAAATGAGATACTACTTTAATCATTTCTGTATTGTCCTTAAGATTCTTTATATATTCTTTATTGTTTATCTTTTCCACTAATATACCTTTAATATGAGAGGACTTGTAGAGGCTTCAGGGTCACACTTTCGAAACCCAGAGTTTTAGTATCTCCTTATAGAATATTTGTAATTTAAGAAAAATTATACAAGGTTGAATTTTCAAAAATATATTTTTAAAATATATTTAAAAAAGTATTTTTAAATATAGTCCTCCGGAATGCAAAAGGACAATACTACTTTCAGCTAGTACTTTTTAAGTGATTATTTTCCGCCACGTATTCTTTTGAAATTATGCATTTAGGCCGGGTGCGGTGGCTCACGCCTGTAATCCTAGCACTTTGGGCGGCCGAGGCAGGCAGATTGCCTGAGCTCGGGGGTTCGAGACCAGCCTGGGCAACACGGTGAAACCTCGTCTCTACTAAAATACAAAAGAAATTACCCGGGGGTGGTGGTGTTCGCCTGTAGTCCTAGCTACTCGGGAGGCTGAGGCAGGAGAATTGCTTGAACCTGGGAGGCGGTGGTTGCAGTGAGCCGAGATCCCGCCACTGCACTCTAGCCTGGAGGACAGAGTGCGATTCTGTCTCTACAAAAAAAAAAGAAAGAAAGAAATTATACATTTAATTGAAGCTCAGAAAATATATGTGTGATGTTTTCTATGAAATGAAACATTGTTTAGATGAGAAAATAAATGTAAAATGCATTTGCCTTTTCAAAGCAGCAATTAGTGGCGAAGTGTGAATACAAAACCAGTCTTCTTTCTGCAGAGACCATGTCTGTCACCCTTGTGCTGGAATGAACAACATCACATATTTTTTTGTTTGCATATGGCCTGAGGGTCAAATTCTGCCCAGCATGTTTGCTTTCTTTTTTAAATAAATATTTATTGGAACACAGCTATGCTGTTCATTTTTGTATTGCCGATAGCTGCCTTAATGCTACAATGGCAGTAGTTGCAAGAGACAGAATGACCCATAAAACCAAAATTATATACTCTCTAGCCTTCCTATCACCCACTGTTCTGTCTGGTGTTGGGGCAATTCAGTCTTTGGTATGCTAATTTGGATGAGATTCACACTTGGGCTGTTGGAGAGGAGTGGGTGAACCTGTTGAGTTAATCAGCAACTCCAAGAGGTCCATTTCCCAAGCATCTTTCCTTCCATAACTTCACAGTAATTTTCGTTTCCTTATGTCTCCTCTGGCCAATATTTTTCTACTTCTGGGGTAGGCGGTCAGAGGAAAGAGAAAAAAAGGAAAATGGTGAAGTTGGACCCACTGTCTTGGACCTATGACGACTCCTGGCAGAGAAAGGTTTTCCCACTTTTCGTTTTTGTTCTTGTGAACTCCCTGAGCAGCCACTGTCATGACAACATGATGGTCTGAGAGGTGGAGTAGAAGAGATTGGAGAAAAGGGCGACAGAGTGAGACCTTGCCTCTAAAAGAGGGGGGTGGTGGTGGAGGGATGGGAGGAAAGGGGGATTCTTCACTCTTGAGTTCCGTTTTCAATCCTCGAACTTTTCCTGGAGCCCGCAGTCTGCACCACAGCCTCACTTCTGGGTTTCTGCCTGTCTTAAATTCAGGCCTGGGGATAAGTGAGTGGTAAAAATTAAAATTCATCACCAATTTAGTAGTACTTCACAGTCCAGTGTTATTCCTTCATTTCTGTTACTACTTAGTCCTCAAACAGCTGTTCCATACATTTTATCCAAGTTTTATAGCTATATTCAGTAGGAGAGACAGGGCAGAAAATACTTTTTCTTTCCTGAAAATGGAACCCTAATGGGAGCCTGATGAATTTTTTAATTGAAGCCAAAATAAAAAAATTAATATGTGCTCATAAATTCATATTTATACTCATAAAATATGACATTCAACCCAAGTTCTTCATTTTAACACTTACGCCTTTTTTTTTGAGACAGAGTCTTGCTCTGTTGTCCAGGCTGGAGTGGAATGGCATGATCTTGGCTCACTGCAACCTCTGTCATCAGCGTTCAAGCAATTCTTGTGCCTCACTACCGGGTCTTACTACATTGCCCAGGCTGGTCTCGAACTTCTGGGCTCAAGTGATCCTCCCGCCTTGGCCTCCCGCAGTGCTGTGATTACAGGCATAAACCTCTACAAATTTTAATCTACAAAAAACAAAATTATATTCGCTTTACCTGTGTGACATTTGAATAATGACGGTCCATGCAGGCTTTACATTTCACTTTTATGAACTAAAAAAAAATTGAGCCTCCACAGGGCAAGTCCTCTGCTGTGCATGGAAGATAGGCAGGTGTTCAAAGCATAGAAAGGTACTGCTGCCCCAGGTAATGCAGTCAAGAGGGAATTCAAGCATATGGAGGTGATTTTCATTGCTATCAAGAGTGTGGTTTAAAAAGTCACAGTAAGGGCTGGATGTGGTGGCTCATGCCTGTAATCTCAGCACTTTGGGACGCCAAGGCAGGTGGATCACCTGAGGTCAGGAGTTCGAGACCAGCCTGGCCAACATGGTGAAACCTTGTCTCTACTAAAAATACAAAAAAAAAACAATGAGCTGGGCATGGGGGTGGACACCTGTAATCCCAGCTACTTGGGAGGCTGAGGCAGGAGAATTGCTTGAACCTGGGAGGCAGAGGTTGCAATGTGCTGAGATTGTGCCATTGCACTCCAGCCTGGGCAACAAGAGCGAAACTCCGAGAGAGAGAGAGAGAGAGAGAGAGAGAGGGAGGGAGGGAGGGAGGGAGGGAGGGAGGGAGAGAGAGAGAGAGAGAGAGAGAGAGAGAGAGAGAAAGTCACAGTAAGGCACCCTAGCAGAGTGAAACAAAAACTAAAAAAAAATCGTGTTCCAGCATAGGCCTGAGCATTTAAAAATCGAAGAACCGTGGAAATATTAACAATTACATAAAGTGCATCTAGATTTTGAAGTCATTTCATGCAATATTCATGAGTTCTGGGTTTATCAGTTATTCCTCAGCTTTATTTGGTGTATCAGTTTTAGGAATGTGTATGTATAATCGTCAAGTCTTCTATCTGAAAGGTACCAGAACAAAGCCTGGCTTTAGGATCAGATCCTGGGCAGGCAAAAGAGCGCTAGAGGCGGAACAAGATATCCTTCCTATCTGAAGTGGCCATGGGTTTTCAACTGACAGCCTTCTCCTCATCCACTTCCACCTTCCCCGATGCTCTCAGAGGTAGACTATGAAGGCCTCTCCCTAACCACTTTCTAGCTGCCTCTTCATATCCTTAGTGTATCATTTCTCCAAGCTGTAGGTGTCCTGCTAATTGATTTTGAATTTTTATGTTCTTCTGTGTGCGAATGATTAAATATTAAATACAAAAGTCGGTTCATTTGTTTGTTTTTTCCAGGCTTGTAATCTCTAACTTTCATTTTTGCTACAAAGCCTTTAAAAAAAAAATTCAGTTACTCTAGATTCAGATTTTAATTAAAATTTATTTTTGAAGGTAAACATCTTACATAAAATTTGGCTAAAAGGGAAGAAAAAAAACTACCTAAAGTTTATGTGGTCATCCTACTTGCAATATTTTAGCAAGCATGATTTTTATTTAATGAGTTTCAAAAATTTTGACAATGAATACTATCACAGAGACTAAGAGTGTGTGATTTCTTCCACTTTCATAGCACAGATGCTCCTCGACTTACAATGGGGTTATGTCCCCAATAAACCCATCATAAATTGAAAGTATCTTAAGTTGGCCAGGCACGGTGGCTTACGCCTGTAATTCCAGCACTTTGGGAGGCTGAGGCAGGTGGATCATGAGGTCAGGAGTTCGAGACCAGCCTGACCAACATGGTTAAATCCTGTCTCTACTAAAAATACAAAAATTAGCTGGGCGTGGTGGTGCACATCTGTAATCCCAGCTACTCAGGAGGCTGAGGAGAAGAATCGCTTGAACCCAGGAGGCAGATGTTGCAGTGAGCCGAGATCATACCACTGCACTCCAGCTTGGGCGACAGAGCGAGACTCCATCTCAAAAAAAAAAATATATATATATATAGTGAGTTGAAATGCATTTAATATATCTAATCTATTGAATATCATTGATTGGCCCAGCCTTGAGCACTTAAATTTGCTCAAAACACTTACATTAGCCTACATTTGGGCAAAATCATCAAACACAAAGTCTATTTTATAATAAAGTGTTGAATATCTCATGTAATTCATAAAATACTGGAAGTGAAAAACAATGGTTGTGTGAATTCTCAAAGTTCAGTTTCTACTGAATGCTTATCACTGTCACACCATCATAAAGTTGAAAAATTGTAAGTTGAACCATCTTAAGTTGGGGACTATCTGTACTGTGAAATTCCAACTTCTGGACAGTCAAGAAGGAAGCCAGTAAAATCAGAAACCAGCGGCTTTGCAGCCAAGTAAGCAGGGAGGCCAAGCGTATTCCTTGGATGGTCTGCGGTGGGCAGTCTCTGCCAGGATGTGCCCACTTAGCACACACAGCCCTGTACATCAGCCTGCAGGAAAGGCACCTTGGCCAGAGCCTCGGGCTCACCCTAGAGCACTATAGAAAGGTCATCTGGCTGTCTGGGAGGACAGTAGCCCACAGGGGCTGAAGCTGGGCACACCCACTGGGTGGCTCAGGGCCAGTTTTATAATCCCTACCCCCTCAACAAACACACTCCACTCTTGACCACTGCACTCCAACCTCTGTCCCTGCATCCTCCACCAGGCTTTACACCTGCAATTGCACTTTGGATAATAACAGGCATCATTGGCAATATCTTACACTCTATCATTTCAGATAAAGCCTTGAAAAATATGTGCAATTATATCTGTGCTTCTTTGTGGATATATGTTTTATTATATTCACTATATGATTATAATAATATTAGTTACTACTAGTATTTATCAAGAATGTAGGGCTGAAGCTGGGCACAGTGGCTCATGCCTGTAATTCCAGCATTTTGGGAGGCTGAAGCAGGTGTATCACTTGAGGTCAGGAATTTGAGACTAGCCTGGCCAACATGGTGAAACCTGATCTCTACTGAAAATACAAAAATTAACCGGGCATTTATGCCTGTAGTCTCAGCTACTCGGGAGGCTGAGGCACGAGAATTGCTTGAGCCTGGGAGGTGGAGGTTGCAGTGAGCTGAGATCGTGTCACTGCACTCCAGCTGGGACAACAGAGCCCCACTCTGTCTAAAAAAAAAAAAAAAAAGAATGTAGGGCTGGGCATGGTGGCTCACGCCTGTAATCCCAGCATTTTGGGAGGCTGAAGCAGGAAGATTGCTTGAGCTCAGGAGTTCAAGACCAGCCTGGGCAACATGGCATAACCCTGCCTCTACAAAAAAAAAAAAAAAAGATCTATATACACACACACAAATGCCAGGCATGGTGACACATGCCTGTGGTCCCAACTACTTGAAAGGTTGAGGTGGGAGGATCGCTTGAGCCCAGAAGGTCAAGGCTGCCGTGAGGCATGATGGATCCACGGCACTTCAGCCTGGGTGAAAGAGCGAGACCCTGTCTCAAAACACAAACAAACAAAAAGGGTGTAGTATATTCCTGGTATTGATTGTGCTTTTCATAGTTTAAAAGTAAGACTTGGTGTAAAGGTATGCATTGTGTAGTATAAATGCACAGAGAGGAAAGGAGAGATTGGGTACAAATTCAGGAAGGCATGAAGTGTTGATGTCATGACACTTAGCCCATCCTTGCTCTGCACAGACCACGTTTCTCACCACTGTGCTGGTATGTAGACACCAGCATGATCTTCTGAAGCCTCGGATAATTTGGTGTGGATAGCTTTCTTTTGGATTCTTTTAAATTTTGTTATCTTAAAGCTTTCCATAGTATTTCATATGGATAGGCCACAGTTACTTTCCATTTACTATTATACTTTTATATATTTTTTCTTATTTTGATATGAGAAACAATGTTGGAATAATCATGCCTAGACATAAATAAGCCAATTTCAAAATGTTTGTAGGGGAGACTCATAGTGTTGCCAGAAAAAGGGGCCCTGACCCAGACCCCAAAAGAGGGTTCTTGGATCTCTAGCAGGAAGGAATTCAAGGCGAGATGCAGAGTGCACTGAAAAGAGAGAGTTTATTGAAAGCTACTCAGCTATAGAGTAGAGCATCCTCAGAAAGCAAGAGGAGAAATGCCTTGTATTTAAGTTTTTTTTATGTAAGTGTCTTGTCTATGTAAAGACTAAACTAAGCTGTGTCTACGTGCAGATGGGTTGAGAGCATGACAAAATTTACTATTCTGTTGATTTAAAGAAAATGGTCCTTGACATTTTAGTAAGTACATCAAAGCCATAACTGTAAGTAACTTGAAAGCATATATTGTTATGGGTATTGGGACATCTGGATTTTGTGTTGTTGTAGGAGTGTATCCTTGCACCGGTAGCCTAGGTATTGTTAAGCTGTTTCCTCAATTATAAACATGACTATGGGTTGTGACCAGCAAGGAATGTGCCTTAGTTAATCTCAAGATGGAGCTGAACTTAAAATGCCATTACTTTGGCTCTAACCAGCTCCTGCTTCCATAACAGTGGGGTCAAAAGGTGTTCCTTTAAAATCTTCCTAGACACTGCCAAATTGCTTTTGGAAACTTCTCACCTGGTGAGATGGCATGAGTATCTTTGGCTCATTTTTCTACATAGACTTGGAAACAGTTTTATGTTTATAAAATATGTATCACCTCATTTATAAATTTGTTTGAATAATTTAACCATTTTGCTTTTATTAGCTATTTTGCTACTCTCTGTTTTCCTTGCCTGAGTCTTTCCCACATCTCTGCAACATTGTATCATTTCCCACACCTAAAACCAAAGAGGGACAGGCAAGCCAGTGGAGAGAGCAGAGGCTGATGAGAACGAAGGATTTTCCAGGAAGGAATCTGGGGCTGTGTGTGTGTGTGTGTGTGTGTGTGTGTGTGTGTGTATGTCTGGGTGTGTGAATATTGTTTTTATTAGCCTGTAGCCCACGTGTTGCATGGCCATATTTTTACTATCAGGATATAAAACACACTTACACACAGCTGCATACAAATGCAATGAGTTTATTTTTCATATACATTTCAAAATAATAGCGTGAACAGACCAGAACTCTTCTTCAAAGTTCAAGAATGTCCTCATGGATCCAGCATCCGTCTGGTTTCTGTTTCTGCATTCTCAGTACATAGCCTCACTTCTCTTTCTCCAATTTTGGAGGATGTGTAAAAAATTTTATTCTTAACCAAACATTAGTCAGGCTCCGGAACGTTCTCTTAACTCCATCCATGCACTTTCTTGTAAAATGCAGTTTTAACAAGAACACTGCTAAGTTAGTTTAGCAAGACCCCCACACCTTAGACATCTGATCACCTTCTATATCTTATCAGGTTCCTCATCCTCCACCATCCCTTAAGTGATCATCCCAGCTTGTCTTCAGCAAGAATCCTATTAGATCAATTTAGCCAGAATCCCTCTTGCCCCTGATGTTAATTCTTAGTAATTTTCCAACCACTAGTCCCCACCCTGTTCCTTGGCTATAAATTGCCACTTGCCCATGCTGTACTTAGAGTTACTTAGAGTTGAGTCTCACTCTCTCCCACACTGCAAGGCCCCATTACGGCGGTCCCTAAATCTATTGCAGTGGTCCCGAATAAAGTCTTCCTTACTATGCATTAACACGTATCATTGAATATGACTTTTTCTTTAACAGATACTTTGACGAAGGTAATTGGGACTCCCATCAAGTCTCCACACAGCTAGCAGCCACGTGGGGCACTTCTCCAGGTAAGGATTGTCCCTGTTCCACTTATGTTCCTGTCAGTAAAATGGTAGGTTCAGTGTCAGGCTTTACCATTTTCTTCAGGGAGAGACCCATCTGATATTTAGTCAGCCATCAGATGGGTCCAGCCATAGCACACATTAGCTGTGACATGACGTCGTTTATGACAATGACTTTGAGCAGAGTTGCACACCTAAAAAGGGACTCAATTAAAATTATCATTCATTTTAGTTATTTCTCAGATGCATTTATTATTTCCATTTTCCAAAACTCCTAATGTTACATTTCTTCTTCACATGTTAGATATGAACAAAGTAAGACTAACTGTGGCCACATCCTCTTTACTTAGGACCCTACCCAAAGTGGCAGGAATGGGATGTAAAGTGACATAATCAGACACAGTCAAACTGGCTTTTAATCGTTAAGTATCATTGTCATCTCAAAGCACTTGGCATAGTTACTGACCCCTTAAATGTCCTTTCTCCATCTTATCTTCTCCTTTGTTCTCTGTATCATCTTCCGGTCCTATAGAAATATATCCCCACGAGCACACACTGAGGTCTTTTTTTTTTTTTTTTTTTGAGACGGAGTCTTGCTCTGTTGCCCAGACTGGAGTGCAGTGGCATGATCTCAGCTCACTGCAACCTCTGCCTCTCGAGTTCAAGCGATTCTCCTGCCTCAGGCTCCCATGTAGCTGGGATTACAGGCATGCGCCACCATGCCTGGCTAATTTTTGTATTTTTAGTAGAGACAAGGTTTCACCATGTTGGCCAGGCTGCTCTCAAACTCCTGACCTCAGGTTATCCTCCGGCCTCGGCCTCCCAAAGTGCTGGGATTACCAGCATGAGCCATCGCACCTGGCCTCACTGAGGTCTTAATGCTGAGTTGAACTTTGTCTCTGGCCATGAGCATCAGTCCATGTATTATAATAGGTTTGGGTTGGGTGTGGTGGCTCACACCTGTAATCCCAGCACTTTGGGAGGCCGAGGCAGGCTCACAGGTAAACAATTTAGACAAAGTTTTCACATTCTCTGAGATTTGTATACATTGGAGATTCAGAAAAATGTAACCGAAAATTAAACTATAGGTGGAATAGCTGCCTTTGGGGGCTGAGAAGACAGGCATCAGACCTGGGATAGACAAGGGAGGCCTCTTGTTCCTTGAAATGATACCCCAGCCCATGAGGTCTGCATGCCAGGAAGCCAAATGAGTGAGGATGGTCTGTGTCCGCTGGGGAGGTCCCTGGATGTTGCCAAGAGGGATAGGGTCTGGGAAAGAGTGAGGATGGAGTCAGGCAGAGAGGACCCCCCAGGCTCATGGATGGACTGACCTGAGGACTTATATTAAGTCATAGGACAGTAGAGAAAGTAAGAGCCAAGCATAATGTAATCCTAACAATGTAAAAAGTATTAATCATTTTATTATTAGTTAATGTCACTGAACTGTACACTTAAAATGGCTAAAAAGGTAAATTTTAGGTTACATATATTTTACCGTAATATAAAATGACAAATATATTAGAAATGACTTTTTTTTTTTTTTGAGATGTAGTCTTGCTCTGTTGCCCGGGCTAGAATGCAGTGGCACAATCTCGGCTCACCACAACCTCCGCCTCCCAGGTTCAAGTGATTCTCCTGCCTCAGCCTCCCAAATAGCTGGGATTACAGGTGTCCGCCACCATGTCCAACTAATTTTTGTATTTTTAGTAGAGACAGGTTTCACTGTCTTGGCCAGGCTGGTCTCGAACTCCAGACCTCGTGATCCACCCACCTCGGGTTCCCAAAGTGCTGAGATTACAGGCGTGACCCACCACGCCTGGCCAGGAATGACTGTCAACTATATTTTCTTAACATATGTATTCCTACACAACATCAGTTTTGTAATAGTTTATTTTTGTTTTGTTTTGCAATTTTTTTCTTTTATTGTAAGGAAAGAAGTACATTTTTTCAGCGTGTAAGAATGCAAAAGTAATTATCAGATGTTTGTCACATCTTAACAAAATAGGACCTTATTTTCCTAGATGTTGCTGCATTCAGTCCCTTTCTTGGTATGGTAAAAGCATCAATCAGCCAGGGAGGCAACTATAAATACAGAAGAGCAGTTTCCTACAGATAGTCAACCATGCTACCCCTCTTACTGACTTAATTTTAATATTGGAGCCTGGCACAATTAACCTAGTTTCCTCGTAAACACAAGAACAACGTACTGCAATCAATGTAGGCATATACAGGCTCTTAAAGTTCTGAGAAGCAGCAAGTAAGTTCATCATTTACTAAGATCCTTGACATTCTTCTGTTTCTGTGAAATTTATGCATCTGTGAGAAGTTTCTTTTCTTTTTTTATTTTTTTTTGAGACAGAGTCTCGCTCTGTCACCCAGGCTGGAGTGCTGTGGCACAATCTTGGCTCACTGCAACCTGAACCTCTGGGGTTCATGCCATTCTCTTGCCTCAGCCTCCCGAGTAGCTGGAACTACAGGCACACGCCACCACACCTGGCTAATTTTTATATTTTTAATAGAGACAGGGTTTCACCATGTTGGCCAGGCTGGTCTCGAACTCCTGACCTCAGGTGATCCACCCACCTTGGCCTTCCAAAGTGCTGGGATTACAGGCGTGAGCCACCGTGCCCAGCTGAGAAGTTTCTTATACTAGAAGAAAAAGAAAATTTGATTTATTTTAAAATATAATGGTTTAGTCTGTAGCAAGTAATATTAATTTTTTTATTTTTTTATTTTTGAGACGGAGTCTCATTCTGTCACCCAGACTGGAGTTCAATGGCACGATCTCCGCTCACTGCAAGCTCCGCCTCCCGGGTTCAGGCCATTCTCTTGCCTCAGCCTCCTGAGTAGCTGGGACTACAGGCGCCTGCCACCACGCCCAGCTAATTTTTTTTTGTATTTTTAGTAGAGACAGGGTTTCACCGTGTTAGCCAGGATGGTCTTGATCTCCTGACCTCGTGATTCACCCGCCTCGGCCTCCCAAAGTGCTGGGATTACAGGCATGAGCCACCGTGCCCGGCCCTAACACGAATTCTTAAGAGAGGTGAACCAGGGATGGGATTGTGGATCAATCATGCAAAGACCGACTCCTCTGGGCTTCATTTCCTCCATACTGAATGTGCATCCCTACATGTTCATGTTGTTGTTTCATAGGTAGTGCAGGGGGTCAGAATAGGATACCCCTGGCTGGGTGTGGTGGCTCACGCCTGTAATCTCAGCACTTTGGGAGGCCAAGGCAGGTGGATCACCTCAGATCAGGAGTTTGAAACCAGCCTGGCCAACATGGTGAAACCCCTTCTCTACTAAAAATACAAAAATTAGCCGGGTGTGGTGGTACACGCTTGTAGTCCCAGCTACTCAGGAGACTGAGGCAGGAGAATGGCTTGAACCCGAGAGGCAGAGGTTGCAGTGAGCTGAGATCGCACCTCTGCACTCCAGCCTAGGTGAGATTGAAACTCCATTTCAAAAAAAAAAAAAAAAAAAGGATATCCTCAATTGCGGTGCCCTGGCATACTGAGTATTTTAAGCTGAAGGAAATTGAGAAAACCATGGAAGCAGGAAGGCCACTCTCTGATTTGCTCCCACTTTTCTCCCCTGAAGCAGGTCATAAAAGAATTATCTGCCCTACCTGTCCTGAAAGTAGGTCATAATGGGACCCTCATTTCAGAGGAGTTCTGCCCTATCCCTGGATACCAACAAAGATCTGAACAAACAGGTCTTATGAATTTCTCCCCAGGTAATTACTATTAGATGATACCCTTTGTTCCCCAAAGCTATTTCTTCAAAACTGTCCATAAAAATACACCTATCCAGCTGGGCACAGTGGCTCACACCTGTAATCCCAGTACTTTGGGAGGCTGAGGCGGGTGGATCACGAGGTCAGGAGTTCAAGACAAGCCTGACCAACATGGTGAAACCCCACCTCTACTAAAAATACAAAAAACAACTAGCTGGGTGTGGTGGCACAAGCCTGTAGTCCCAGCTACTCAGGAGGCTGAGGCAGGAGAATCGCTTGAACCCAGGAGGTGGAGGTTGCAGTGAGCCGAGATCGCGCCATTGCACTCCAGCCTGGGCAACAGAGCGAGACTCTGTCTCAAAAAACAAAAACAAAAACAAAAAAACAAAAAAGCCCCACCTATCCCTTGGCCTTTGCATCTTGATTTCTGAAGACTCACATGTCATGTAAAACTTACGTTAAGTAAATATATTATGTTTTTCTCTTGTAAATCTGTCTTTTGTAATCAGGATCTCAGCCATGATGCATTTTGGCTTGTCAGAAATAATCACAACATGTGGAGAAATAGATAAAATGCCATTTTTAAAATTATTATTATTTTTTATTTTTTTGATAGAGTCTCGTTCTATCGCCCAGGCTGCAGTGCAGTGTCATGATCTCAGCTCACTGCAACCTCCACCACCCAGGTCCAATCAGTTCTTGTGACTCAGCCTCCCCAGTAGCTGTGATTTCAGGCATGCACCACCACGCTTGGCTAATGTTTGTATTTTTAGTAGAGATGGGATCTTGCTATGTTGGCCAGGCTAGCCTGAAACTCCTGGCCTCAAGTGATCTGCCCGCCTTCGCCTCCTTAAATGCTGGGAATACAGTTGTGTAATGGTATTTTTTTTTGAGACAAGGTCTCAAAATGGCATTTTTTTTGAGACAGGGTTGTTGCTCTATTTACCAAAGACTATACAAGATTATGTGAACTTAAAATAATATTCGGGTTAATTTCTGTATTTCTAAGTTTTAGGAATACTTAGTTATGTAAGCATTTACTTCCCTTTAAGTCAATTAAATCCTCTTTTAAGGAACTTTATAAATTAATTTGGTAGTATCATTGGGCCCAGTAGAGTTTTTTTTTTCTTTTTTTTGAGACGGATTCTCGCTGTGTTGCCCAGGCTGGAGTGCAATGGCGCAATCTCAGCTCACTGCAACTTCTGCCTCCTGGGTTCAAGCGATTCTCCTGCCTCACCCTCCCAAGTAGCTGGGATTGTAGGCTCCCGCCACCATGTCCAGCTAATTTTTGTATTTTTAGTAGAAATGGTGTTTCACCATGTTGATCAGGCTGGTTTCCAACTCCTGACCTCAGGTTATCCACCCTCCTCGGCCTCCCAAAGTGTTGGGATTACAGGGATGAGCCACCACACCCGGCAAATTTCTTTTAAGATATTTTATAAATTAATTTGGTAATACCATCAGAGGCAGAAAAATTTCACACAGATGGAGAGACATACATAAACATACAGGCAAATATCAAAAGAGATCTTCTAGCTATCATTCTAAAATCTTAGCCATGAATCAGAAACACATAGTAATACAAAGTCACTGTTTTATATGTAACAGTTATCTCTCATATTTTCTCCATTTCATATTTTTTCCCTATTGTCCCTGGTAAATGGGACAAGTTAAGGCTATGTACTAAATATTAGGCCTAATGCTTTTTACCAATATTCATGGAGAAGGTTTTTAAGATCTTCATTTGCCCTGTGAAGCCCTTTTGAAGGCTGTGGACTAAATGTTAAATGAGTCACTGCAAAGACATCTAACAGCTATCGAAATGTCTCCACCACCCATCTGAGTGGATAAAATATCCAGTCTATTTCCAAATAGTCTTTTTTTCCTCTTCAGCCTTGGTACTTACTTTTGGAGGACTCTGAGTCCCTTGACAGCAGGGTGGACTAAAGTTTAAGAGAAGAAGTCTGACAGGGGAGGAAGACAGAGAGATGGAGAAGGTAGGAGTTTGAAGGGATCATATCCAGGACTCAAAGGAACTGAATGGAAGATTGAAAGTGGCAAGAGTAGGAAGGAGGAACAGAAAGAGGGGGAAGGAAGAGGTCTTAAGGGAACCAGCTGGGGGAGATATTAAATTCCCCAAAGAGGCTAGTGAAGCTCCAAATTATCCTTAGCAAAATCAGGCCGGGTGTGGTGGATCACTTGAGGTCAGGAGTTTGAGACCAGCCTGGCCAACATGGTGAAACCCTATCTCTACTAAAAATACAAAAATTAGTTGGGTGTGGTGGCACATGCCTGTAATCCCAGCTACTCGGGAGGCTGAGGCAGGAGAATCGCTTGAACCTGGGAGGTGGAAGCTGCAGTAAGCCAAGATAGCACCACTGTACTTCAGTCTGGGTGGCAGAGTGAGACTCCATCTCAACAAATAAATAAATAAATAAATAAATATCCTTAGCAAAATCATGCCAAAAAGAGGGAGGTAGGCAGAATTGTGAAAGCTTATAGCCAACAGAGGTTCAAGAAAAGGCTTTTTGTCAATGGATAAGTTTACATGGGAAGATCCGGATCAAAAGGAGAGAACAGAGAGGACTTAAGAAAATTGTTCCTATTGGCTGGGTGTGGTGGCTTATGCCTGTAATCCCAGCACTTTGGGAGGCTGAGGCAGGCGGATCACCTAAGGTCAGGAGTTCAAGACCAGCCTGATCAACATGGTGAAACCCCGTCTCTACTAAAAATACAAAAATTAGCTGGGCATGGAGGTGCACGTCTGTAATCCCAGTTATTCGGAGGCTGAGGCAGGAGAATTGCTTGAATCTGGGAGGCAGAGGTTGCAGTGAGCCGAAATCGAGCCACTGCACTCCAGCCTGGGTGACAGAGTGAGACTCTGTCTCAAAACAAACAAACAAACAAACAAACAAAAACAGAAAAGAAGAAAAGAAAGTTTTTCCTATAAGTCTGTAACTATCAGCTTCCCATTAGGCCAACTATTGATCATAGAGGTCTTAAAAAATCCTTTCAGGCTGGGTGCCGTGGCTCATGCCTGTAATCCCAGCACATTGGGAACCTAAGGCGGTAGGATTGGTTGAGCCCAGGAGTTCCACACCAGCCTGGGCAACGTATTGAGACCTCATCTTTACTAAAAATAAACAAAATTAGCTGGGTGTGGTGGCATGCTCCTGTAGTCCCAGCTACTCGGGAGGCTGAGGTGAGAGGATCACCTGAGCCCAGGAGGTCAAGGCTGCAGTGAGCTGTGATTGTGCCACTACACTCCAGCCTGGGTGACAGAGCAAGACACTGTCTCAAATATATATAATTTTTTTCAAATATCTTATCAGGTTTTGGTCAAGAGGAAAGGTAAATATTCCTGATAGTACATTCCCATTAAAAAAAAATGTACCCGTTACAAGTGACTTGGAACCAAAATCCATAGATTCTTTCATGGTTCTTTATCGGTATGGTGATAGGGTTTTCATATTCATGTGTGAGATGTGCCTCCCTCAGTCCTTGTTATGACATCATTACGTGTCTGACATGACAAAAAGGAAAAGAGAAAAAGGTGGAGAAAGGTAAAAAATAGGAAAAGAAAAACTGAAGGAAAAAGGAAAAAAACCCAATCCGTAAGCCTTTTATGACTTACCCATGAATGCAGAGGCATCTTCAAAGAGGGTGCAAAAAATGCAGCCCTCTAAAGATGCCAAACCACTCTCAAAGATAGCCAAAAGAAAGGCAGGCCTAGATACTCCCCCTGAGAGCTGGCAATAGATGTTAGCTGCAAATGGGTTGCAACCCACATGTCTGTCCAGCTGTATTCCCACAGCCCCCCAACCTGATGGTTGGCTGCTTGCACACACAAGAACCAACAACTTGTACGCCCCATCAAGTGGAAAACCAAGCCAAATTCTTTTTTTTTTTTTTCCTTTGAGACGGAGTCTCGCTCTGTCGCCCAGGCTGGAGCGCAGTGGTGTGATCTCGGCTCACTGCAAGCTCTGCCTCCCAGGTTCACGCCATTCTCCCGCCTCAGCCTCCCAAGTAGCTGGGACTACAGGTGCCCGCCACCACGCCTGGCTAATTTTTTGTATTTTTAGTAGAGACGGGCTTTCACCATGTTAGCCAGGATGTGTCTTGATCTCCTGACCTCGTGATCCGCCCGCCTCGGCCTCCCAAAGTGCTGGGATTACAGGCGTGAGCCACCGTGCCCAGCCGAAACAAAGCCAAATTCTTGACACAAAATGACAGAAACAGAAAAGCAATAGCTGCTCCTGGGAGGGAAAGGATCAATAACCAATAGGCACCACAAAATCAAGCTACAGTCACAATCTAGATAATGAATTTTTATAATTTTTTTCCTATCCATCTGCATTGGGAAAATAAGGGACAAGGAGTTTTTACTTTCTTCTCTTGACCAGGAACTACTGACAGAGATCTGGGAGAGCTGACTTTGGTGAAAATTCTCACCTTGCACAGGCTTGTGTCTGTTTTCCAGAATCCTACCTGCAGACTCCAGAATGAAGTGTCCCAGCTGTCCCTTTCTCGTTGCCAGAAACTTCTACCCTTCTCATTCCTTTGCTTGTCCCCCTGTAACAAGAGACAGATTAATGAGAGAAAATCATGCAAGTTGATTTACTGTATGTTTTATGTAACATGAGTCTTCATAAGAAAACTAAGCCCAAAAGAAGCAGTTAAACCTGAGTGTTTTTTTTGCTGGTCTGATGAAGAGCGAAGAGTCATGGAGAAATGTAATGGGACCAAAAGGTGTCAGCTAAGTGTAATAAACTGGGGGAAACAGCAAGGGCTATTCCTTCAGATTCCTCTCAGTGTCCCTGTGTCTTCAGAGATAAAGATCTTTTCCTCTGGGTAAAGCGTGGCAGCTCTCACATGAGGGTTTTATTACTTGCTTCAGCAGAAAGTCAAAAAGCCCTTCCCAGGTTTTATGACCTCTTTCAGCGAAAGGTGAGAAAGTCCTTCCTACACATTTGGTTTCTGAAATTCCTTCAGCTTAAAATATTCATTATGCCAACTTTCCATATTTTGGGTTGGCATGTCCTGAATATATTGTCAGAGCATTACAGAAAAAATACACCCAAACACACACACACACACACACACACACACACACACACACACGGACAACACATTCCCTATGACTATCTTAAAATTGATTAACCTCAAACATTTAATTTTGGATGACTGAGTCAAAAAGAGAATTGAAATTGCCATCACATATCTGGTCAAGCTGAAAGATGGCATTTGGTATTGGAAATTGATGGCTGCTGGTCATTTAACACCCATGCCTCAGTTACATATCTGGCTCATGAGATAAGAATGCTAAACAGTATAAACAAGACACCTCAGTATGAAAACGTTCTGCCGTTACAAAGGTACTCTCTTTGTGTTACTCTGCATTCTCTCCCAGCCCTGTAGCAATTTATCCTTTGTCCATATATTGAAGATAGATTTGTTTACATCTACTCTTAGCCTTCCTGAATATCCTTTGCTCCAGGAGAGCCTTAAGCCAAGGGTAGAAATGACAAGACAGACTCTATGTTTGCAGAACACCACATAGTCACAGCGATGCAAATGGAAAGGAAAATATGAGAACAAGGTCTTTCAATCCAGATTTGGCCTATGTTTGTATTAAAGGTGTTATTCCCATGTAAGACCTTAAGACATAATATTAATAATAATTCAGCTATGAAAGGTTCATGTTGAGTTCTACTTGCATGGGCAAGCTATTAGGTAGAAGTTAAAGATGCACAGAACACATTAGTTCTTTCTAGGTATATCCTTAGCAGAGCAAAATTGCAACCCAAGTTAGAACAGGAAAAACTTGATGAAGCATGAAATTACCAGCTGGTCTGATGGGAGATATGATGTGGCCCTGAGGTACAGTAGGTGGTGCCTGAAGCATGGTGACAGTAGTGGAAACACCTTAGGGTGACCCACAATTAGTCACTCTCATTCAATTCCCTTTCCTTGGGTGTGGGAAGAACCTGCCAATAGCATGTGGCAAAGGATATCGTTACTGTGTTTATGCTATGTTATATGTCAAAAGTGAAGATATAGTGCAGATGTAATTAAAGAAATCAGTTGGCTTTGAGTTCATTAAAAGGCAGAATAGCCTATGTAGACCTCCCCTTATCAGATGAGCCACTTAAAATGGCTCCTAGGCAGATCACAAGGTCAGGAGATCGAGACCCCCCCGCCGGCTAACACGGTGAAACCTCATCTCTACTAAAAATACAAAAAAACTAGCTAGGTGTGGTGGCGGGCGCCTGTAGTTCCAGCTACTCGGGAGACTGAGGCAGGAGAATGGTGTAAACCTGGGAGGCGGAGCTTGCAGTGAGCCGAGATCGTGCCACTGCACTCCAGCCTGGGCAACAGAGCGAGACTCCGTCTAAAAAAAAAATGGCTCCTAGGCCTTCCCTGATGTCAGGGAAAATAGAAAAGACTCTGTCTCTTCACTGTTGCCTTTGAAGAAGCAAGCTGCCATGAATTCTATAGCCATTGTAAAATGAATTCTGCCAACAAGCAAATGAGCTTAAAAAGTAACAGAGTCTGCGCACAGTGGTTCACGCCTGTAATCCCATCACTTTGGGAGGCTGAGGTGGGTAGACTGCTTGAGCCCAGGAGTTTGAGACCAGCCTGGGCAACATGGTAAAACTTCATCTCTATAGTAAAATACAAAAATTACCCGGGCACAGTGGCATGCACCTGTAGTCCTAGCTGCTCAGGAGGCTGAGGTGAAAGGATGGTTTGGGTCCAGGAGGCAGAGGTTGCAGTGAGTCAAAATCACCCCTCTGCACTCCAGCCTGAGTGAGAGCCAGACTCTATCTAAAATAAACAAAAACAAAAACAAAAACGTAATACAGGCCACTGACACCTTGACTGAATCCCTGTGAAATATTTCACCTGAAAATCCAGCTAACCTGTGCCCACTGACCCACAGGAATGGAGATAATATATTTACATTGTTGTAAACTGCTAAATTGACTGGATGTGGTGGCTCACACCTGTAATCCCAGCATCTTGGGAAACCAAGGTGGGGGGAATCACTTGAGGCCAGGAGTTTGAGACTAGCCTGAGCAACGTAGCAAGACCCTGTCTCTACAAAATTAAAAAATTAGCCGAGTGTGGTGGTGTGTGCTTGTAGTCCTAGCTATTCTGGAGGTTGAATGGGAAGATTTCTTTAGCCCAGGAGTTCGTGGTTACAGTGAGCTATGATCACACCACTGCACTCCAGAATGGATGACAACGTGAGACCTTGTGATATGGTTTGGCTGTGTCTCCACCCAAATCTCACCTTGAATTATAATCCCATGTGTCAAGGGTGGGGCCAGGTGGAGATAATTGAAACATGGGGGGTGGTTTCCCCTATACTGTTCTCTTGGTCATGAATAAGTCTCATTAGATCTGATGCTTTTATAAATGGGAGTTCCCCTGCACAAGCGCTCTTGCCTGCCACCATGTAACATGTGCCTTTGCTTCTCCTTTGCTTTCCTCCATGATGGTGAGGGCTTCCTAGCCATGTGGAACTGTGAGTCCATGAAACCTCTTTCTTTATAAATTACCCAGTCTCAGATATGTCTTTATTAGCAGGCTGAGAATCAACTAATACACCCTGTATTAATGTATTAATACATGAATAAAAAAAGTTGCTAAATATGTAGAACTACACTCTGTGTCTTCCCTTTAGTGTTAGGAAGATCAAATAGGCACTACAAGAGCATTTTCTTGGTAAATGGTATCTAAATTCCCTCTTATCAATGGCAATTACTCATTTGGACTGCTAACACCATAGGGGCAAAAATCCTGACATGTATGAATCTTGTGGGAGAAGCACTTGGAAAAAAAACAAAAACAAAAACAAAAAACAGAGACAAACATTTCTGAGCAAAAATGCAAGCTTTTTAAAAAAAATAGTTTGTTTTGATCAGTTCACATCATGTAGGTCATTTCATCCGGCCTCATTGGCATATAAGTAGTATATATTGAGCTAGGCGTGGTGGCTTACGCCTGTAATCGCAGCACTTTGGGAGGCCGAGGCAGGCGGATCACGAGGTGAAGAGATCGAGACCATCCTGGCCAACATGGTAAAACCCCGTCTCTACTAAAAATACAAAAATTAGCTGGGCATGGTGGCGGGCTCCTGTAGTCCCAGCTACTCGGGAGAGTGAGGCAGGAGAATCACTTGAACCCGGGAGGCAGAGGTTGCAATGAGCGAAGATCGCACCACTGCACCCCATCCTGGCGACAGAGTGAGATCTGTCTAAAAAAAAAAAAAGTAGTATATATTGAAAGTATAAAGGGGTGAACCACTTTGAATTGCGTATGACAAAAGAAGCTCAGAGTTCAGGTGAAAAATGTGTTATTACAAACTCAACTATCAATTTAATCTGTCTTTAATGTATGAGTCAAAATTAAGTGTTTTCTGTTGGGGTGATCGGACCCAACACCAGGCCGTGGGGGCGATGAAGTCCCACGGAGTCAAAGGAATGAGAAAAGACAAGTTAAGAGAGAAACTGGGACCAGGGGCCAATGCTAGTATGGAGGCTGCGAAGGCCCCAAGCTCTGGGACCCCATGCTATTTATTGGTGATCAAACAAAGAAACAGGTGGCGAGGCTGTGGGGGTTGAAAGGAAGTGGTGTATCAAGCAAATGAGCTACAGCTGTGATGGTTTAGCATTTTCTTTGAAACATATGGCTACTTGAGATAATGGGAGTGCTAGAAGCAAGGAGCCAGCAAGTCTAGACACATTCCAAAGGCCACAAGGGGTTTTAGACCCTGGACCCCAGACACGTTCCAAGACTCTTTTACATTATGTCAGACATCCAGGCCCTGCCTCAAATTCTCTCCCAACACTCAGCTTTTCTCCCAACACTTTCTATTACAAACATCAACGGAAAAATCAATGATCTGTTTAAAATATTGTAAATACCATCACTATGTTTGAAGATATGTTTTAATTTTTTATTATTCCTTTAATTAAAAGAACTGTATGCCAATTAATAAGCTGTTGCCTTTTAGATCAAAATTAATCATTCATTGCCTGCTCTGTGAAAATTGAGTCAGATACCCTTAAAAATATATTGTGTTGCAATAGTAAGTTTTTTCAGTAATTGAAGGTGGTTGGACATTGTAAAAAGAGATTTTCCTTTCTGATTCCACTGTGGTCTCTCAGCCGTTTCCCATAGCATGCATGCCTTTCTCCAGCACTATATTTCTACAGTATGCATGAGCAATCCTGCAGCAACAATGGCTTTTCTAGCATCAGGCTCCTACAACGCATGACAGTCAGCAGCACTAGTGGTCAGCCACTTCCTATATCCCCTACCCTTAGGTGGTTTCTAGTGTAGTGCTTCCAATAATATACCTACCTGTGAACACCTTTCCCTGGCACCTAAGTGGGAAGATTTCTGGAAAGTTCCACTGGTGCCGCACACTGTGACTATTCTGTGTAGCCTCTAACAAGCTCTGGATTGCAATCCACTTATAGTAAATAAATGTCCACTTCAAACATTCCCTCCTCAAATTCTTGTGTTTTGTCTGCCTCCTGATTGGACCCTCACTGAAAGAATTAATGCTGGCATTGTTCCAAGAGATATTTCCACAGAGATGAATCTGGGAGGTTGTGTTGGTCATTCCTTTATGTTTGGGCACATTCCACAGCTCCTTGTCAATGTGCAATGGGATACTAGCAACCTATGACATGCAGTGGTATCACAATTAATCAAGCAATGACCTGTGGTTGATTGTGGCAAAGTGCCAACTGAAACACGTGCCTTGGGAGCCCGAGTGACTGCTGCACTGAATGTTATGGCAGTCAAGATAACTGTAAGGACTGTGGGGTGGAATGGATTCAGTTGAGGGTCCTTGAGTGATTACGAACAGAAAATAACAAGCTTAGGTTCCTTAATTCTCAGTTCAAGCCACGGTTTGAAAACCTGAGAACTTCCATGGCGACTATAAAGGAAATTCATTTGTTGTAGCTGCAGGGCTGATATTGTTAAATATCAAAACCAAGAATGAGATCCTGAAACTTGGAATGGGTCAGGAAACTTGGAATGGGGGAATCTGTTTAGACTCAGTTGAAACTGACCATCTGGAAACAGAAAGTCAGGCTGAGCCTTTCTTACCAGTTTAAGTAGCTTGTCTCTATTGTTTGAAGAAAATATCTTTCCCTTGCACAAAAGCTGGGTTAGATACCATTAAAGGGGATGCCCATTTTTCTTAAAGTCCCCTACAAATCATCACTTTTTGCTAGTAGCATGACTAGACCCCATAACTAGGATTGAATAGCAACCTATTCCTAAGGGATAGGTACACACTATGACCTGTAGGAAACAGCTACATGCAAAAGGAACTGTGACATATATTGGAAGAAACCTGGGGAATGTTGGAAGAGCATTCTAAGGCCGTTATACTAAGGAGGACAAAATATAACAGTAGATTGGGTTAATTAATCTCAGTGCTATTACTGGGGATTCAAGATTTATTGTGCTGCAGGCATGTGGCTCACACCTATAATCCCAGCACTTTGGATGCCAAGGCAGGAGGATAAGATGAGTCCATAAATTTAAGACCGGTTTGGGCAACATAAAGAGACCTTGTATCTACAAAAAATAAATAAATAAATAATCCAGTGAGAGTGGTGCACCTGTAGTCCCAGCTACTTGGGGGCTGAGATCAGAGGATCACTTGAGCCCTGGAGGTTGAGGGTGCAGTGAGCTGTGATCATGCAACTGCAGTCCAGCCTGGGCAACAGAGCCAGACCCTGTCTCAAAAAATTAACAAAAAAAGATTTATTTTGTAGTTCTCCTGGTAGAGATCTTTCATCTCCTTGGTTAGATGTATTCCTTGGTATTGCCGTCTTAGGTAGAGGAAGAGGGCTCAAACATCTTGCTTATGTGATAACTTTGCCAAAGACACAATGTACAATTTGTTTTAAAGGCCAGTGAGGGATGTACCAGTAATCAGAATGTTTTGGCAAACAGAAGACTTTGGTGGTAGCTAACTGATCACAGGGTCCCTAGAATGAAATAGATGAGAAGCATACTTAGAGTATTGTTTGATCTCTATATCAAGAAAAGTTCCGGGTCTGGTAGTCAAATGTTCAACAGATGCCTACCTAGCTTTCAACCCTAAGTCAATTCACAGTTGCAGAGTGATACCACACGGACCATGAAAAGAACACTTGTTTGTATGACTGAGACAAAAAAGAATGTCATCGTGTTCTACCTTACCTGGGAATATGCTCAATTGGTGACAAAATTGTTGCCACTCTGTGCATGACCACAAAAGTACCGCAGGTATTGATTTTGAAGTTACACATAAACTTTAGTGAGTGGGCATATTTGCAAATATGTAACCTGAGAATAATGAAGATTAACTATCTTTAAACAACATAAGGAGTCAACATCAGTTTCTGAAGTAAAATAATGACTAAGTTAAATTTTCAAGGGCAAATTCAGATTCCAAGTGCACAGAACATAGGAAGAAAAGGACATGCAAATCAGAAAAATTCACAAGTGTAATGAGGCGAGAAGGGACATGGCGCACCAATTACAAAGGAATCAGAATGATCTGTTCATAGAGTTGTAAATGGGGTTGTGGAGGAAGAAATGAGGATGAACAGATAGGCAAGACAAGTTCTTTTCCTTCTATGTAAATAAGAGAAACTGAGAAATTGTAACGTAAGACAAGATCTAATATTATTTTTGGACTTCAGAATGGTATTGCATAAATGCTTAATTGTTCCTGATTTCGGGAGGGGAAAATGGAAATAGCATTTCCGTTGCATTTTTGTGAACAAAATTTGAGTGATCATGTTCTTTGTTGCATGTGGTAGATGGAGAGGTGAATGAAAGATTCAGCTTTCTTCCTGTACTTGAGGCATCTGTGAATTGGGAATTCAGACAAACAGATAAGCAACTAATTCTGGATATAAAATTTGTGATTTAGGCTATGCATTCTACTGGGGAATTTCAGATGTATAGGAATGTAGTTGAAATTTAAGTGGTCAGGGAATGCTATCTAGAGGAAGAAAATTATGACTAGAGACAAGAATAAATAGTAGTAACTTAAAAAAATATATATCAGGGAAGAAAAAATGGATTTTTGTTCCAGGAAAGAAACTAAGTATGAACAGATGATGAACTATTTCAGGAACTGTGTCTGCAATTCGTTCCTTCCAGTGGGTTCTTGGTCTTGCTGACTTCAAGAATGAAGCCGTGCACCCTGGCAGTGAGTGTTACAGTTCTTAAAGATGGTGTGTCCAGAGTTTGTTCCTTCAGATGCTCAGATGTGTCCAGAGTTTCTTCCTTCTGGTGGGTTCGTGGTCTTGCTGACTTCAGGAGTGAAGCCACAGACCTTCGCAGTCAGTGTTACAGCTCTCAGTCCGGAGTTGTTCCTTCCTCCAGGTGGGTTCATGGTCTCGCCGGCTTCAGGAGTGAAGCTGCAGACCTTTGCGGTGTTACAAGCGTTACAAGCTCGTAAAGGTAGTGTGGACCCAAAGAGTGAGCAGCAGCAAGATTTATTGCAAAGAGCAAAAGAACAATGCTTCCACAGCGTGGAAAGGGACCCCAGTGGGTTGCCACTGCTGGCTCCGGTGGCCAGCTTTTATTCCCTTATTTGGCCCTGCCCATGTCCTGCTGATTGGTTCATTTTACAGAGTGCTGACTGGTCCATTTTTACAGAGTGCTGATTGGTGCGTTTACAAACCTTTAGCTAGACACAGAGCACTGATTGTTGTGTTTACAATCCTTTAGGTAGACAGAAAAGTTTTCCAAGTCCCCACCCAACCCAGAAGCCCAGCTGGCTTCACCTCTCAGAACCACAGATACAAATTATTTTATTTACCTGAATCAATCTGAAAGCATATGCTGGGGCTGGATGTTGAGGATACTTAATGGCACATTAATTCTTTGATTTTGTATATGTTTAGATACATTCATTAGCTACAGTTTGCAGCTTCCTAACAGGGATTCCACAGATATGACTGTAAATTGAGAATTTTGGTTTCCCAGTGTCTGAAAAGTGGTTAACCCAAAGTTTTGGCTTTAGAGAAAGAGTCTATACAGGCAAAAGCGTAGAGGGTTTGGCAGAGAAAAAACAAAAACAAAAACAAAACATCCTAAGGGCCAAAGGAAATGGTTGCAAGGAAAACGGTCAAAAACTTGCATCATTCTCTTCATCCACTCACACCACTCTATGCAGGATCCCAAATCAGTCCTTGAATGTTTCGGCACAGGTTCCATTCATGCTTTCCAATGGAAACTTCATTTGGTTTATAGGATTCAGGATTGTGGAACCATCCGGTATCAAGAAAATAAAAGGCCATGAAAAAGTTTACAGAATGTTGGTATAAGCAGCTGCTAGGGATATTACTGAGTTTTAATGGGAGAGATAGTCCCAGAAAGCTGGAAGAAGAAAGATCAGGGCCAAGCGCGGTGGCTCACACTTGTAATCCCATCACTTTGGAGGCAGAGAGGGGCGGATCACTTGAGTCCAGGAGTTCGAGACCAGCTTGGGCAATGTGGATAAACCCCATCTCTACAAAAACATACAAAAAATTGCTGTGTGTGGTGGTGCACGCCTGTGGTCCCAGGTATTTGGGAGACTGAGGTGGGAAGATCACCTGAGCCCAGGAGGTGGCAGTTGCAGTGAGCAGAGCTGAGGTCTGGCCACTGCATTCCAGCCTGGGCTACAAAGCAAAGTCCTGTCTCAAAAAAAAAAAAAAGATCGGAGCAAGAAAAAGGAAAAAGATGGGTAAAAACATAGAAACGACTAAGTTCATTTCAGCAGGAATATATTTTTAAATATATTTCAAAACTGAAACAATGCTATGTTTTGCTGCAGTGTGTGAGGGAACACAATTCAGGCTAATGCACAGTAAAAATGCAGGGAAGCCTGGCCCCGTAACCACTTTTAATACCACATACTACAGTTAACAGTTGGTGAGAACCCTATTAGGCTGATTTCAATTACAAACATGGATGTACAGGAGTATGTTTTAATGGCACACATGCATAGTTCATATTTTATTAGAAAATCTGTTCAGGCCGGCTACAGTGGCTAACGCCTGTAATCCTAGCACTTTGGAAGGCTGAGGCGGGTGGATCACCTGAGGTTAGGAGCTCAAGACCGGCCTGGCCAACATGGTGAAACCCCGTCTCTACTAAAAATACAAAAATTAGCTAGGCATGGTGCCGCGCGCCTGTAATCCCAGCTACTCAGGAGGCTGAAGCAGGAGAATCGCATGAACCCGGGAGGCAGAGGTTGCAGTGAGCCAAGATCGGGCCACTGCACTCCAGCCTGGGCAACAGAGCAAGACTCCCTCTTGGGAAAAAGAAAAGAAAAGAAAAGAAAGAAAGAAAATCCGGGCTGGGCACAGTGGCTCACTTCTGTAATCCCAACATTTTGGGAGGATCACTTGAGATCAGGAGTTCAAGACTAGCCTTGCCAACATGGTGAAACCTTGTCTCTACTAAAAATACAAAAATTAGCTGGGCATCAGCTACTCTTGAGGCTGAGGCAGGAGAAAGGCGTGAACCCGGGAAGTGGAGCTTGCAGTGAGCCGAGATCGCGCCACTGCACTCCAGCCTGGGCAACAGGGCAAGACTCCGTCTCAAAAAAAAAAAAAAAAAAAAATTAGCTGGGCGTGGTGGCATGTGCCTGTAATCCTAGCTACTTGGGAGGCTGAGGCAGGAGAATCGCTTGAACCCAGAATTCAGAGGTTGCAGTAAACTGAGATCCTGCCACTGCACTCCAGGCTGGGTGAGAGAGCAAGACTCCGTCTCAAAAAAAAAAAAAAAAAATTAAAAATTAAATCCACCAAATTAGCTCAAGAACACTTCCTTGACTGGCTCAGAAATCCCATCCGATTTTAAGATAGATGTTAAAAAATAACAGGGAGGACCGGGTGCGGTGGCTCAGACCTGTAAACCCAGCACTTTGGGAGGCCGAGGTGGGGGGATTATGAGGTCAGCAGTTCGAGACCAGCCTGGCCAATATGGTAAAACCCTGTCTCTACTAAATATACAAAAATTAACTGGGCATGGTGGCGTGCGCCTGTAGTCTTAGCAGCTCAGGAGGCTGAGGCAGGAGAGTCGCTTGAACCCGGGAGGCGGAGGTGGCAGTGAGCCGAGATCAAGCCACTGCACTCGAGCCTGGGTGACAGAGTGAGACTCCATCTCAAAAAAAAAAAAAAAAAGACACATTATTTCATTTTAATAATGTTAGTCAATTTTTTTTGTTGTCGATGAGTTGCGTTTTGTTCATTAAGAATCAGCTGTAACATTTGTTGGGACTTGGTAGAAGATAACTGCTAGGTGGTTGTAGCTGCCAGGCTTTTAATGAGAGGAGCTTAGTTTAGCGAAAATAAAAGAAAAACAAAGATTAATATTTGGAATAAACTGTAAACTCAGCTTCTGAGTCCAGAGATCAGCCAGTCAAGATTGTTTAGACTTGAGCTTATCTTTAGATGGTGAAGTTAGGAAGGTAGTGACAGTCTAATGAGTTTTCCTAGTTTACAGTTTGTATGTCTTTGGTGATTACATCCAGTGTTCTGGTGAACTTCCTGAGGGGCCCACCCAGCAACAGACACAAAGGTGATTTATTTGAAACTGTAGGAACGAAAAAGTAATATATTTTCATCACCCATTACAAGGTTAACGAGTGAGACTCCTATAACAAAAGACATATTAATAAGAAAAAATAATATCAAATGTAGTTACTAAAAGTATTATGTGACATGGGAGCTTTTAGAAATGAAGATCAAAAGAACCAGGGAGAATCCTGGGTTTTTTTGTTTTTGTTTTTGTTTTTAATTGAGACAAGGTCTGGCTTTGTCACCCTGGCTGGAGTTCAGTGACACGATCCCAGGTCACTTCAACCTCCACCTCCATGGGCTCAAGCCATATTCCACCTCAGCCTCCCGAGTAGCTGGGACTACAGGTGGGTGCCACTGCACCTGGCTAATTTTTGTTTTGTTTTGTTTTTGTAGAGATGGGGTTTTGCCTTGTTGCCCAGGCTGGTCTTGAGCTCCCAAGCTCAACTGATTCACCCACCTTGACCTCCCAAAGTGCTGGGATTACAGACATGAGCCACCGTACATGGCTGGAAAAATCTATTTTTACAGAGAGCTATGCAAATGTGTGATTGGAAAACAAATGGGTATGACCTAGTGGCAATAATCTGAGGAGAAATTAGCCAGATCTGTTCAGATTCTTCTTGGTCTCTGCGTATAGAAAAGGACTGCTCCTGAGTGAGGAATTTATGACCTACTTTCCGGGGAGGTAGGTCAGAGAATTCTTTTGTGACCCACTTCAGGGGGAAGAGGTCAAAGACTGTGCTTCCTGCATCTATTATCTCAATTTCTGAGGTGCCATATTTGGGGGCATTATTTACAGAGACTCAAGGGGGTGTAAGTGCCTATTATCAGAGGTCATTCTTACGGAGGCTATTAACGAAATTTTAGGTGAATGGCTGAGCAGACATCTAGAAGTTGTCATCCAGTCTATTTCTAATTAGGTTTTTTCTTTTCTGACGCAGGTAGTTGATTTTGCAGGATCTGCTGTCCCTTAGGAGAAGAGGGCCCTAAAGTTCAAGTGATTGTGGGACTGGAGGAGATAAAAGGCTGGCAGGGGAGGGCAGAGGGAGGGAGGATGAAGCAGTTAGGGGCTTGAAGGGGGAAATATCAAAGGAGGCAAGAGAACTGAAGGGTAAAATAATGCCAAAAAAGAGGTGGACAGAGTTGGCAAAGCATATCGTAAGCAGGGATTTGAGAAGAGGGGATTCAGATGACAGAGAACATCCCAAGGGAGAAGCAGAATCCAATATAGAGAATGGATTGGTCTTAAATAGAGCTGGGAGTAAAAGATTCGCAGCCCAGGAAGTCAGGGAATAATACCTACGGAGGAAGGACTTCCAGGCCAAGTATCCAGGGAATAATCCCCACTGCTATGGTTCTAATGATGGTGCCCTCTCAAAAATTCGTGTTGAGGCCGGGCATGGTGGCTTATGCCTGTAATCCCAGCACTTTGGGAGGCCGAGGCAGGCGGATCACAAGGTCAGGAGATCGAGACCATCCTGACTAACATGGTGAAACCCCGTCTCTACTAAAAATATAGAAAAATTAGCCAGGCGTGGTGGCGGTCGCCTGTAGTCCCAGCTACTCGGGAGGCTGAGGCAGGAGAATGGCATGAACCCAGGAGGCAGAGCTTGCAGTGAGCCGAGATCGTGCCACTGCACTCCAGCCTGGGTGACAGAGCGAGACTCCATCTCAAAAAAAAGAAAAAAATCATGTTGAAATGTAATCTTCAGTGAAATAGTATGTTGCCCAGGCTGGTCTTAAACTCCTGGGCTCAAGTGATCCTCCCACCTCGGCCTCCCAAAATGCTGGCACTATAGGCATAAGCCACCACGCCTGGCCAAGACACTACCTTGAAAGCACAGAGTAGGCCAGGCGCGGTGGCTCACACTTGTAATCCCAGCACTTTGGGAGGCCAAGGTAGGCAGATCATGAGGTCAGGAATTCGAGACCAGCCTGTCCAACACAGTGAAACCCTATCTCTACTAAAAATACAAAAATTAGCTGGGCATGGTGGTGGGCACCTGTAATGCCAGCTACTCGGGGGGCTGAGGCAGGAGAATCACTTGAACCCGGGAGGTGGAGGTTGTGGTGAGCCAAGATTGCACCACTGCCCTCCAGCCTGGGCAACAGAGCTAGACTCCATCTCAAAAAAAAAAAAAAAAAAAAAAAAAAGAATAAGAAAGAAAGAAAGCACAGAGCAGCCCTTACTAGACACAAATTATGCCAGTGACTTGATGGCGTAATTGGACTTCCTGACTCCAGAACTGTGAGAAACAAATTTCTGTTCTTTATAGATTTCCTAGGCTCAGTTATTATGCTTAGCGGCACAACTGACTAAGATAGAAATTGGTACTGAGAAGTGGCAGTGTTGCAATAACAAATACCTAAAAATGTAGAGGCTGCTTTGGAACTGAGTAATGGGTAGAGGCTGGAAGAGTTTGGAAGTGCATGCTAGAAGAAGGCTAGTTTGCCATGCATTAAGGCGATTCTGACGAGGCTTCAGAAGATGAAAAGCCATAGAGAAAGCCTCCGTCTTTGAGATTATCTAGGTGGTTGTGAACAGAATGTTAGAAAGAATATGGACAGTAAAGGACATTCTGATGAAGTCTTAGATGGAAATGAGGGATATCTTATTGGAAACTGGAGGAAAAGCCATCCTTGTTACAAAGTGGCAGAGGATTTGTTCCTGGAAAGAACAGAACAAGGTCTGGGAAAGAAGGGAGTTTATTTCTGCAGCTGGTTACAGGGAGAAGGCCGGAGTAACTCACCATACCAACTCAAAGTTACAAGTTTTTTTCTAGTGCTTATATACATTTTAAGCTCCCATGCTAGGAGTGGAATTGCACCTCCAAGCAGGAGTGTTTCCTTCAATCTATATCTAAACTTTAACTAGGACCTAGGGTCTGGAAATCTTTCTCTAGAGTCTTGGAAAGCTTTTTAATCTTTTTTTCTTTTTCTTTTTTTTTGCTGTCCATAAGTTTATTGTCTGTATCTGAAAAATCATCATAGAAAATTGTTTGGTTTAGCTCTCAGCAGCCTGCTTCTGAGCTCTGAGGAAGCTTGCATTCTTTTGAGCTACCCAATCCTTCTTCTGAGCAAGGGACATTTTGGGATGGTTCCACCTCTTCTTTTTAACTTCTTTCTTGGGCTTATTTTCATAGACTGGATTCTCTCGTATAGCAGCATGAGCTTCCTTATACATTTCCTCCATCATGTCTGGAGTTACCCTGTTCTTTATGTATTGAGAGAACTGTTTCTTGTAAGCATTTTCATCTTCTTCCATTAAGTAGCACATGTAATCGGCAACATTCTGGCCCATGATGTGCTTCCGGTGTACTTCTGCATTAAATTCCTTGCTTTCAGAACCATAACCAGGGAATTGTTTGGTACTGTGAGGGATAGACAAGCCTCCATCCACAGCTCCCTTCAGGGCACCAAAAACTTTATTGCCAGTGGTAGTTCTGGCAAGGCCTGCATCCAAATAGCAGGTAAAGGCACTTGGCTGACCATCAATGCTTTCCACAATGTATTCATCGCCAGTCACCTCCACTTGGCCTTCATAGATCTTGTCCATGCCAAACCTACTGAGAAGCCTGCGGGCCAGCGGCAGGCCAGTACAATATGCTGCAGCATAATTTGTCGGGCCAACCTTCACACCATATTTTGGCAGTTCGTGTGCATATGCTGTGCAGACTATCATATCCCCCTCTATATGGGCATAAGCAATCTGACAAATGATATCTCTGTTTGTTACACGAACTATCATCCTGTATTTGAGTGTGTTGTATTTATTTTTATCCTGTATCACCAAGCGTTTCCGAGTATCGTAATCAGTTTTACCCTCTCATCATCGTCTTCTAAATTTCACTTGGTATCTCTTAAAGTAGGCCTTATTCTTAACAACTTTAACAAACCCCATCCTGCAGAACAGAGACCCGCGTCCACAGCTCAACAGAGACCAGCAGGCACAGCGGCGCTGGGGCAGGGAGAAGGGGAAAGCTTTTTAATCTTCAGTGGGTACCTGGAACAAGGTATCTGTGTAAAATGCTTTTATTATTCAACCAGACTTTAGGCTAAGAAAGCCCATTTTAATGGGTTTATTTTAATATTCCAGCCCTCATGCTCAGTCACCTGTTTCTCCAGTTCTTTAATGTTTAACTTATACATTCATTAGAATTATAATAGAGGGTCAGTGGAAACTGACTGTTCTGGTTGCTAATGGGAGCCTGCCCTGCCACAAACTTGGTGGAAGTATTTCTGTGTCTTAATAGTTTTTTGGAGGGTAGAATGTAAGAGCGATGAACTAGGACATTTGGCAGAAGAAATCTCTAAGCCAAGTTTTCAGGGTACTGCATAGCTTCTCTTAACTGCTTATAGTAAACTGTGAGAAGAGAAAAGATAGGACTTCTAATCAAAAGGGAAGCAGATTAGCTGGGCATGGTGGCACACACCTGTAGTCCCAGCTACTCTGCAGGCTGAGGTAGGAGGGTTGCTTCAGCACAGGAGGTCGAGGCGGCAGTGAGCTATGATCGTACCACAGTCTGGGCAACAGAGTGAGATCCCATCTCAAAAAAAAATGCTAATTATTATTATTATTATCATTGAGATGGAGTCTTGCTCTGTCGCCCAGGCAGGAGTGCAATGGTGCGATCTCGGCTCACTGCAACCTCTGCCTCCTCCCGGGTTCAAGTGATTCTCCTGACTCAGCCTCCTGAGCAGCTGGGATTACAGGCGCCCGCCACCACACCCGGCTAATTTTTGTATTTTTAGTAGAGATGGGGTTTCATCATATTGGCCAGGCTGGTCTCGAACTCCTGACTTCGTGTTCCACCCACCTCAGCCTCCCAAAGTGCTGGAACTACAGGCGTGAGGCACCTCACCTGGCCAAAGACTATTATTATCATTATTTTATCCAAAATGTGTTTATTGAGATGGTTTCCCACTCATCTTGATTCAGGGTGCTTTTAGTGCTGCTTTCTCCTGAAGGACCATCCTTCCATAAGCCTTGCTTTTCCTCCTGTAGGCTGGCAGAGGAAAGTGCAGCAGCCAACACCCAAAACCACTGTTGGCACATGGCTAAAGACCGTGGTGATTTTATAGCATCCTGGGCATTTCACATCCATGAAGTAGGAATTGGGGCTCTGCACCAGGTGTTTCTTCTTGTGTTTCCTCTTCTCCTCTTCTGGAGAGGGATGAAGGAGATCCTTTGCAAGAAGCATGTTCTTGTGGGTAGGTCGTCAGTGCTGGAAAGGGCCAAAGAAAATTATTTTTAAAGGGAAGTTGAACATAAAGATTTGGAAAATTAACAGCCTGGCCTTGTAAAGAATTTTTTAAATAAGTTCAGGAGACAAAACCAACTGTGTGGCCAACTGACCGTTTCATAAGGAGATTAGTATGACTAGAATGCCAGATGCTATTCATTAAGACAATGGGAGAATGACCCTGAAGACATTTCAGAGAGCACTGAGAATGCCACAACCATCACAGGCCCAAAGTGCCAGGTCCTTGAGGGAATAACAATTTTAAGGAAGGAGCCCAGGATTCCAGTGCAACCCAAGATGCCTGTGGGAACTTGGGGCTCACTGACTATGCTGCCTCATGTATCTGCTCCCTGAAGTCAAGCAAAGCTTCCCCATCTGTGGTTCAGGTGGGCCCAGGTACAGCTCAGATCACTCCTCCAGAAAACACAAGTAGTAAAACATGGGGCAGCATGCATGTGGTGCTAACTGCAGGCATGCTAAATCCACAGCTGTGAAGGCATGGCTTTCTCCACCTAATTTCCAAGGAAGCCTTGAAGAATGCCTCAGGGCCCAATCAGAGAACTGCTGTAGGGGCAGGGCTGCCATAGAAAGTTCCCACTAGGGCAATGTCCAGCAGAACTATTGGGTTGGGGCCACCACAGAGTGCCCTCACTAGGGCAATACTCAGTGGAGCCATAGGGACAGGGCCACCCCTGAGTTCCTAGACCCAGACCTGTAGATCCGGTAGTGCGTATTCCAACCTGTAATAGACATAGACACCTGACTACAACCTGTAGAACTGTGGCATGGGCTGACTCCAGCAGTCATGGCAGCAGGGTCCCCTGGGGGCTTGGGAACCTAAGCACTACCCCAGTGTCTCTGTAAGGTGAGAGGTAGAATCAAAAAAGCTGACTCTCACACCTCAAGATTGAATTTTGTTGGCCTTGTTGGGTTTTGAAGTTATGTGGGACATGTTACCCCTATCTTCTTGCCTATTTCCTCCACCAACCTTTTGTTTTTGCCATGGGGTCGAGCTATGTCACCCAGGCTGGTCTCAAATTCCTGGGCTCAAGAGATCCTCCTGTCTCAGCCTCCTGAATAGCTAAGACTGCAGGCACCATGCCTGGCTTATTTCTGACTTTTATAAAGGGAATGTTTATCCTGTGCCTGTCCAACCATTGTATTTTGGAAACACATAATCTGTTTGACTTCACAGGTTCACAGCTGGAGAGCCATTGTCTCGGGATTAATTGTACCTTGAGCATCACCTATATCTGATTTAGATGATATTTACATGCGACTTTCGACTTACACTTGAAAGTTGATGCTGGAATGAGTTAAGACATTTTGGAGTTACTAAGATGGAATGGACATATTCTTGTGGGTGAGAACGACATGAATTCTCATGTCATGGCAAGGGTGGAGTGCTATGGTTTGAATAATGGTGTCCCTTCTAAAATTAGTGTGGAAATTTAATGCCCAATGCAACAGTATTAAGAGGTTTGGCAATTGCGTGGTGACTAAGCCATGAGGGCTCTGCTCTAATGCATGAGATTAACATCTCTATAAAAGTGTATTAATTTAAAGGGAGTACTTTCTTGCCCTTCTGCCCCATTCACCATGTGAGGACATAGTCATGGCTCCTCCACAGGATGCAGCAACAAGACATCATCTTGGAAACAGACAGCAGCCCCGTTTAGACCTCCTTCTGCTGCTTTGATCTTGGACCTCTCATCCTCCAGAAACACGACAAATAAGTTTATGTTCTTTATAAGTTACTCATTATCAGGTATTTATTTATTTATTTTTTTGAGACAGAGTCTCGCTTTGTCGCCCAGGCTGGAGTACAGTGGTGTGATCTCAGCTCACTGCAACCTCCGCCTCCTGGGTTCAAGTGATTCTCCTGCCTCAGCCTCCTGAGTAGCTGGGATTACAGGCATGCACTACCACACCTGGCTAACTTTGGTATTTTCAGTAGAGACAGGGTTTCACCATGTTTGCCAGTCTGATCTCGAACCCCTGACCTTAGGTGATCTGGCCCCATCTGCCTCCCAAAGTGCTGGGATTACAGACGTGAGCCACTGTGCGTGGCCAATATCAGGTATTTCTAATAGCAGTACAACGGACTAAGATACTCAGGAAAACAGAGCCAGGAGGAAAAATATTCTATCTCAGGGAGTTAAGGAATCATGCCCACTCAAGAAAGAGTATAAGGGCTGGGCATAGTGGCTCACGCCTGTAATCTCAGCACTTTGGGACGACAAGGTGGGCAGATCACTTGAGGTCAGGAGTTTGAGACCAGCCTGGCCAACATGGTGAAAGACCACCTCTACTAAAAATACAAAAATTAGCCAGGCGTGGTGGCACATGCCTGTAATCCCAGCTACTTGACAGGCTAAGGCTGGAGAATCGCTTAAACCTGGTGGGAGGCAGAGGCTACAGTGAGCCAAGATCACGCCACTGCACTTCAGCCTGGGTGACATAGTGAGACTCCGTCTCAAAAAAACAAAACAAAACAAAACAAAAAAAACAAAGAAAAAGAGTGTAGGGGAAAAATAACACTCAGTTTATTTTTTAGTCCAAACAGACCCCTTTAACAAAATAAAGATTAACAAGAGAAAAGCAAACAAGTTTATTAATGTGTGTATTTCATCTACACATGGAAAATACCCAGAGAATGAATAGTTATCAAAGAAGTGCTTTGAATTCCAGCATATATAGCATCTTCAGCAGAGAACCGTACATTTTTAGAGAAGTGAAAAGATAAAGAAAAAGGAGATTGTGTCCGTAGGGGTGACAACTTACGGAAAGGCAAATAAATTGCAGATAAATTCAGTTACTAAGCATGTTGCTATAAATTCCTTTGGTATCATTTCCAGGCTGACCAGGGTCTAAAGTTTTCTTCAGTGGTTAGCCTTTGTTCTCCCTGGTAAAAGCGTGAGTGTGGAGAGTGGGGAGGGAGAGGGTACCTTTTGTCTTCGCAACTCTATATCTTGCTTTTCGGCCAGTAAAGGAAGAACAAAAAACTTCCCTGCATCTGCTTCTTCTTAATTGTCTTCAGCTCAACAATGCTTCCAGTTTTAGGGTGGCATATTCTGGCCTCCCACAAGAGCCAGGAAGAACAGATGTGCAGCCCAACGGTGAGGAAATAATTTTCACCCTACAAAGAGCCAGGAAAAAGACCTTCCATTCCAGGAAGTACCTTTCAAAAGATACCTGGGAGTCTAATCCAGCTTCAAACTATACTCTGAATTCTTAAGAATCAAGGCCAGGTGTGGTGGCTTATGCCTGTAATCCCAGCATTTTGGGAGGCTGAGGCAAGGGGATCGATCACTTGAGCCCAGGGTTTGAGACCAGTCTGGGCAACATAGCGGGATAGTGAGATCCTCTCCACACACAAAAATTAAAAATAAAAATAAATAAAAAAAATTAAAACCTATCCTTACAAGCTTCAGTGGACACTTGTCCAGAGCAATCAATGGCTCCAGAGTCTAATTCACCAGTGGATCCCCAATCAACTTATTAGGAATAAAGACAAGGTTTCAAAGGTGCACCCTGAGGTCCTGGGTGAGAGGTCCAGGGGACCAAAAATGAATAACTGAAAAAATTATATATTCAGTGATACTTATTAAAGCATGGTAAAGAAAACTTTATTCAGGACCATTGTGATAGATACAGGGACCAATGCAATGGGATTTTGCAATGGAATAGAGAGATTGCTCTGAACTCCAAATAGATCATGGGAAAAAGGGACGTTATAACCAAGAAGCAGGGTTGGGGTGTAGTGGGTGAAGGAATGGAAAATTACTAAAAGGAAACATCAGGGATAAGGGGGATTCTGGCTAAACTGACACCTAACAAGATTCTTGTTAAAGATGGGCCAGAGTGGTCATGTATCACTTGGAAGATGGTGGAAGATGAACCTGATCAGATATCAAGGGTGATCAGATATCAAGGAGAAGAGGGTTCTTTTTTATATTTATTTATTTATTTATTTTTGAGACAGAGTCTCGCTCTGTCATCCAGGCTGGAGTGTAGTGGCGTGATCTCGGCTCACTGTAACCTCCGCCTCCTGGGTTCAAGTGATTCTCCTGCCTCAGCCTCCTGAGTAGCTGGGATTACAGGCGTGCACCACCATACCCGGCTAATTTTTGTATTTTTAGTAGAGATAGGGTTTCACCATGTTGGTCAGGCTGGTCTCAAACTCCTGACATCGTGATCTGCCCGCTTCGGCCACCCAAGGTGCTGGGATTATGGGGGTGAGCCACCTTGCCCGGCCGAGAAGAGAGTTCTTGATAAACAGACTTCCTTGTTAAAACTAGATTTTATAATGAGGTCCACAGATGGGTGGAGGAGAAGCCTGAGTAAATTTTGGTTAAGCAGAGAAACTTTGTCATCCCTCCTGTATGCATTATGCTCCCTTTTCTCCAGTGGAGCTCTCTTCAACCTTGATGTTATTGTCCAATCAGTTTGTTTTCCCAGTGTTGATGTTCTGATTTCATCCTACAAAAATATAGCATAAACTTGTATTTGTTGCATTCTACAACATAAGCCTGACAATATAACAAACTGTTCCCAAAGTTATAAATTCCTCGTCTTTTTATTTGTAATTTGACTTTTAAAAATCTATGTAATTATAGAAGAATGTTGCTACTATAAAAATTTTAAGGGGTGGCAGGGAATAATTCCAAAATTATAAAACTCCTTGTGACAAATTTAGGAATGATATTCAGCTAGTTCTATAGTTTTTTATTCCTTGAATAATCAGCGATATACATCTGATTATATACACACATTGTGGTTTTTTTTTGGCCAGGTTGACTTTTTTTTTTTTTTTTTTTTTGAGATGGAGTCTCACTCTGCCACCCAGGCTGGAGTGCAATGGCACAATCTCGGCTCACTGTAACCTCTGCCTCCCGGATTCAAGTGATTCTCCTGCCTCAGCCTCCCATTACAGGCACCCGCCACCAAGCCTGGCTAACTTTTGTATTTTTAGTAGATAATGGGGTTTCACTACGTGGGCCGGGCTAGTCTTGAACTCCTGACCTCGTGATCCACCCACCTCGGCCTCCCAAAGTGCTGGGATTACAGGCGTGAGCCACCGCGCCCAGCCTTGGTTGACTTATTCTTTTAAGGAGCAATGTGGGTTAATGTTTCAAAGTGAAAAAATTTAAAAACTTAGGGGAAAGTGGGGGGAGAGAGAGACAAAGACAGAGACAGAAAGAGAGACAGAGTGAGAGATGGAGAGAGATCAGATAGGTACATAAGCTTAGTGACTCAGCCTGTAGTCCCAGTTACTTAGGAGGCTAAGGCAGGAGGATTGCTTGAGCCCAGAAACTCAAGTTTTCAGTGAGCAGTGATCTGCAACACTGCACTCCAGCCCATGTGATAGAACCAGATCGTCTCTAGAAGAAAAAAAAAGAAGAAAAAAATACATATACATACATACATTGGTGTTTGTTTCTACATATGCTTCATAGTATATGTGTACATGGATTATAGGTAGATCATATAATGGTAACAGTATTAAATTAGGTGTCAGCATTTGTTGAGGAAGTAGTACGCTCGTGTTTGAAATTTTAATTAAGAATTGTGTACGGAGTTGGTTCCTTCCGGTGGGTTTGTGGGTTTGTGGTCTCACTGACTTCAAGAATGAAGCCACAAGCCTTCTGAACCTTCGTGGTGAGTGTTACAACTCTTAAAGGTGGCACAGACCCAAGGAGTGAGCCGCAGCAAGATTTATTGTGAAGATCGAAAGAACAAAATTTCCACAGCATAGAAGCAGACTGAGCAGGTTGCCACTGGTGGCTGGGGTGGAGTGGCCAGCTTTTATTCCTTATTTGTCCCCACCCATATCCTGCTGATTGGTCCATTTTACAGAGTGCTGACTGGTCCATTTTACAGGGTGCTGATTGGTCCATTTTACAAACCTCTAGCTACAGAGCATCGATTGGTGCATTTTTACAGAGCACTGATTGGTGCATTTTACAAACCTGTTGTAAGACAGAAAAGTTCTCCAAGGCCCCACCTGACCTACGAAGTCCAGGTGGCTTCATCTCTCAGAATCAGCTTTTAAAGGCCATAAATTTCCAGGTAAGTAGGAATAGAAGAAATGAACATTTCCTTTGAGATCTATGATGTCATATTTTTTTCTCCATCAACGATTTAGTTCCTTCTGGATCAAATACTTTTTAAATGGATGTATGTTTTATAGTAGATGTTATGTTGTCTTAATTATTTTAAAACTCCTATTCCTGGACTCTCCTGAAGAGGAGAATTTAGTAATTTCGAAGTATTTTTTGAGGCTAGGGAAGAAAAACCAAGATTACTGCATAAGGTTTCAGGGGATGTTCCATGCCTGCCACCTGGTGAAAATGAGGGAGCTTTCCTCCTACCTGCCACCATTACACCTGCCTGCAGGTAATAACGCCATCATTTCAACGCGGCCTGGGGTATTCTGGGAAGGTGACGTGTGGGGGCGCAGTGACCGCTAGCAGGGGCCAAACCCGCCCTGGTCTGCGCTGCAGTGCGCAGTGAGGATGTTGGTGCTGCTCTTCAGGGTTTTCTTTCCGCAGCCACGGGAAGCCCGTGTTCCATATTTGTTTTTCATGTTCTCTCGTTTTTATGTTGTGGATTTAGTTTTTTAAAAACCATAAATGTTCCTCTACAGTCTTAACAATGTACCCTGTAAAATAAGATTTTAAAAGAGCCAACTTCCCTATTAATCTTATACTTTTTTCTTTTCGTTCTGGCTTTAACAAATGTGACCTAAAGAGAGCTCTTGATTTTATGTAGAACAATACAAGAATAGTTTTACATTAATCTTATGGTTAGAAAAATCATTTATGGGCAAATTTGTTCCCATGCCTTACTTTTAAAATATTGTGTTGTCTTTAATTTTCAAAATACTTTAAATATTTTTCAGTAAGTTTGAGGGTAGAATTTATTTTAATGAGACTCCTCTTATAAAAAGTACGTATCTGTATGTGCATATGTGTATACTGAATTTGCTTTGCTTTTGATTCTATCATTCTGTCACTTTTCTATCAAAATATCTCTAATGGACAGAGGCCAGAGACAAGGACTTTTACAGCAAATTTGCCACAGTACCACACATTTTATCTTAAAAGATGGTATGGATTTTGCATAACATATATATGCAAACATATATATATATAACATAATATATATGTGTATATATATATAACATTATATATATGTGTATATATATAACATAATATATATGTGTATATATATAACATAATATATATGTGTATATATAACATAATATATATGTGTATATATATAACATAATATATATGTGTATATATATAACATAATATATATGTGTGTATATATAACATAATATATATATGTGTATATATAACATAATATATATGTGTGTATATATAACATAATATATATGTATATATATAACATAATATATATGTATATATATAACATAATATATATGTGTGTATATATAACATAATATATATGTGTGCATATATATAACATAATATATATGTGTGCATATATATAACATAATATATATGTGTGCATATATATAACATAATATATATGTGTGCATATATATAACATAATATATATGTGTGCATATATATATAACATAATATATATGTGTGCATATATATATATAACAATATATATATGTGCGCATATATATAATATATATATGCGCACATATATATAACAATATATATATGTGCATATATATATAACATAATATATATATGTGCACATATATATAACATAATATATATATGCGCACATATATATAACATAATATATATGCGCGCATATATATATAACATAATATATATGTGCGCATATATATATAACATAATATATATGTGCGCATATATATATAACATAATATATATGTGCGCATATATATATAACATAATATATATGTGCGCATATATATATAACATAGCCGTTTGGTTTATTTTATGTGTGTGCGTTAAAAAGTTATTCAATTGCTGGGCGTGGTGGCTCACGCCTGTAATCCCAGCACTTTGGGAGGCCGAGGCGGGCGGATCACGAGGTCAGGAGATTAAGACCATCCTGGCTAACACGGTGAAACCCCGTCTCTACTAAAAATACACAAAAAATTAGCCGGGCGTCGTGGCGGGCACCTGTAGTCCCAGCTACTCGGGAGGCTGAGGCAGGAGAATGGCGTGAACCCGGGAGGCGGAGCTTGGAGTGAGCCGAGATAGCGCCACTGCATTCCAGCCTGGGCGACAGAGCGAGACTCTGTCTCAAAAAAAAAAAAAAAATATTCAATTATGCTTGTTAAAGCAAGGTAAGGGTCACCATGGTGATAGGTACAGGGACCTCTGCAGATAGAGATTGGGCTAACTCCAAACAGCGTAGGCAAGCGGAAATTTATAACCAAAGAGCAGGCTGGGAGGTCTGTGAATGGAAAATTACCAATGAGAAACCTCAAAGGTTAGGGGGATTCTGGCTAAACCAGCCTAACAGGATTTTTGCTGAAGACAGGCCAGGGTGATCAAACATCACTTGGGGGATGGTGCAGGATGATGAACCTGGTAAGATATTAAGGGTGATCAGATATCAAAGGTAAGGAAGTTCTTGCTAAAGCTGGATTTGACAAGGAAGTGCACAGACTGGAGAAGGTTCAGGTGCCTGACTAATGTTTGATCAAGCAAAGAATCTTTGTCAGTGTACAGAACGCTATGTTTTTATAAAATGTTCCTCTGCCCCATTTGTATCTCCCCTTTTCATGGAACACAAAGCACGTTTTGCATAACTTCTAGATACATGTACTTCTATTTTGAATGACCTGATATATCTTTTTTCTTTACAATTCTCAACCTCAGCATATGTAAGTGGAACTCAGAAGGCAACATTCCCTGAACATACTCTTCCACCAGAATCTCCTCTACAGATTTTTGCTGCCCCTTTTACCAGTGGCTGAATCTACTTTCTCTTATGTAAGTAGAAATTTTATATATCTCCAGCCTCTTCCTCCTTACCTTCCACTTGCATGCACATCCTGTCTAGTCTGTGACCTCCTCTGTTATAAATGCTTGTAAACCTTTTTTTCTGAATCAGAAACGTGTTGTGTTGCTCAAGCCGTGTTCATTTTAATTACGATTTAACTGCATAATTTAATTATTTCCCCATTTTTTGGATACAGTGTTTGCTTTTCTCCGGTTACTTTGTTCTAGTATATCCCTCTGGCAAGAGCAGTCATTTCCCCACTTGAGTGTGCATTAGTATCACCTGGGGGCTTGTTAAACACAGCGTGCAAGCTCCATCCCAGGGTTTCTAATTCTCAGGGTTTGGTTTGCGGCAGAAGAATCTGCATTTCGAACAAGTGCCAGGACTGGTCTGAGGAACACACGTTGAGAGAGGTGGGATTCGGGTTCACTAACCTGGGTTAGAGAAAATTACAGTAATGTGCCAAATCTGAGGAGGGAGCAGAGCTGAAGCCCAGTTTCAATATGTGAATGAGTGCTTTATACACTCAAACCCCCTCAAGGGCTGGGGAGTAAGGGAGAACGTGGGCGGGCAGCGGGCGTGTATAGAGGCATAAACTCAATCCCAGACCTATGGATTCAGAATCACATGTTAACAATTCTTCCAGTGTTTTGTATGTTTATTATAGTTTGAGAATGACTGGACCAAATTGCCTCCAAAATCTTAAGTCCCAGCAGTGAAGCGAAGCTCAGACATCATTTGCATAGCTATTGCTTTGTGTCTGTGTTTTAGGTCAGCTGCTGTTAAAGGTTTGTTTCGGAGAGTTACCCAGGTGTAGTACCCTTCCAAGTAGATAATGATTGAAAGAGTATGTGCTGGAGGTGTATGATATTTTCCATCCACTTCAGCCCATTTTTCTGATGGGTCAGTGACAGTCCATGATTTGTCTGGTGTAATACAAATTCTGGAAGTGGCATATATCCAAGGACAGCCATAATATTCCACTTGGCCAAGGCTCTTCTGACAGGCTCATGTTCATGCAGGATCAGATCTGACCCAGAATCAACAGAACTGAAGCTGCAAATTCAGCTTTGTGAAGGCTTCAGATGTAGCCATGGTTAAAGAAGATTGACATTAAGCAGGTGAGCAGAGTTTGCTTGAGGTTCACCCAGGGAATTCGTGAGGATGCAGGTGCGTTTTTTTATGGCCTGAAAAGCCCAGTTTTTGAGGAGTTACAGTCCCTCTCAGAAACTGTTCCTGCAGAGTAGCCCTGGAAACATGTTTGTCTGCATTCAAGAAAGATCTTCCTTCTGTTCATATAAAGGAAGCCAAACTTATTTCCCAGGTAAGGGAGTGGAAGCAACTGTGATACGGAATCCTAAGGCATGGGGGTTAGTTGTAATCCAGGCAATATGTAGGGTCAGGTTCTCCAAGTCCTCCTGTGGTTAAAGGGCTCCACCCTAGGAAAGTGAGCCACCCAGGGCTTGGTAAATGACCTTATGATCAGCCCTTGGCCTGTTAACATGTCGTAACTGAGGCACAGGACTGGGTTCTTGGTTTGAATTTGCTAGTCAGATGGCCATTGCAGAAAGGGAAGAGAGCACAGTCCTTCAGGCCAACTCACTTGGCCTATTGAAACTGGCTTTTCTGAGCACAGTCTAGTATTGTTGCGAATTAAATACAGCAGAGGATGTAAGTTACCAGTATTAGTCACTATCAGTTGAGTACTTATTCTGTATCAGCCACTGTTCCTCTTTTCCATTTCCACCTGTTATATGTTAGTGACGATAAAAATGCCATACAGACCGGGCACGGTGGCTCACGCCTGTAATCCCAGCACTTTGGGAGGCCAAGGCAAGTGGACCACCTGAGGTCAGGAGTTTGAGACCAGCCTGGCCAACATGGTGAAACCTCCGTCTCTACTAAAAAAAAAAAAAAAAAAAAAAAAAATTAGCCGGGCACCGTGGCGGGCTCCTGTAATCCCAGCTACTAGGGAGACTAAGGCAGGAGAATCGCTTGAACCTGGGAGGCGGAGGTTGCAGTGAGCCAAGATCGTGCCATTGCACTCTAGCATGGGCGACAAAAGCAAAACTCCGTCTCAAAAAAGAGAAAAGAAAAAGCCATACAAAAAGGCTAAGAGCCTTGTTCAACCTCACACATGAAAGTGGCAGGGCTGGGGTATTAATTCAGGCATTCACAATCCAGATCCTCTACACATTTCACTGACATGAAACCCAGAAATTTCAGGTCTACTACCTTGAACCCAGAACTATTTTTCTCAAACTTGTTTTCTTGTGAGCTATATATAGGGAAAAATTGCATACAATACAGTACTGCTTTACAAATATATCATCTAATACCCAAGTCAAGAAAGACATGATCCTGAGCTCCCTCAAAACTCGTGGGTATCCCTTCTGAATCTTGACCTTTTATTCTGACTGAGATGAATCCTCCATGCTGCTCTTTGTAATTTTATTCCTCGTGATTACATACTTAAGCTACAGGAATACATCTTACGTAGTTTTGTTTATTCTTAACTGTATGTATTTTTTTGTCTTTTCCACTTGATATTGCATTTTCTGTATTTATCCATGTTGTGTGTAATTCCAGCTTCTTAATTTTTATTGATGGTGTTCTCTCATTATATATAATATATACAGCATGTAGCATGTATCTTTCTCACTGTGTATGTATACAGAGTGTATGCATATCACTATAGGTATACAGACATATCATTATCCTAGTATTTCCATATCTATGCCACAGTAGGCAGATCCTTTTTTTTTTTTTTTTTTTTTTTTTTGGGAAGACAGAGTCTCGCTCTATTGCTCAAGCTGGATGGAGTGCAGTGGCGCAATCTCAGCTCACTGCAACCTCCGCCTTCTGCATTGAAGCGATTCTCCTGCCTCAGACCCCCATGTAACTGGGACTACAGGCACCTGCCACCACACCCAGCTAATTTTTGTATTTTTAGCAGAGATGGGGTTTTACCATGTTGTCCAGGCTGGTCTCGAACTCCTGACCTCGGGTGATCTGCCTGCCTCAGCCTCCCAAAGTGCTGGGATTACAGGTGTGAGACACCATGCGCGGCTGCAGATCCCTTCTATACCTGATGATTGTTTGGGTTGTGTCTAGTCTGCAGTTATCACCAACACTGCAATCGTAATCACTGAAGTATGTGTATCCTGATTTATATAGGTACACATCTCTCAAGGATCTGTAACTGGTAGTGGAATTCATGGATCTTCAATTCAAATGTTGCTCATGGCAGTGTTAATTATAACAACCACTTTGGTAAACTACCTGCTATTACCTACAAAACCATGTGTACCTTACACACGCACCATCCATTCTACTGTGTGGAGTAGGCCACGGAAAAGTACATGCACAGTTGATGAAAAGACATGTATTTAAATGTTTATAGCAGCATTATTTGTAATAGCCAAAACTGGAAATAAAGCAGAGTGGGTAAGTAAATGGTGGTATAGGAATTCAATGGAATTCAACTATAAATAAAAAATAATGAACTGTATCTACATGTAAAAACCTTGATGAATTTTATAAACACAAAGTTGAGCAAAATAATCTAGGCAAAAACATACTTGTCTGAGCCCATCTCTGTAACATTCAGAAGTCAGTATGACAAGTCAGGATGGTGGTTACCTGTGACAGGAGAGAGGCTGTTTTGGGAAGGGCTCACTTGGGTCTTCTCAGTTGCTGGAGTTCACTGTGATAAATTTAGGATTTGTTTCTTTTTAGTGCCGTGTATGTGTGTGTGTGTGTGTGTGTGTGTGTGTGTGTATATAAACATTTTTTTTTTTTTTTTTTTTTTTTTGAGATGGAGTCTCACTCTGTCACCCAGGCTGGATGCCTGGCTTTTTGTAGTTTAGTAGAAATGAGGTTTCAGCATGTAGCTCTGGCTGATCTCAAGCTCCTGAACTCAGGAGTCTTTCCTCCTGTACAGGAGGGAAGACCTTTCCTCTACTTTCTGAGAATTCAATAATTGAGTCCTTGAAAGAAATTGACAGTAGTCAGATTAATGGGAGAAAAGGTATACAAATTAGATATGGACACAGGGACATCACATGAAAGAAAAGCGAATATCCCAGAACCCAGTGAGATTCAGAAGCTTATGTACCCTCTTCTTAGGACAGAGGGTATAGGTGATTAGGTAACTTAGGGGAGAGTAAACAGTTTGGGGGAAAGATAAATGGACTGTCAGAAGAACAGGTAACAGCCGGTGACAAAGTCTGCGTGTGTTATCAAGGTCTACTCTCCTCTCCTGTGATAGGAGCCAATCTTCCCTGGTTAGTGAGTTTCCTGGGGAGGGGATTCATGACAATTAAGTTCCTTTTAGATAATCTGTCTTTAGATAAGGAAGCTCAGAGAAAACCTCTGCCTGTATGAGCTGCTCCCCACATAACCTCAGTTGAAAGTAATCAGCACACCAAAGCATCATATTTTGGGGTGGAGATCCTCCCGCCTCAGTCTCTCAAGTAGCTAGGACCAGAGGCATGCACCATCATGCCCGGCTACTTTTTTTTTTTTTATTTCTTGCAGAGACAGAGTCTCACCATGTTGCCTAGGCTGGTCTCCAATTCCTGACCTCAAGTGATCCTCCTATCTCTGTCTCCCAAACAGCTGGGATTACAGGCATGAGTTACCATGCCCAGGCTAGGGGTGGCATTTCCTGAACTCCTTCAGCCCTCTTGGGAAATGTGCAGGCAGGAAGAAAGAAAAGAATACCCTTGTCCACAGCCAGGTCTTGTTGAGCTTATGCTTGGCAGAATAGAACCTTACACCCAGCCACGTGAAAACTGGGATGATAAATGTCTGCATGTCTGACAGAAGGTTTGGCCTCTGATTCAGCTGTGGTGATTTTTCCATCTACTTAACTCCAAATTCTATTAGCTAGTATAAACTCTCTATTGGACTATGAACACAGTAAGTACACAATCATATGATTATTTTATCTATTGACTTAAATAGAATTGTGTATGAAGGCTGTACTGAAGTTATTCAGGGTTGAGTCAGGAAAAGCTAAATTTCAACCTCTTTTAAGAAAAATATTGATGCCTCCAAATCCATAGTATATATGTTGCTTACTAGCTTATAAAGGGCCCCTGGAAGAAAGGACATTTCCGGTGTTTTATGTCAATCATAGGAAAATAAGCTATAAGCTTTTTTTTAATTCTTTGATTCTCAAAAGTAGGATTGTGGCCAGGCATGGTGGCTCACACTTGTACAGCACTTTGGGAGGCTGAGATGGGAAGATCGCTCAAGGCCAGGAGTTCGAGACCAGCCTGGGTAACAAAGCAAGACCCCATCTCTACAAAAAGAAAAATGTATGATTGCGTCCCCCTACCACTCCCCAACACTTCCCTGGCTCCACACCCCAGTTCCTCTGCTCTCATTTCTGCTGTGTCTTACTCCATGAAGCTTTCAAAACTGCTTTTATAGAGTCCTCCTTTTCTTTTTTATAAATTTATTATTGTTGTTGTTTAATTAAAAGACAGGATCTCACTCTGTTGTGCAGTTGTGCGATCACTACAGCCTCAATCTCCAAGCGATCCTCCCATCTCAGCCTCCCCAGTGGCTGGGACCATAGGTGCATACCACCATGCCCAGCTAATTTTTTTTTTTTTTGAGACAGAGTCTCGCACTCTTGCCCAGGCTGGAGTGCAGTGGCGCGATCTCGGCTCACTGCAAGCTCTGCCTCCCAGGTTCACGCCATTCTCTGGCCTCAGCCTCCCGAGTAGCGGTAGCGCCCGCAACCACACCCGGCTAATTTTTTGAATTTTTAGTAGAAATGGAGTTTCACTGTGTTAGGCAGGATGGTCTCGATCTCCTGACCTTGTGATCCGCCCGCCTCGGCCTCCCAAAGTGCTGGGATTACAGGCCTGAGCCACCGTGCCCGGCCCACTAATTTTTAAATCTTTTTGTAGAGATGGGATCTAACTATGTTAACCAATCTAGTTTCAAACTCCTGGCATCAAGCAGTCCTTCTGTCCAAAGTGCTGAGATTGCAGGCATGAGCCACTGTGCCAGGCCCCTCATTCTTTAAATAGCTACTTTAGATTCTATTGTAAGGATATTTTAATAATTTTCCAACTTTTATTATATTGAGTAGGTGATTCCTTTTTAAATTATATATGTAAATTTTTATTTATATATTTGAATAATATGTTTACATAGTTAAAAATCAAAATATACGAAAGGCATACAGTAAGAAGTCATCTCTTTCCACCCGTAATGACAATATATCCCCTTTTGCCTGGCACAGATGCACACATAAATTATTGTCCTGACATGATTATGAATAATCCTGCTTTCTCTCAGAAGTGTGCTAGTTTGAATGATAAATTATGCAGACATTCTGCTTGTATCCCTGCTTCTTCACCATGCTGTTATATTCCTTCCAATTCAGAGGCAAATGTGATATCATTGCCTATGTGTCTTCCAGAGGAATTTTATTTATATTTTGTAAGTACATACATGGATTCTGGTTTTTTTTTTGCACTTTTTAACAAATAGATGTATCCATGCTATTTTATTTTAAATTTTTACTTTGAAACAACCTTAAACTTACAGAAGTTAAAAGAATATTAGTAGCAGGTGTGCTGGCTCACGGGTATAATCCCAGCACCGTGGGAGGCTGAGATGGGTGGATTGCTTGAGGCCAGGAGTTTGAGACCAGCCTGGGTAGCATAATGAGACCTCCTCTCTACAGAAAAAAAAAATGTAAAAGTTAGTTGGGTGTGGTGTTGCATGCCTATCGTCCCAGCCACTCAGGAGGCTGAGGCAGGAGGATCGCTTGGGTACAGGAGTTAGAGGCTGCACTAGACCATGATCACACCACTGCACTCCAGCCTGGGTGACAGAGTGAGACCCTGTTGCTTAAAAGAATATTTTAAAAAAAACCTACCCTTTATCCAGATTCACAAATACTAATATTTTTTCACATTATTTAATCAATTTTTCTCCTTCCCTCCCTCTTTCATTTCTCCCCCTTTTCTTTTTTTTTGGAGACATGATCTTGGTTTGTCACCCAGGCTGGGGTGCAATGGCATAATCATAGCTCAATGGCATTTCAAACTCCTGGGTTCAAAGAAACCTCCTGCCTGAGCCTCCAGAATAGCTGGGACTACAGTCATATGCTACCGTACCTGGCTAATTTTTAAAATTTTTTATAGAGACAGGATCTTGCCATGTTGCCTAGGCTGGTCTCAAACTCCTAGGCTCAAGTGATCCTCCCACCTTGACATCCCAAAGTGTTTTGATTACAGGCATGAGCCACCAAGCCTGGCCTCCTTTCCCTCTTTTTTTTCTCCCTCTGTTTCCCACTGCTTATAAAGTTTTTAAATTTTTTTTTTTTTTTTTTTTTTTTTTTTTTTTTTTTTTTTTTACTTTTGACCACTTTGAGAGAAGGTTGCAGACATCATGTCCCTAATGCATTTCCTGAGAACCGGGATATACGTTTGGATAATCATAGTAAAGATATTAATTCAGGAAATATAACATTTATACAATTATTTTATCTAATCTACAGGCCATAACCCAGTTTCTTCATTTGCCCCAATAATGTTTTTTATAGCTTTTTCATGTTAAATATCTTGTTTGGCACTAAGTATCTTATCAGTCTGCCATAATGTTTAATATCTTTCCTCTGAAATGGTTCCTCTGCCTGCCTTTGCCTTTCATGTGTTTGTGACTTTTGAAGCATGCATGCTAGGTATGTTACGGAATGTCCTCAGCTTGAGTCCATCTGAAGTGTTCTTAAGACTGGATTCTACTGATGCTGTTTTGGTTGGCACAACACGGTGTTTACTATTGTGGTCGTCAAAATGATGTTTTATGGCTAAACCATTCTTTCAACATTTAATCATCAAGGAAATATAAATCAAAACCACAATGAGATATCATCTCATCCCAGTTAGAATTTGCTGTTATCACAAAGACATAAAAATAAATGCTGATGAGGATGCAGATGACAGGGAACTCTCCTATACTTTTGGTGGGAATGTGAATTAGTATAGTCATTATGGAAAACAGTATGCAGAGTCCTCAAAAAACTACAAATGGAACTACCCTGTGAACCAGCAATTCCACTACTGAGTATTTATCCAAAGTTAAATCAGTGTATTGAAGAGAGAGCTGCACTCTTGTGTTCATTGCAGCATTATTCACGATAGCCAAGATATGGAATCCACCGAAGTGTTCATCAACAGACAAATGGATTAAAAAAATGTGGTGCATATACACAATGGAATACTATTTAGCCATAAAAAAAGAATGAGATCTGGACATTCACAGCAGCATGGATGGAACTGGAGGACATTATGTTAAATGAAATAAGCCAGGCACAGAAATATAAATAGCTTAAAAAGTTGACCTCATAGAAGTAGAGAGTAGAATTGTGATTAATAATCACAATTATAAATAATGGTCAGTATCAAAAAAAATTGTCATTCTACAGTGCTGCAGAACATTAGAACTTGTTTTCTCTATCTAGCTGTAATTTTCCCTCTTTTATTTTTTTTGAAACAGGGTCTTGCCCTGTCACCCAGGCATGGCATAAGCACGGCTCACTGCAGCTCAAACAATCCTCCTGCCTCAGCTTCTGGAGTAGCTACAGGCACATGCCATCATGCCTAGCTATTTTTTTTTAATTTTCTATAAAGGTGGGGTCTTGCCATGTTGCCCAGGCTAGTCTCAAACTCCTGGCCTAAAACAATCTTCCTGCCGTGGTCTCCCAAAGTGCTAGGATTACAGGTGTGAGCCATCACTCCCAGCTCCAATTTTTAGATACTGACCCCATTTAGATACATGACCTCAGAACACATTCCAAGCTCATGTTGTATCTCTCTTGTCCCCACTATTAAATCAGCTGTGTTTTTTCCAAGGAATCCTGATTTCTATTGTGGAGAAGCGTACTTAGAAACCAAGGTCTTGGTGCTACTGGTATGTTATTGCTTTTAGGCCCTTCCAGATATACGGGATATAAAGATATAGCTATATGTATGTGACTATATGTATTGTGTATATATGTATGTAGCTATATGTGTGTATGTGTATATATATCTTCATGTATTTATAGTGATATTTTCCATCCCAATCTACACCGCAGGGTTTTTCCTTGCCTTCCTATTTGTAGAGCTTCCTTCCACATTAAGAACCCTCTCTCCCAGTGAGTGTCACCCCATTTCTGTTTCATCTCTTTCCCTACTCTCCCCCTTGCCTCCTAGGGTCCCCTTTCCTCTCATCAGTTGCCAGACAAGAGGAGCATCATCATACACACATCATAGATTTAATATTAAACTTTTAAAATTTTCAGATAAATGTAAGCAGGCTTCTGCAGTGAAAGGGGCCAGGTCTAGGAAGATGGGGAATACTTGCAGGCACCTGGGAAGCTCAGGGAAGCTGCAGGTACCCTGTCAGTTGGGTGTCCCCTCATGAGGGTGGCAGACTGTCTCCTTGAGTTCTGGGTGGCAGAAATGGCCCAGGGCCCTGGGCTGAGACCCAGCCAACTCTCTATGGGGCTGCCACACGACTTCCTAAAAAGGCATAAACACATTTTCTTCCAAGTGGAGTCCAGCATATTTTATTTTCCTGTTGAATGGTAGACAGCATGAGAGCAGGGTCCATGTGATGATTTTTCTGTCAGTATCAGTTTCTGCAAGAGCAAAAATTACATATTTTTATTTTTCAAATAAAATCAATTGAGACAGTAACAAATTTGCTCAAAGAATCAACCTGAACACATGTACATCTATTATGTATCAATAAAAAAATGGCCAGGCACGGTGGCTCACACCTATAATCCCAGCACTTTGGGAGGCCAAGGCGGGTGGATCACGAGGTCAGGAGATCAAGACCCTCCTGGCTAACGCGGTGAAACCCTGTCTCCACCAAAAATACAAAAAATTCTCTGGGCGTGGTGGCAGGTGCCTGTAGTGACAGGGCGAGCTTGCAGTGAGCCGAGATTGTGCCACTGCACTCCAGCCTGGGTGACAGAGCGAGACTCCATCTCAAAAATAAATAAATAAAAATAATAAATTTTTTTCTAGATAAAAAATATAAAAATTACACCACAGTCCAAAAAAAAAAAAAAAAAAACTGTTCAAGACTGATCTTTCATAGTGATTGGGTCTATGAGTAAATGTTAAATAGATGATTTATTAGGTTTCTTTTTATTTCAATGATGAGATGGAGAAATATATTATTTTACATGAGGGCAAAAAATATTTTATGCATAGATATTTTTTATTTTGCCTATGTCCTTAAATTCTCAGAATATAGATTATTGCCTTCAGAAATCTGTCTAGGTTCACCTATACCTTATTAGAACTCAGCTTTGCTGGCTGTGGTACACCTGTAATCCCAGCACTTTGGGAGACTGAGAAGGGAGGATCACCTGAGCTCAGGAATTTGAGACCGGCCTGGGAAACATAGGGAAACCCTGTCTCTACAAAAATACAAAAAAAAAAAAAAAAAAAGTCTGGGTGCAGTGGCTCACGCCTGTAATCCCAGTAAATCCCAGTACTTTGGGAGGCCGGGCCGGGTGGATCCCGAGGTCAGGAGTTCAAGACCAGACTGGCCAACATGGTGAAACCCCGTCTCTACTAAAAATAAAAAATTAGCAGGGCATGGTGGTGAGCATCTGTAAGCCCAGCTACTCGGGAGGCTGAGGCAGGAGAATTGCTTGAACCTGGGAGGTGGAGGTTGCAGCGAGCCAAGATTGTGCCACTGTACTCCAGCTTGGGCGACAAAGCAAGAGTCTGTCTCAGAAAAAAAAAAAAAAAATTAGCCAGGCATGGTGGTGCACACCTGTAGTCCCAGCTACTCAAGAGGCTGAGGTGGGGAGCCCTAGTGGGTGCAGTGAGCCAAGATCACACCACTGCACTCCAGCCTGGGCGACAGAGTGAGACTCTGTCTCAAAAAACAAAAAAGTGAGCTTTAATAAATTCTATAAAACTTTTTTCTAGTTGAGAGTACGTTACTACAAGCTAACTTTTAAAAAAGTCATATTATTTGATTACTAGGAACTTTGCAATTAGTTTTGCTTCTTCTGGTTTTTATTTTTGCCTGGCACAACATTTCCTTCCTTGGCCCCTGTCTGTATTAATAATGCTGCCAGGATATACTGAATGATTTTATTCCAGTTTTTTCTACCTTAATTATGTTAAAGAAAAACAAAAGCTGGGTATTAGTTATAGTGGTAAGGACACATTTTAATCACTAATAACTATTGTAATCGTGAAGAAAGTCCAGCATGAACTGAACTCAACTTTGGTGTGTACAGAGGTGACTGGGTATTTTAAAGGAAGAATGAAGCTGGGTGTCTACTGGACACTGGAATGAAGCTACTGCAGAGGCTGAGGCAGAAGGATTGCTTGAGCCAGGGGTTTGAGACCAGCCTGGGCAATACATCAAGACCTAGGCTGGGCGGGGTGCCACACGCTTGTAATCCTACACTTTGGGAGGTGGAGGGGCGGGGGGTGAATGGCTTGAGTTCTGGAGTTCGAGACCAGCCTGGGCAACATCGTGAAACACTGTCTCTACAAAAATACAAAAATTAGCAGGGAATGGTGGCACATGGCTGTAGTCCCAGCTACTCAGGGGGCTGAGGTGGGAGAATCCCTTGAACTTGAGGAGACAGAGGTTGCAGTGAGCCAAGATCTCACCACTTTACTGTAGCCTGGGTGACAGAGTGAGAACCTGTCTCAAAAAAAAAAAAAAAAAAAAAAAAAAAAAAGACTTTGCTTCACCCACAAAGGGAAAATCAGGGAATAGGAGGGAGTTGAGTTGTGGGGTAGGGTATGCTCAGTTGAGTCAGAGAAGTAAAAATTTACCAAAAGTGGTGGTTCCATGTAAAACCTACCTGGGATTGCTAACTGGTGCTGTTTGAAGTTAGACTATGACCCTCGCACAGAGGCCAGGAGACAGGGGCCCTATCTTCTGCTGTTGGCTGGAACAAAGAGTAAATTCATTTGGGAGGCTTCACTTTTTTCAGGCAGGCTATTTAAGGGGGATACAGTCAACCAGGGGATATGGCCTTGAGATGCTAGAATCTATGTTAGTATTTTGTTCAAATATTTATAGGCCAGGGTTAAGACTGACTTTGTTTCTTTGTTTTTTGAGATGGAGTTTTGCTCTTGTTGCCCAGGCTGAAGTGCAATGGTGCGATCTTGGCTCACTGCACCCTCCGCCTCCTGGGTTCAAGTGATTCTCCTGCCTCAGCCTCCCGAGGAGCTGGCATTACAGGTGCTCGCCACCACGACTGGCCAATTTTTGTACTTTAGTAGAAACGGGGTTTCACCATGATGTCCAGGCTGGTCTTGAACTCCTGACCTCAGGTGATCCGCCTGCCTCAGCCTCCTGAAGTGCTGGGATTCCAGGCATGAGCCACTGTGCCCAGCGTAAGACCTAGTTGAGAAGGCAGCTCAGAGGAACCTGGCTAGAGTTTGGTCAAGAAGACTATCTCTGTCAATCATAATGTGTATTCCACCAATAAGAGTCATTGAGTCTGTAAATGTTTTTTTTTTTTTCCTTTGAGACAGAGTTTCACTCTTGTTGCCCAGGCTGGAGTGCAATGACACAATCTCGGCTCACTGCAACCTTGGCCTCTCAGGTTCAAGTGGTTCTCTTGCCTCAGCCTCCAAAGTAGCTGGGATTACAGGCATGTGCCGCCACACCCAGCTAATTTTGTATTTTTAGTAGAGATGGGGTTTCACGATGTTGGTTAGGCTGGTCTGGAACTCCTGACCTCAGGTGACCCACCTGCCGCAGCCTCCCAAAGTGCTGGGATTACAGGCGTGAGCCCCCATGCCTGGCCAAGTCTGTAATCTTGATTGAAAGTTTACTTTTGACTGGGCATGGAGCTCATGCATGTAATCCCAGCGCTTTGGGAGGCTGGGGCAGGAGGATTACTTGAGTCCAGGAGTTTGAGACCAGCCTGGGCAACACAGGGAGACCTCTTCTCTACAAAAAATAAAATTAGCCGGGCTTGGAGGTGCGTGCTGATAGTCCTAGCTACTTGACAGACTGAAGTGTGAGGATCACTTGAGCCTGGGAAGTTGAGGCTGCAGTTAGCCAAGATCCATGCCACTGTGCTCTAGCCTGGGCGACAGAATGAGACCCTGTCTCAAAAAAACAAAAAGAAAAGAAAAGTTGACTTTTTGCCAGCTGTTAGGAAAACATCTGTGGCTCTGGAGGGCGGCTGGTTTAAAGAAAAAAAAAAACAATCAGACATACCTGATATCTACAAGAGGATAATGAGCTTAGTATGGTGTGTGTAGGAGCCTAGAGGAGAGAGGCTGGGAGGGGATTCTTGGGGAAAACGGTGGTTGAGTTGGGGTTCAGAGGCAAGCCCCTAGGTCTTAGGCTGGGCACGGTGGCTCATGCCTGTAATCCCAGCACTTCAGGATGCTGAGGTGGGCGGATCACCTGAGGTCAGGAGTTCGAGACCAGGCTGGACATCATGATGAAACCCTGTTTCTACTAAAAATAGAGGAGAATTTGATGGCCATTCACAGTCAAGGGAACTGAACACATCAAAGGGATTGCCAGAAGGGCAGAAGTCCTGACTTACAGGTATAAGGAGAAACAGAAGAGGAGACAAGGTGTGGGGTCTACCAGGTGGGCAGGCCCATTGAGTAGAGGGTACATGGCATTCATTGAAGGATTTTCATCAAGGCAGTCTTCTGGTAAGATACGGGGAAGTCCACAGGCTAATTGGAAAACAGAAAGAATGAGATCATGGAGACAAATTTAGGGACTGACTCCGTCTGTATTAATTTATACCAGGGGTCAGCCAAGTGCAACCTGTGGCTAAATTTGGACTGCTATGCATACATGTATGGCTTGTGAGCTAACAAAGTTTTTTATGGTTTTAAATACTTGAGCCAGGTGCGGTGGCTCACACCTGTAATCCCATCACTTTGGGAGGCCGAGGCGGGCGAATCACCTGAGTTTGGGAGTTCGAGACCAGCCTGGCCAACATGGTGAAACCCCGTCTCTATTAAAAATACAAAAATTAGCTGGGTGTGGTGGTGCATGCCTGTAGTCCCAGCTACTCAGGAGGCTGAGGCAGGAGAATCATTTGAACCTGGGAGGCGGAGGTTGCAGTGAGCCGAGATCATGCCATTGCACTCTAGCCTGGGCAACAGAGTGAGACTCTGTCTCAAAAAATAAAATAAATAAATACTTGAAAAAAGCAAAAGAATAGCATTTAATAAAAATTATATAAGATTCAAATTTCACGGTCCATAAGTGAAGTTTTATTGGAATACACTCATGCCCACTTGTTTACATATTGTCTGTGACTGCTTTCACACTTCACACTACAAAGGTTGAGTAGTTGTGAGTGATCGTCCTCAAAGCCTAAAATATTTACTCTCTGGCTCTCCTCTCTACAGAAAAAGGCTGCTGATCTCTGCCTGATTCATTGATTGATTATTATTTGAAATGGGGTTTCACTCTGTCATCCAGGCTATAAAGCAGTGGCGTCATCTCAGCTCACTGCAACCTCCACCCGCCGGGCTCAAGCAATCCTATCTCAGCCTTCTGAGTAGCTGGAAGCAGAGGCGTGTGCCTCCGCTCCCAGCTAATCTTTTGTATTTTTGGTAGAGACGGGGTTTCACCATATTTCCCAGGCTGGTCTTAAACTCCTGAGCTCAAGTGATCTGCCTGCCTCAGCCTCCCAAAGTGCTGGGATTATAGGCATGAGCCACCGTGCTTGGCTGACCTCTGATTTATATGGCCAGATGGGGGCAGGTACTCAGTTGCTTGTGCATATTTTGTTGGGAGATCACAAGTTAGCAAGATAAAAGTGCTTTCATCACAGAGGTTTCAGTCTAGTAGAAGTTAAATTTTTGTGCCGGGTTCAGTGGCTCACACCTGTAATCACAGCACTTTGGGAGGCCGTTGCAGGCCGGTTGCCTGACCTCAGGAGTTCGAGACCAGCCTGGGCAACACAGTCAAACCCCATCTCTACTAAAATACAAAAATCTAGCTGGGCATGGCAGCATGCCCGTATAGTCCCAGCTACTCGTGAGGCTGAGGCAGGAGAATTGCCTGAACCCGGGAGGTTGAGGTTGCAGTGAGCCGAGATCATGCCGCTACACTCCAGCATGGGCAACAGAGCGAGACTTTGTCTCCAAAAAAAAAAAAGTTCGATTTTTGTTTAATAGGTGAGATCATATGAAACATAAATATAAGTACTGATGTAGGGATTGTGCTTTGTGAATGGGTCTCTGCCTGCAAAACATTCCTGAGAAGCTTTCTGAAGGGTTCAAGCTGAGAACAGAAGGATGGAGAAAGAGATTCTGTAAGTTAGGAGGCAAGAATCTGAGCTAAGATTTGGATGTGACAGGACCATGAGTGGATAGGGAATGTTTTGTTTCTTGAGTGGGAAGTGGGAAGCATTTTGGGAACAAGGTAAGGAAGAGAGAGGAGGCTGCAGTGTTTTTAAGGAGTCCTGCCCACGCCAAGAAGTCTGGACTGGAGGTCATTTGCTTTAAACATGTCATCTCAAGCATGTGTGATCTATTTGGAGCAAATATAATCAAGGGAAGTTTTAAACAGGAGAGTTTTCAGAGCAGTGGAGTCTGAAAAGTTGCCCTAAAATAAGGTTGAGCATAAGAAAGTCCTTCTTGCTTCTGGAAAAAGTGGACTATGGGTGCTCACTCTTTGGGGCCAGACAGAGAAGAATTAAAAATCATGGGCTGGGTGCGGTGGCTCACCCCTGTAATCCCAGTACTTTGGGAGGCCAAGGTGGGTGGATCACGAGGTCAGTTCAAGACCAGCCTGGCCAACATAGTGAAAACCACGTCTCTACTAAAAATACAAAAATTAGCTGGGCATGGTAGCGCATGCCTGAAGTCCCAGCTACTTGAGAGGCTGAGGCAGGAGAATCACTTGAACCCAGGAGGCGGAGGTTGTGGTAAGCCGAGATCATGCCACTGCACTCCCGCCTGGGCAACAGAGCAAGACTCTGTCTCAAAAAAAAAAAAAAATTGTGTTATTTCTCCCTTTTGCACCTAATCTCCCACTGAAGATGACTGCAACTTTCCTGTGAATTCTGAACCTGCTGCCAAAAGATACTTCTTTATATTCCATGATTTTGTGTAAAACTTTGTGGTGAGAATTAGAGAAAGCTTAATTTGCTGCTTGGCATCCAGAATTAGGAGGCCAAGTTAGGCTCCCATGTTAATTTTCAGAAAGCCCATGTTCCTGATATCTGGTAGGGATGGCGGTGCTGAACTGTGAAGGTGTTGGAAACCAGAATTTTGGCAGAAACGGAGTCAGATTTGAACATGGTACAAATTTGGACCAAGGGCCTAGTGATAGTTAGGTCAGGAAATTGGGGACTGTATTGGTCCATTCCTGCACTGCTATAAAGAACTACCCGAGCCTGGGTAATTTATAAAGAAAAGAGGTTTAATTGGCTAATGGTTCTGAAGGCTCTAAAGGAATCATGGCTGGGGAGTCCCTAAGAAACTTGCATCATGGCAGAAGGCAGAGGGGAGTCAGGCACATCTTTACATGGCAGAAGCAGGAGAGAGAGAGCAAGGGGAGGAGGTTCCACACACTTTCAGACAACCAGATCTTGTGATATATCACAAGAAGAGCACCAAAGGGGAAATCCACCCCTGTGATCTAGTCACATCCCACCAGGCCCCACGTCCAACATTGGGGATTACAATTTGACATGAAATTTGGATGGGGGCACAGACTCAAACCACATCAGGGACCAAAGAAATATTTTACTTATTTTCAGTTATCAATGGAATTTACTGCTGATGAGAAATAAATGTATCTTGCCAGTAACTTATAAAGTAATAAAACCGGCCAGGTGCGATGGCTCACGTGTGTAATCCCAGCACTTTGGGAGGCTGAGGTAGGTGGATCATGAGGTCAGGAGATCGAGACAATCCTGGCCAACGTGGTGAAACTCTCTCTACTAAACATACAAAAATTAGCTGGGCATGGTGGTGCGTGCCTCTAATTCCAGCTACTTGGGAGGCTGAGGCAGGAGAATCACTTGAACCAGGGAGCCGGAGATTGCAGCAAGACGAGATCATGCCACACCACTCCAGCCTGGCGACAGAGCGAGACTCCGTCTAAAACAAACAAACAAACAAAAAAATCAAAACAATTTCCCTAGAAATGTATAATTATTGACACTTTTTAGTATTTAAAAAATTTTCAGTGATACCCTGTATTTACAAAACAAAACAAAACAAAAAAAACGAAAAAGCAAGACAAAAACAAAACAGGCATGGTGATGTGCACCTGTAGTCCCAGCTACTCAGGAGGCTGAGGTGGGAGGACTGCTTGAGCCTAAGAGTTCAAGCCATGATCTCACCACTGTACTCTAGCCTGGATGACAGAGCAAGACTGTCTCTAAAAATTTTTTTAATTAAAAAAAAATTTCATCTTGACTTGCTTTTCATGTGAATCTAGTGTATTTGCTACTTTTTGATAATGCTTTGCACTTTTTAAATTGTAAAAACATTACATAAAATTTTCATCTTACCCGTTTCAGGGGCACTAAGTGCATTCACATTGATGTGCAACCATCACCACTGTCTAGCTCTAGAACTTTTTGTCTTACAAAACTGAAAATTGCCCATTAAATAATAACTCCGTTTCCTCCTCCCCACACCCCATCCCCTGGCAACCACCATTCTACTTCCTGTCTCCATGACATTTGATTAGTCTGGATATCTCGTATAAATGGAATCATACAGTATTTGTCCTTTTGTGACAGGCTTATTTCATTCTGTGTAGTGTTTCCAAAATTCATCCATGTTGTAGCATGCATCAGAATGTACTTCCTTTTTGAGGTTGAATGATACTCCATTGCATGTATGCATTACATTTTATTTATTAATCCATCAGTGGATGTTTAGGTTGCTTCTGCCTTTTGGGTAATGCAAATAATGCTGCTATGAACATGGGTGTGCAGATACCTCTTTGAGTTTCTGCTTCTAATTCGTTTTTTTTTTTTTTGAGCTGGAGCCTTGCTCTTTCGCCCAGGCTGGAGTCCAGTGCCACGCCATGATCTCGGCTCACTGCAACCTCCACCTCCCAGGTTCAAGCGATTTTCGCTTGATTCTCCTGCCTCAGCCTCTCAAGTAGCTGGAATTACAGGCTCAAACCAACACACCAGGCGAACTTTTTATATTTTTGGTAGATTGGGGGTTTCACCATGTTGGCCAGGCAGGTCTCAAACTCTTGAACTCAAGTGATCCACCCACCTTGGCCTCCCAAAGTGCTGGTATTACAGGTGTGAGCCACCATGCCTGGCCTTCTGCTTCTAATTCTTTTAGATATAACCTTGAAGTGACAGTGCTAAATCTAGCACTGTCTGGTCTTGAACTCCTGACCTCAAGTGATCTGCCTGCCTTGGCCTCCGAAAGTGCTGGGATTACATGTGTGAGCCACCATGCCTGGCCAATTGAAGATTTTTATTACTTACATTTTCCCAGAAAGGGGGCATGCCACACTACACCACATCACGTGAGGAGCACTAGGTTTTGGTCAGGAGGCAGAAGATAGGAGTGAAGGGAAAAATCTAGGGCAAAGCCTTTACTGGGGACTCCAAGGGAAACACAGGGCAGGTTTGAGCATAGGATGGGTTAGTTTAAATAATTCTGGTTGGCTTTGGGCTACAGGGATGGTCTCTAGTGACTTGGTTTGTGCCCTGGGTATATAGAATATGGGAAATAGTGGCCAGCGAGAGTTAGCTAAGGAGTTGGCTGGGCTACAGACTGGGATTGGTTGTTTGGCATATGAAAGACATGCTTATAGACAAATTGTTATTATATTCGAGAATTAGCTAGCTTTGGGAAGGACATTCTCTCCCATGATTTGCAAGGCCCTCAAAAGCCAGAGCAACAAAAATACAGAAAATAAGATATAGTTAATATAATTGGCTTGGTGATGAACGGATCCCAAATAGTCAAACACAGAAGCTAAGAAAACCCAGAACACATGGTAATTCTTCTGTTGCATTTTTTTTAGGAAACCACATAGTGTTTTGCATAGTGGCTGTAAAAATTTTCCATTCCTACCAACATTATACAAGGTTTTCAATTCCTCTGGTCTTCACCATGACTTACGTTCTGTTTCTTCTGTGTTTTATAGTAGCCATCCAAATGGGTGTGAAGTGGTATCTCACTGTGATTTTGATTTTGATTTTGATTTCCCTGATGATTAGTGATGCTGAGCATCTTTGGATGTGCTTCTTGGCCATTTGTATGTCTTTGGAGAATTCTTATTAAGACGTTTGCCCATTTTTATGTATGTATATATGTATGTATTTATTTATTGAGATGGAGTCTCTTTCTGTTGCCCAGGCTGGTGTGCAATGGCCCAATCTCGGCTCACTGCAACCTCCGTCTCCTGGGATCAAGCAATTCTCCTGCCTCAACCTCATGAGTAGCTGAGATTACAGATGTGCACCACCATGCCTGGTCAATTTTTGTATCTTTAGTAGAGACGGGGTTTCACCGTGTTAACCACGCTGGTCTCGAACTCCTGACTTCGAATGATCCACCCACCTCGGCCTCCCAAAGTACTGGGATTACAGGCGTGAGCCGCTGCACCTGGCTTGGCCCATTTTAAAATCAGGTTTTTTTTTTTTTTAAAGTTGATTATAGAATTCTTCTTTTTTTTTTTTTCTTTTTGATACAGAGTCTCACTCTATCGCTCAGGCTGGAGTACAATGGTGTGATCTTGGCTCACTGCAACCTCCACCTTCCGGGTTCAAGCAATTCTCTTGCTTCAGCCTCACAAGTAACTGGGATTACAGACGTGTACCACCATGCCCAGCTAATTTTTGTATTTTTATTAGAGATGTGATTTCACCATGTTGGCCAGGCTGGTCTCAAACCATTGGCCTCCTGTGATTCACTCACCTTGGCCTCCCCAAATGCTAGGCTTACAGGCATGAGCCACTGTGCCTGGCTGAGGAGTCTTATATCTATTCGGACTATTAACATCTTATCAAATATATGATTTGCAAATATTTTCTCCCATTCTGTGTGTTGCCTTTTCACTCTGTTGATTGTGTCCTTTGATGCACAGAAGGTTTTGATTTTGATATACTCCAGTTTATCTATTTTTGTGTTTCCTTAGCTTTTGGTGTTGTAGTCAAGAAATCATTGCCAAATGCAATGTTATGAAGCGTTTTTTCCTGACAGTTTTATAGCTTTAGGTCTTATATTTAGGTCTCTGATCCATTTCAAGTTCATTTTTGTATATGATGTAAGGAAAGGGTCCAACTTCATTCTTTTGCATGTGGATATCCAGTTTTCCCAGTACCACGTGTTGAAAAGGCTGTCCTTTCCCCATTGAAGGTCTTGGCACAATTGTTGAAAATCATTTGACCATATGGAAGAGTTTATTTCTGGGATCTCTATTCTATTCCAGTTGTCTATGTTTTGCATTCTTTTTAAAAAATATTTTTAGTCTTTACATTTCAGAATCAGTATTTCAAATGTGACTTGTAGGACTACGTGCAGTGAGGAAGATTGTTAATCATCCTATTCTGACCAGGAGTTCTGACAACTTTGGTGCTGTAGGCGGTGTCTAAGGCAGGTGTCAGCAAATTTTCCTCTAAAGGAGCTGTGTGTGTGTGTGTGTGTTTGTGTGTGTGAGTGAAAAAGAGGTGAGATTTATTTTAAATTTATTTTAAGAAATTGGCTTACATGATGGTACAGTCTTGCAAGTCAAAAATCTGCAGACTAGGCTGGCAGTCTGGAGACCCAGGGAAGAGTTGCGGTGTTAAGTGTTAAGTCTGAAACTAGTCTGAAGGCAGAATTCCCTCTCTTCCTCAAGAGATCTTAATCTGTTTTCTTTTGTTTTTGTTTTTGTTTTGAGACAGAGTCTCACAGCCCAGGCTGGAGTGCAGTGGCACAATCTTGGCTCGCTGCAACCTTCGCCTCCCAGGTTCAAGCGACTCTCCTACCTCAGCCTCCTGAGTAGCTGAGACCACAGGTGCACACTACCATGCCTGGCTAATTTTTGTATTTTTAGTAGATACGGGGTTTTAACATGTTGGCTAGGCTGGTCTTGAACTCCTGAGCTCAGGTGATCCATCTGCCTTGGCCTCCCAAAGTGCTGGGATTATAGGCGTGAGCCACTGCACCCGGCCTAACAATGACATTTTATATACACACAGGCACATACACAAACCTATTTATAAAAGATGAAATACTCAAGACAATTACAGTTCTGATTTCTGTAACTGGTCAGGTGGTCACAGCTCATATTTGTAATTACCTTTGTCTACTACTCATTATGTATTTCCATTGTCCTCAGCAAGCACCACGGCTGGTTGTGATTATTTATCTGGTGGGGTGACCCAAACCTTTGATTTCTGAAGGGTCTAGGCCAGTCATAGTCCTGCCTGAATTTCGTTGTTAGAGTTTTCCATGGGCTTTGGTCACAGAGCTTGGTTAATCCTGAAATACCCTAAGGGATCCCTTGTACTTCATATGTATTCTTCCTTACTTCCTTTGTGAAGCAGAAGTCCAGTTTCTCCTTGGTAATCAGGATGAGTGGCACTAGCCAGCACAACAATTCCCTTCTTTGTTGATTCAAAGGCATGAGGAGCCTAAAAGGGTTAGATGGCAGTTTTTTGTTTTTATTTATTTATTTATTTATTTATTTTTTAGACAGAGTCTCACTCTGTCACCCAGGCTGCAGTGCAGTGGCGCAATCTCAGCTCACTGCAACCTCTGCTGCCCGGGGTTCAAACAATTCTTCTGCCTCAGCCTCCCCAGTAGTTGGGATTACAGGTGCCTGCCACTGTGCCCAGCTAATTTTTGTATTTTCAGTAGAGATGGGGTTTCACCATCTTGGCCAGGCTGGTCTTGAACTCCTGACCTCGTGATCCACCCACCTTGGCCTCCCAAAGTGCTGGGATTACAGGCATGAGCCACCGTGCCCGGCCTAGATGGCAGTCCTAACTTCTACTTCAGTCCAATTACTGCTATATCTACTGATGGAAATATTCCTGCTGTTGGAACTAAGACTGCCAGACCAGAAGAGTATGAGATCATGGGGACAGGAAACACAAATTTTGCTAGTTGGTCAACTAGGGATATTTGTGGAGGGCTGCCACTCCCATTTCTATCTTTTGGTTTCTAGACTTGTCAACCCCGACTATGGGAGAAACAGCAATATATTGGACACTGACTCAGACAGTATACAGCCTCCTGAAAAGCCTTACCCCAGTCCTGTAAAGTATTACCAAATAGCTGGTACTGTAACTGAATCTTCAAAAGGCCTTTCCACCATTCTATGAAATCATCTGCCTTAGGATGGCGGGGAACATGGTAAGACCACCAAATTCCATGAGCATGGGCCCATTGCTGCATTTCCTTTGCTATGAAGTGAGTTCCTTGGTCAGAAGCGATGTTGTTTGGAATACTATGATAGTGGTTAAGGCATTTTGTGATTTTACAGAGGGAACTTTTGACAGAAGCATTGCATGCAGTGTAAGCAAATCTGTATCCAGAGTAAGCATCTGTTCTAGTCAGGACAAAACACTGGCCCTTCCATGATGGAGGGGATTCAGTGTAATCAACCTGCCACCAGGTAGCTACCTGATCACTGTGGGGAATGGTACCATAGTGGAGACTCAGTGTTGGTCTCTGCTGAGGGTAGATTGGGCACTCAGTGGTGGCCATAGTTAGGTTGGTCTTGGTGAATGGGAGTTCATGTGGCCAAACCCATGCGTAACCTTCATCCCTGCCATCATGGCCACTTCGTTTATAATCCCATTGGGCAATGACAGAAAAATGAGCCTGACTGTACATATGAAACAGGTCACCCTATCCACTTTGTCATAAAAATCCTCCTCTGCTGAGTGGGCATTCACATGGCCACAAATGTCTTTACCTTTTTTTTTTTTTGGGGCTGATTTAGAGGGGTCTATCTATAAGTCCATCTATCTCTTCCCAAGGCTTCCTTGTCACCAATTTTCCAATCATGCTCCTTCCACATTACTGACCAGCCAAACCATTGACCACGGCCTATAAATTGGTATATAATTGTATATCTGGCCATATGTCCTTCCAAACAAAATAAACAACCAGGAACACTGTCCCAAGCTTTACCCACTGGGAGGATTTGTCTTCACCACTCTTCTTCAGGGAGGTCTTCAGAAAGGCTCTGTAGTGCAGCAGTTGTCCACTTCTGGGTGGTATGTGCATGTTTTGTAGAACCATCTGTAAACCAGGCCTGAGTCTTCTCTTTTTCCATCATCTGATTGAAGGGAACCCCCCATGAGCCATAGGTGCAGCTGGGATAGAGAAAGCAGTGTAGCAGGAGTGGGGGCCGTGGACATTTGAGCCACTTCTTCATGTGACTTAGTTGTGTCTTCAGATCATGTTCTGGCTGTGTAGGCTTAACTTTACAGCTGGGCTGGTAAGATAACACCCAGTTCATGAAGGGCAGCTTAGGTTACATGGTAACTTGGTGTCCTATGGTTAAGCCTTTAGTCTCCACTAATGCCCAGTAGCAGGCCAACAGCTGTTTCTCAAAAGGAGGGTAGTTAACTACAGAGGATAGCAGGGCTTTGCTCCAATATCCTAAAGGCCTATGCTGCAACTTACCAATGGGGGCCTGCAAAAAGCTCCAAAAGACATTACTGTCTGCTACTGACACTTCAAGCATTATTGGTTCTTTTTTTTTTAATTTTTTTATTTTTCGAGACAGGGTCTCGCCCTGTTTCCCAGGCTGGAGTGCAGTGGCATGATCCTGGCTCACTGCAGCCGCTGTCTCCCAGGTTCAAGCAATTCTCATGCCTCAGCCTCCTGAGTAGCTGGGATTACAGGGGTGCACTACCATACTCAGCTAATTTTTGTATTTTTAGTAGAGACGGGGTTTCACCACGTTGACTAGGCTGGTCTTGAACTCCTGACCTCAAGTGATCTATCTGCCTCAGCCTCCCAGAGTGCTGGGATTACAGGCATGAGCCACCACACCTGGCTGCATCATTGGTTCTTGCAGAATCATGTGACCATAGAGGCAGAGAAATTTATGTTGCAGCCTGGACCTGTTGCAGAAGCTTCTGTTGTTTTGGGATCCACTCAAAACTACAGCTTTTCAGGTCATTAATGTAGCACATGAGCTGGGTGTTTGAATCCCTGAGCTAATTTTCCCCCTACTTTGTTCAGTGAAATTAGGTGCAACTAGACAGTCTCATTATACTTGTTAGTTTGACAAAATGTTTGAAGGTATCATACATGTTAACCCAGAACCTTGCCTTTTATACTTATTTAATTTAAAGTATCTGGGCTGGGCGTTGTGGGATCCCAGCACTTTGGGAGGCCAAGGTGGGTGGATCACCTGAGGTCAGGAGTTCGAGAGTGGCCTGGCCAACATGGTGAAATCCCATCTGTACTAAAAATACAAAAAGCAATTAGCTAGTGTTCTTTTGATTACTCGTAATTAATGCCTTTAAATCTAGTTAGTTTAGAGTACCAATTTCAGAAACCAACCCCAGAACTAATTCAGAAAATTTATTCTTAAGATCTGGTTCAGGTAGAGCTACTCTTGCTACCGAAATCTGTGTGTGTTAGGGTTCTCCAGAAAAACAAAATGAACTAACAGGATGTGTATAGTCTCAGTCTCTGTTTCTCTTTCTCAGAATTGGTCATGTGGTTATGGAGGCTGGCTAGTCCAAAATCTTCAGAGCAGGCTATGGATTCAGGGAAGAGTTGATGTTGTAGCTCTAGACCAAGGGCAGTCTGGAGAGAATTTCATCTTCTTTTTCTTTGGTTTGTTTTCTCTTATGGGTTTCAATTGAATGGATGAGGTCCACCCATATTAAAGAAGGTATCTGCTTTACTCAAAGTCTACTGATTTAAATGTTAATCCCATCTCAAAACATGCCATCGTGGCACCATCCAGGTTAATGTTTGACCAAATATCTGGGTACCATGGCCTAGCCCCATTGACACATAAGATCACTATCACAGTCAGATAACAAATGTTTAGCTTTGTGGGTCATATGGTTTATGTTACAACTACTCAACTGTGTGGTTGTAGTCATAGACAATACATAAACAAATGGCTGTGGCTGTGTTCCAAGAACACTTTATTTATAGATACTAAAATTTGAACTTCATATAATGTTCACATCATAAAATAAACTTTTCCTTGGATCCTTTCCTCCTTTCCTCCTCTCCCCCTTTCCCCCACCCACCATGTAAAAAAAAAAAAAAAAAAAAAAAGTACCACAGCCAGTTGCAATGGTAGGTACCTGTGCATATCACTATGCCTGTAATCCCACCTACTTGAGAGGCTGAGGCAGGAGGATCACTTGAGCCCAGGACTGCAAGGTTATATTGTGCTATAATTAAACCTGTGATCGTGCCACTGCACTCCAGCCTGTGCAATATAGAAAGGCCCCATCTCTTTAAAAAAAAAATATACAGGCAGCAGGCAGGATTTGGCATAGTTTGCTGACCGTCAAGGGCTCTCTTTTCTAAAACATAGGCATGGTAAGAATATGTGCAAAGGCCATGGGTGAAGAGCTTTTTATTTTGTTGCTTGTGTTCCAGTTGGTGCATTCTCAAGAGTAGGTACTTTCTTTTCTTGTTCATTCTCTTCCTGAGCCTATCTTGGGATTTTCTAAGAAGGTTGCTATTAGTCTAGTCTTTTTCCAGCTGCTCCCTAGATTGAGGCGGGAGAGGAGAAATTCAGCAAAGATTTCTCTCTCCTCATCAAGGCTGTCCCTTGCCTGCTTTCCTGTGGGACAGATGGTGCATGTAGGCAAAAGGCTGGAACATGTTGGCTGCTCCTGTTACTTGGTGCTTTGAGCAGAAAGGCCTGTTGGGTTAGTTCCTGGGCTCCAGTGCTCAATGTGTGTGTGTCCTGTTTTGTGTTTTTACCCATCTTTCTGCCTTGGCTTTAGGTTTATATGTTTGCATTTATAAAAACTTCTTATGGAATAGAATTATAATGAAGAGGAGCAGCAAAGAGTTGTGGTTGAGAGCTGGCAGTACTGGAATCAGAATGCTTGGCTTGAATCTGGGCTCAAATGCTTGAGAGCTGTGTGACTTTGAGTACGGTTCTTTTCTTTTCTGGGCATCAGTTTCCTAATCTGTAAAAGGGATGGAAATAGGGCCAGGCATGGTTCCTTATGCCTGTAATCCCAGGTACTCAGAAGGCTGAGGTGGGAGGATAGCTTCAGCCTAGGAGGTCGAGGCTGCAGTGACCCATGATTGTGCCACTGCACTCTAGCCTGGGTAACAGAGTGAGACCCTGTCTCTAAAAAAAATAAAAAGAAAAGATGGAAATGAAATAGTAACTCACACGGTTTTTTTGTTTTGTTTTGTTTTTTTGAGACGAAGTCTTGGAATCTCACTCTATCACCCAGACTAGAGTGCAGTGATGTAATCATGGCTCGTTGTAGCCTTGACTTCCTGTGCTCAAGCAATTTTCCTGTCCCAACTTCCTGAGTGGCTGGAGCTACAGGCACGTGCTACCATGCCCAGCTAATTTTTGTATTTTTAGTAGAGATGGGGTCTCCCTATGTTATGCAGGCTAGTCTCTAACTCCAAGGCTCAGGTGATCCCTCTGCTCAGCCTCCCAAAATATTGGGATTATAGGCATGAGCCTGCAGTGGCCATCACATGGTTTTTATTTTTTGTTTTTTATTTATTTTTAATTTTTTATGGATCTAGTCCTGAATCCAGAACATGATTTTTAAATGAACTAATGTTAAAGTACTTAGAAAAGTATCTGCTGCATAGTAAGGATATGTGGTTGTACAATAAATAAAAATAAAGAGAGCTGCTCACATAGAGTGCAGATTTCAAACCATCTAGTCTTTCTCGTTTTATTACATTGAATTTCTGCTTCTGAATTTTTAATTTTGTTATAAGAAGGATGTTAGTCCCTCTAAAGTATCATTTCCAATATTTTGTTTATGTTCCATAAATTTTAAGGTTATTTTACTTCAAATTATTTTATAATGTATATGCCTTTTATATTTGTTTTAGTTATATCAAAATGCAGCTTTCAAAAATATTTTAGTGTGTATAATTATTTCAGATTACTATTAGTAGAAGTGCTTTTTTAAAAGACAAATATTATATTTAAGAGACCCTGCCACAAAAGTACTCCTCATGGAAGGGAAGATGGACTGGGGATGATGTGGCAGTTATACAGGGAAAACTTCACATTATTTTGTATTTAAAACATAACCTGAGGCTGGGTGCGGTGGCTCACGCCTGTAATCCCAGCACTTTGGGAGGCAGAGGCAAGTGGATCACGAGGTCAGGAGTTCAAGACCAGCCTGCCCACTATGGTGAATCCCCGTCTCTACTAAAAATACAAAAATTAGCTGGGCATGGTGACATGCACCTGTAGTCCCAGCTGCTTGGGAGGCTGAGGTAGAGAATTGCCTGAACCCGGGAGGCGGAGGTTGCAGTGAGCTGAGATCGTGCTATTGCACTCCAGCCTGGGCAACAGAGTGAGACTCTGTCTCAAAAAGAAAAAAACCAAAACAGAAAAACATAACCTAATTTTATATTTTGTTTTGTCATACAGTTGTATTTGTTTTAAAATATCTTTCCACCCCTTCCAAAAGTATTTTATCCAAGTAGCAGCACATCTTATTTCCATGTCTGGGTTGGACTTTATTTATACTTGTCTGAAACTAAGGAAAAAGAAAGTAATTTATATCAGTTAAAAGACCTCTACTTCTCAATAAGTTAGGGGGCGGAGGAATGGGTCTCAATCTACCACTCACTTTTCTGCTAGAATTTTTTTTTATATTGATACCTCCCATTCTTTTTTTATTTTATTTTATTTATTATTATTATACTTTAAGTTTTAGGGTACATGTGCACAATGTGCAGATTAGTTACATAGGTATACATGTGCCATGCTGTAGAATTTCTTAATGTTGCATCAGTGTTTCACAATGTAATCGAAAACTCAAAATAGCAATCTTCCTTTTTTATTTTATTTTATTTTATTTATGTTTTGAGATGGAGTCTCACTCTGTCGCTCAGGCTGGACAGTGCAGTGGCATGATCTTGGCTCACTGCAACCTCCAGCTCCCAGGTTCGAGTGATTCTCCTGCCTCAGCCTCCTGAGTAGCTGGGACTACAGATGCATGCCACCATGCCCAGTTAATTTTTGTATTTTTAGTATAGACGGGGTTTCATCATGTTGGCCAGGATGGTCTGAATCTCCTGACCTCGTGATCTGCCCGCCTCGGCTTCCCAAAGTGCTGGGATTACAGGTGTGAGCCACCGCACCTGGCCTCAGAACAGTTTATATTTAAAAATTATTTCAAAGATAGGAGAGAGTTCCCATGTGTCTCATATGTTTCCCCTATTAACATGTTACGCTTGTTTCATTGATGTACCAATATTGGTACATTTTTATTAACTGAAATTTATACTTTATCCAGATGTCTTTGGTTTTTCTAAAATACCCTTTTTCTGTTCCAGGATCTCACCCAGGAAATCACAGTACAGCTAGTACTCATGTGTCTCAAGGTTGTTCTTGGTTGTGACATTTTCTCACTTTGTTTTGATGACCTTGACAGTTTTGGGGATTACTGGTCGAATGTTTGTAGAATGTCCCTCAATTAGGGTTTTTAAAAACTGATTTATAATTCACATAGTATAAAATTTACCCTTTTAAAATATATAATTCAGTGCTTTTGAGTATATTCACAACGTTTCCCAACCATCCTATGGTTGGAAAATTAGATAACCTACTAATTCCACAAAATCCAGAATATTTTGATCATCCCAGAAAGAAACCTCATAACCAACAGCAATTACTCTCCTTTCACTCCTCTCCCATCCCCTGAAAATCACTAATCTGCTTTCTGTCTATATGGATTTGCCTATTCTTTTTTTTTTTTTTTTTTTTTTTTTTTTTGAGATAGAGTCTCACTCTCTCACCTAGGCTGGAGTGCAGTGGCGCAATCTCGGCTCATTGCAACCTCCGTCTCCTGGGTTCAAGTGATCCTCCTGCCTCAGCCTCCTGAGTAGCTGGGATTGCAGGCACGTGCCACCACACCCGGCTATTTTTTGTATTTTTAGTAGAGACAAGGTTTTGCCATGTCGGCCAGGCTGGTCTTGAACTCCTGACCTTAGGTGATCCACCTGCCTCGGCCTCCCAAAGTGCTGGGATTACAGGCGTGAGCCACCACACTTGGCCTGGATTTGCCAATCCTTAACAGAACATATAAAAAGAACCATAAAAACGCCTGACATGTTGCCTCATGTCTGCAATCCCAGTACTTTGGGAGGCCAAAGTGGGATGATTTTTTGAGTGTAGGAGTTGGAGACCTCTCTGGGCAACATAGTTAGACCAGGTCTCTACAAAAAAATAAAAAAATTACCTGGGCATGGTGGTGCATGCCTGTAGTCCCAGCTACTAAGGAAGCTGAGGTGGGAGGATTACTTGAGCCCAGGAGATGGAGGCTGCAGTAAGCCATGATTGTGCCAATGCACTCCAGCCTGGGTGACAGAGTGACACTCTATCTCAAAACAAACAAACAAAAAACCCCATAATATGTGGCCTTTTTCTGTCTAGCTGCTTTCACTCAGCATAATGTTGTCAGGGTTCTTCCATGTTGTTTCATGAATCAACACTCCATTCCTTTTTATAGCAGAATGATATTCCATTGTACCATGCCATAGTTGTTTCCTTTTTCTTTTCTTTCTTTCTTTTTTTTTTTGGAGAACGGGTCTCACTCTGTTGCCCAGGCTAAAGTGCAATGGTGTAATCATAGTTCACTGCAGCCTCAACCTCCCTGGCTCAAGCAGTCCTCCCACCTCAGTTTGGGTAGCTGGGACTAGAGGTGCACACCACTATGCCTAACTAATTAAAAAAAAATTTTTAGTAGAAATGGAGTCTTGCTATCAGGGAGATCTTGGACTCCTGAGTTCAAGCAATCCTCTCGCCTTGGCTTCCAAAAGTGTTGGGACTGCAGGCATGAGCCATTGCACCTGGCCTCACATTTTGTTTATTCATTCATCAGTTGATGAGCATTTGAGTTGTTTCCAGTTTTTAACTTTTTTTTTTTTTGAGACGGAGTCTCACTCTGTCACCCAGGCTGGAGTGCAATGGCAGGGTCTTGGCTCACTGCAACCTCCGCCTCCTGGGTTCAAGCGATTCTCCCACCTCAGCCTCCCAAGTAGCTGGGACTACAGGTGCGTGCCCTCACACCCGGCTAATTTTTGTATTTTTAGTAGAGATGGGGTTTCACTGTGTTGGCCAGGCTGGTCTCGAACTCCTGACCTCGTGATCAGCCAGCCTCAGCCTCCTAAAGTGCTGGGATTACAGTCATGAGCCACCACCAGTTTTTTAGCTATTATAAATAAGGCTGCTATGAAAATGCATATACATGTTTTTGCATTAAGATATGTTCTCATTTCTTTTTTTTTTTTTTTTTTTTTTGGTGACAGGTTTTGCTCCATCACCCAGGCGGAGTGCAGTGGTGCCATCACAGCTTACTGCAGTCTCCACCTCTCAGGCTCAAGTGATTCTCCTACCTCAGCCTCCCGAGTAGCTGGGACCAGAGGTGTGCAACACCACATTTGGCTTTTTTATTTTTTATTTTGTAGAGACGAGTCTTGCTATGTTGCCCAGGCTGGTCTCGAACTCCTGGATTCAAGCGATCTGCCTGCCTCAGCCTCCCAAAGGATTGGGATTACAGGCTTGAGCCCCTGTGCCCGGCCCCTATGTTTTCCTTTTTTTTTTTTTTAAATTTGAAACGGAGTCCTGCTCTGTCGCCCAGGCTGGAGTGCAGTGGTGCAATCTCCCTCACCGCGACCTCTGCCTCCCGGGCTCAAGGGAGTCTTTAGTCTCAGTCCCAAGCAGCTGGGACTGCAGGCGCCCGCCACCATGCCTGGCTAATTTTTGTATTTTTTAGTAGAGACAGAGTTTTACCATGTTGGTCAGGCTGATCACGAACCTCCTGATCTCAGGTGATCCACCTGTCTCGGCCTCCCAAAGTGCTGATATTACAGGCGTGTGAACCACCGTGCCTGGCCGTTTTCATTTCTTTGTGATCTGCTTAGGAGTAGAATTGTAGGTCATATGGTAACTTCAGGGTTAACATTTGTAAGCATTGCCAAACTCTTCCACTGTGGCTGTGCTGTTTCACATCCCAATCAGCAGTGTTAGAGGGTTCCAATTTCTCCACCTCCTCCACAACCCTTGTCATTGTCTTTTTAATTCTAGCCCCAAGTGGCATCTCATTGTGGTTTTCATTTGTACTTCTCTAATGACTTAACGATTGTGTCTTTTCATGTGCTTATTGGCCATTGGTATTTAAGAACTATTTTAATCCTTTGCCCATTAAAAAAAAATGTTTTTGTCCTTTTATTGTTGAATAGTAACACTTTTTTTTTTTTTTGAGACAGTCTCACTCTATTACCCAGGCTAGAGTGCAGTGGCGTGATCTGGGCTTACTGCAATCTCTGCCTCCTGGGTTCAAGGGATTCTCCTGCCTCAGCCTCCCGAGTAGCTGGGACTACAGACATGTGCCACCATGCCCAGCTAATTTTCATACTTCTAATAAAGACGGGGTTTCACCACGTTGGCCAGAATAGTCTCGAACTGCTGGCCTCAAGTGATCTGCCTGCCTCAGTCTCCCAAAGTGCTGGGATTACACTTATGAGTCACTGCGCCCAGCCAAGTACTAACACTTCTTTATACATTCTGGATACTACACTCCTAGTAGCTTTATGTTTAGCAAATATTTTCTCCCATTCTCTTGGCTGTCTTTTCACTTTCTTAATGTCCCTTGAATCGAAAACTTTTATGTAACTGTGATGAAGTTCAGTTTATTTATTATTTTTGGTTGCTTTTGTTTTAGGTGTCATATCTAAGAAACTGTTGCCTAATTCAAGGTTACACGGATTTATATATATACACACATATATTTATACATGTATACATAAGTATACATGGAATATATGTGTAAAATATACACATACACAAATGTTATATATCACATTTATACATAGGTATATATGTGTACCTGTATACATATATAACATGTATATATATGTTCTATAACAAGTGACTTATATTTTATTGATCTATTTTGAGTTAATTTTTGTACATGGTATGATGCAAGGGTTCTGATTAGTTTTTCTAGTCTCCTTTGTCTATTCTGTACAGAATAGTTTTATTGCAGTTTTAGTGTCCTTTAAGTACATAACCTTAAGTGTTTGGCTTGGGGATAAATGTAGACTTTGGGAAAATTGAATTGTTGGGAGACCTATCAGGGTCTACTAGCATGTCATAGTGGAGTTTAGTGGCAATGTCTCCTTCTCTGTATCTTCACTCCCCAGTTGTAGGATATGTTGAATCAGACCTATTATTAACTAACATAAAATATAAGTGAGCCTAATGGCAGTTCTCTTTAGATTTTCTGTAAAGCCCAGGACACCCATTGTGACCTCTCAGACTCCAAAGCGAATTTCCTAATGGAGTAGAACAAACAGGAAATTATGAGGAAAGGCAGTCAGAGTTTGAAAAGAGAACACACCAGAAACAATGGAAGATAGGTCCAAGAAACTAGATAAGTGCGAGTTGAGAATTGAATATAATTTTATTTAATTTTAATAATACTTTAATTGTAAAAGTAATTCATAATCACTGCAAAAAGTACCAAGCACTGTAAAAATTAAAAATACAAAACAATCTCAAATTGTGACAGCCAAGAGAAACCTAAAGAAACATGATTATAATGTTTGTGGCATGTAAGTTTGGTGTCCACAATGGAAAAAGGATATTAGGAAAAAAAAGAAATATAAGATATAGAAATTAGTTAAAACAATGAGAATAAAAAATGAACACCCAATTCCTGCTCCTAGAAGAAGTAGTACTCTAACATTTGGTGAAGTTCTAAGAGCCAACATTTTTACCCAGCTTATACTAGGACCTGTTCTAAATAGTATTTTAGCTCATTTAATTGTTAAGCCATTGTATAAAGTAAACAGAATCCCTTCTTTTGTTACAGATTAGGAATTTAATGCACAGAGGGTTAGATAACTTGCTCAAAGTAACATTGTGGTCAAGAGTCAAAGCTAGAATTTGAATCAAAAGAGCCTGAGTCCAAAGGCATGGTTTTCATCACTGGACTATAATGGTGTGTATTCTTTCATAATTTTTTCAGTGTAAAACTGAACATACAGTATGCTTTTATTTTATTTATTTTTTTGAGATGGAGTCTTGCCCTGTCACCAGGCTGGAGTGCAGTGGTGTGATCTCAGCTCACTGCAACCTCCGCCTCCCACGTTCAAGCAATTCTCCTGCCTCAGCCTCCCGAGTAGCTAAGATTACAGGCATGTGCCATCACGCCCAGCTAATTTTTCTGTTTTTTGTAGAGATGGGTTTCACCATGTTGGCCAGGATGGTCTCGATCTCCTGACCTCGTGATCTGCCCACCTCGGCCTCCCAAAGTGCTGGGAATACAGGCGTAAGCCACTGTGCCCAGCCTACATTTTATTTTTCGATTGACTCCCGTGATCAGAGTCAACTTCCCATGTTATTTTATGTGAATATGTATCAATGAACTATTAGAAATTGCAATGTTTTTGTAGGTCAAAACAATTCAATATTGACAATTTTATATGATTCAGCCTAATACATCATTTTTTCCATCAGCCATATTGCATGTTATTATTTATATATACGTTTATTTAGTTAGCCTATCTGTTCTCTGTGAGGAACATTACACAGTTTCTGAGATTTTGTTACGATAGAAGTCAGCATTGATAAGCCTCTGCGCACCTGTTTTAATGTAGGATCATTGGGAACTGAGCAGTAGCTTACAGGGCTTGGGAGGGGATTTAACCATTTAGTCAACCTCCACTCACATCACCCTCCCTTCTTCGATAATGGGCAATTGAGAAAGGGCAAATGTGTGTAAAAACTATGCAGATGCAGTTTCAGGATTATTTTCTTCTTTTCTGCAGTGTCTTTTCCCAAGCTACATCAGCGTCTAAATTTTGGAGTTACTGATGCTTCCGTTATTTCTGCAGATAGAATATTATGTCGTAAATAATGTTTACTTGTCCATTAGTATTATATAAAAGTGCCTGTTTCTCCCCACTCCAGCTATCATTGATTATTGGTAAAAATTTTAATGTATCCAATTCTAATAGGCAAAGAAAGGCTCTCCTACTTAGATCTTAGGTGGGGGTCTAAGTTCATATTTTTGTTTTACAAAAATTGAATAGCCAGTGTTTTTGAGTTGAATGATCTATCCATTCCGTATAGGAGAGTTTAATTATATTGTGATTTTGGGGGAGATAATTTTCACAATTTACCCCCTCAAAATGTAGAAAGTAGAAAAAGGGTAGAAAAATCGCACCAAATTTGAACAATGTAGCATGCTTTTAGAGTTAGGGATATTTTCTTTTGGAAGGATTTCAAGTCTGGCGTATTTGCATTGATTGTGGTTATGGCGCATTTAACTTTTCCAAACCAGCTTTTTTGTACCGCACATAGGAAGACCTGAGGGTGAGTGTAAATTAGGATTGTTTGGCCAGTGGTGTGTGCAAAAATTTATTGTAGAACCAAGAATTATTTCTTTAGTATTTTACACATTTTAAAAAACAGGTAGACATGTCCATTGATCCCAGGTTGCTTATGGTTTCTAGAGGCCCCCTCTCATTGCAACAGTGCTGTGGGGCCCTAGGGGTCCAGTAGCCCCCTCCCCCCAGGTCATTCCGGTGAGGGAGGGAGCTGGGACCCCTGCACTGCGGCAAACAAGCACGCCTGCGCGGCCGCAGAGGCAGGCTGGCGCGCATGCTCAGGCGGGGATGTGTGCGAAGCCTGCCGCTGCTGCAGCGAGTCTGGCGCAGAGTGGAGCGGCCGCCGGAGATGCCTGACGCATCTGTCTGAGGAGCGGTCAGTGACGCGATGGAGCGGGCAAGGTCAGCTGTGCCGGTGGCTTCTCTCAAGAGACAGCCTGGGGAGCGGCCACTTTTATTCATCAGATATTCCAAGTTTTTAGGACTTGGAGTACTGAATAAACGGAATTTGGGCCCTAAAGTCCTTTGTTCTGGAGAACCAGATCCGGAATGTTCAGAGGCTTGCTGTTGTGCCGTTCTGCCCCGATGGTATCCTGTCCGCTCGCATTGGGGCGCGTCCCCCATCCGCCCCCAACTGTGGTGTCGCGACAGGTCCTATTGCGGGTGTCTGCGGTGGGAAGGGCGGTGGTGACTGGGAGCATGCGGGGTAACCGCAGTGGGCAAGGGACATGGGTGGAGGTGGGTACATCAGGGTGATTGCAGTTCCGTGTGGCGAGGGTACGTGGGGGGACCAGTGCATAGGGATTTTAGGCGGAGGTAGGTATATTGGAGTGATTGTGGCGGGGCGAAGGTACGTGAAGTGATCGGTATTTAGGGGGTGTTGAGCGCAGGTAGGTGTATAATAGTGACCACTGCGTGGTGGAGCAGGGTACGTGGGGCGACTGGGGGGGGAATTCGTCGCAGTGACCGAGGCGAGGAGGCTATGGCAGTGGACCAGGGGGATGAGTCGGTGTGACAGTGGTGGGGGTTGTGTTGGTGGTCGCGGCGCGGGGAGAGTCCGTAGGAAGTGGCTGGGAGGTAGGGGGAAGGCGGCGACAGTGGGTATTGGCGGCGGTGGGCATTGGCAGCGGGTAGGCATGGCGGTGGTGGACTTTGGCGGCGGTAGGCATGGCGGCGGTGGGCATGGCATGGAGGCGGTGGGCATGGCGGCCGCGGGGCCTGTCGCTGTCCGGAGTGACTAAGGGACGCTGAATGATTGCTGTGTAGAGGAGGGGGCATCAGAAGGGGCAGTAGCACAGTCCGCAGCCTTTAATTTTCCTGTGACCTGCGATGGTCATCTGGTTTGCCTACTGTGGTGGTGGTGCTTTTTTATTAAAACTGCGCAATGCCTACACTGCCGCAGGGGCTGCAGAAATGCGTGGAATCCTTGCGTACCCTTTAGGAACCCTCGCTTTAGAGGCTATGGCATAAGAAGACTGGAATGATGTGCAGAACTTGCATTTACAGATCTTTTGACTGATAGGCCAGGTGATGCCTGGGGGTTACTTTTTTTTCATTGTTTCTCTCTGTTGGGAACCAGGTCTTGGAAGGCTATGTCGAAATAACCTGGGGGTCTGTGTTGCGTCACTGCCATTGTGCAGCTCCTTCAAGATGGCCGCCGCTGCAGCGGCTTAGATCTGCGCAAGCGCTTCAGCGGGGGGGTGGCCGCTTCCTCCCTGTAGAGCCGCCAGTGGGGAGGGGGCAGGTGGTGTGTGTTCAGCTTCTGCTGTTTCGGAGTTTCAGCCGTACCCTCTTTAGGGTGCAGTGGTAAGGAGAGGAAGCCGGCCAAGGTGGGCGGCTGCCCCCTCCCCAAAGTGCTGCTTGGGAAAGGATGCAGGTTGCGCAGACGCAGCAGAGGTGACAGTCGCCTCCGCTTGCAGTGGGGCGAGACGTGGGGCAGGGGAGCGAGGGCTTACGCAGCTTTTGCCTGGAAGGAATGGCAGCCCTCCCCTTCACCTGGCTGATACAGCAGCTGTTCCTTTCCGGTTGTGGCGCAGTAGAGGGGGGAGGAGGGAGATGGGTTGGCGCAGGCTCCGCCTAGCAAGCTTGGCAGCCACCCCTTACCCACGGTGCAGCAGTAGAGGACTGGAGGGGAATGTGGCTAGAGGCCAGGCATTTGTACCACCTCCGCCTGTGTGGGATGGCAGCTGCACTGGGCTACTGCTTTTCAGCTCTGCAGTAAACTAGAGTGGTGGCGGCCTGGAGGCCATCAAAGGTGCAGCCACCCCAAGACCTGCTGTGCTGTTTCAGCAAGCCTCCATTAATGATAGAGATTTTAAATTGGTTTTCTGACTCCCTGGAAAATCGTACCTTTTCATTTTTGTAGTTCCTCTCTTGGTTGTATTGTGCGCTAATTCTCTATTTTCAAACTGGACTTGTTAACCCCTTTTTTTTAACTCCCTGTAGTCTTTGATTTCCATTCGACACATTTAATAAATGTCACCATTTAAGATTCAGTTATCCTTCTTAATCTCTGGATAGTCCATTCTGATGCACTGCATACTTTCCTTAAATGGGTTGGGGGAGAGGACATCGTGATGGCTCTTCCCGACTAAGGTTGAAAGGTGTTTCAAACACTGGACCTCTTCATCTTCTGGGAGTTGAAAGCTGCAAGTTTTGTGCTCAAAGAGAATAAAAGAGAAAAGTGGAGACAATCTTATTGGGGTGGGGTTGTGCTTTGGATCAGTTACTGTCTTTTTTTGGATTTTTAAATTAATGATCATTTTTGAAGTTGGAGCTACTACAAAAATTTGGTGAGAAAGGTTAATGAATAACTGCATTTTTATATTCCAGTACTTTTTTAAAAAATCATTTTATTCTAAGGATTTTGTCTTCCTTTGCAGGATTTTCAGTGCTTGCCTTTTCTGTATTTACATTTTCCCTCTATCATAACTGGTATGTCTGGTTGCACTGAGTTGTAATTAACAGAAAAGTTAAATCTACGAAGCCCGAAAAGCCTTGTTCTGGAATAATCTATTTTTGGGTAGTTTTAAAAATAGCAGGAGTCTGGGATTTTATATGATATTTATAATTTACCCTTTTTTTTCTGCTTGCATGAAGATAGCAGTTCACATACATATATTTCTTGGTTTAACTTCTGGTCATTTGGCTATTTGCAAGCTGAGTATTTAGTCTGATCCGCCATTTTGTAGTCTTGCATTCAGGCCCGGGATCCTAATATGGCAGATCCCTTTGGAAAGGCCTCTTGAAGTTTCAAGGTCTGTGTCCTACTCAGTGAATTGGCTCTGTGCTAGGGCTTTTTGGAGGCAGGGAGTGGCAGCCCTTCCTGTGATGCAGAGGAAGGAAGCTTGGTTGAGAGACCCTTATGTTGTTGTCTAAGGCAGGGTACTAACTGATTTGGATTTATTCACAGACCTTGCCTTATCTTGATTTCACTATTCTATCTGACCAGTGTGTCATTGCCGAAATGTTTTCCACATTTATAGTTACTCTGTATCTTTATGTTTCCCTTACCCTGTTCCTTTTCCTAATAAACATCTTTGTTTTACAAAAAATTTTGTTTATAAGGTGTCAAGGATGCCAAGATAACCTCCTTTGTTTATCAGCGCCCTCTGTTTAGCTATTTTTTAGGAAGAATCATTTAAGCAGGTTGTGAGTACTGCCCTCAATTACTTGGACAATGAAGTTTTAAAAATCTTATTTAGACCTGTCACTGGTCCTGTCTCCTTTTTTTTTTTTTTTGTGGCCCAGGGCCAGAAAGCTTGAGTGAGAATTGTTACTACTTAAGGTAGCCTCTCTCCATTTCTGGATGCTAGCTGGCTCAAAGTTTTTTTTTTTTTTTTTTTTTTTTTTTTTTTTTTAAATAGACCAGGGTCTCCCTATGTTGTCCAGGCTGAACTCGAACTGCTAGACTCAAGCTATATCCTCTCCCTCCTCAGTCTCTCTCTGGCCACTGTGGCTGGCCCAAATTCTCTTTTTGTTAATTCTCCTCAGATTTGTTTTGGAGGCAATGAGGTTTCTTATATTCATGGGGTACAGATTAGCAGCCTATCATTAACCTTATTTTTTTGTTTTTAGGAGACAGGGTCTGGCTATGTTGCCCAGGTTGGAGTGCAGTGATGCAGTTATAGCTCCCTGTAACCTCAAACTCCTGGATCAATCTAGACTCCTGCCTCAGCCTCCCAAGTGCCTGTTAGTACAGGCTTGAGGTACTGTGCCCAGCTAACTTTTTATTTTTTTGTAGAGAGGGGTCTCCTTATGTTGCCCAGACTGGTCTCGAACTCCTGGACTCAAGCAGTGCCCCTGCCTAGGCCTCCCAAAGTGCTGGCATTGCAGCCATGAGCCGCTATACCTGGCCAACTTTGTTTATTTTTATTCTTGAGATCTTAGTTAAATTTTATGGAAAATTTAGGCCGTAATAAAATTGGGATTCCATTGCTTTTTGCTTTTCAATATATTTCCGGATTATTACTTTCAGTGTAAGTGATCTGAGGGCAAACATTTAACACCCTTTCTATATGATGATTTTTTCATGATGTCCTCAGTTTCATAAAATGTTGGTTTCTGTGTTGGGGATGCAGTTAGATAAATGCATGTGTGTGTGTATCTAGAACATTCAATAAAGTAGTGTTTTCAAAATCTTATAGATGACATTTTATATGTAGATTAAAAATAAGTAGATTTAAGCCAGGTGCGGTGGCTCATGTCTATAGTCCCAGCACTTTTGGAGGCCAAGGCAGAAGGATCACTGGAGCCTGGGAGTTCAAGCTTGGGTATTGAGACCCCGTCTCTACATTTAAAAAAAGGTAAATTCAGAAAGTTGAAATAATAGAATATTTTGGTTTGATGGCTATTTCCTCAGTTGACCTCAGACCTTTCATATTGAGCAACTGCCGAATGGGTTCTTTTTGTTTTTTGGTAAGACAGTGTTTGCAGTTGTACACTATTAGATTAATCATGGTTTAGTTGATAGTTTCTTTAATTGTATTATATTAAGGTACTACATTATTAGCTGTATTTGTGTGCCCACCATAATGTAGCACTGATCAGTACTAAATTCCTTTTTATGGCTGAAAGACATTCGTTTGGATATATCATATTTTCTTCATTCGTAAGTTGATGGACATTTGAGTTGTTTCCACTCTTTGGCTATTATGAATAATGCTACTAGGAACACGTATAATACGTTTAATACAAAGAATTAGTTTCACAAGGTTTTACTTAGCCCTCGTATATGCCAGGTTCTTGAAATTTTGTCTTTTTGGAAGTATGAGAGTAGTGGTAGCTGGGAAGGCTGCAGGTATAATAGAAAGAACATGAACTGTCTGGGCATGGTGGCTCATGCCTGTAATCCCAGCACTTTGGGAGGCCGAGGTGGGTAGATCACCTGAGGGCAGGAGCTCGACATCAGCCTGGCCAACATGGTGAAACCCTGTCTCTACTATAAATACAAAAATTAGCTGGGTGTGGTGGTGCATGCCTGTAATCCCAGCTACTTTGGAGGCTGAGTTTGGGTCTTGTAATATTACTTCATCTAGCAGTAGAGTTAGTGTCATATGTTACTTTCATGATTAACATTTTTAGGAAGTTGGCAAAGTCTATATATAACACTTTATGTTTCCACCAGCAGTTTCCCCACATCCTTTACAAATATTGTGGTGTCAGATGGTGGCATTTCAGTGGGGGTTTTTTCATTTTGAGGCAGGGTCTGGCTCTGTCACCCAGGCTGGTGTGCCAGTGGCATGATCTCAGGTCACTGCAACCTCTGCCTCCTAGGCTCAAGCGCCCTCTCACCTTAGCCTCCTGAGTAGCTGGTACCACAGGCATGCACCACCACACCCAGCTAATTTTTGTATTTTTTTGTATAGATGTTGCCCAAGCTGGTCTCCTGAGCTCAAGTGATCGCTGGCCTCAGCCTTCCATGAACCATTGCGCCCTGCCTCATTGGGATTTTGATTTGCATTTTTTAGTGACTAATGTTCAGCATCATTTCATATAGATTAGCCACTTGTATGTGTTTGGAGGACTGTCTATTCAAGTGTTTTACCCATCGTAGCAATAGAATTTGCCCTTTTATTGTTGAGTTGTGAGAGTTCCTTACATATTCTGGATACCAAACTTGAAAAAATACTTTTTTGAGGTGTGAGTGACATACAAAAGCTGTAGATAGTTAATGTTAAAAGTTGATATGCTAAGAGATAAGTACATGCCTTTGAAATCATTCTTATCAAAATTAGTGGCATAAATGTGTCTGTCACCTGAAAAAGTTTCTTTGCCTCTCCCTACCTTCTTTTTTTTCATTGTTTGGATTTTCTTTTTGTTTGTTTTGGATACTAGAAACTTAGCTGTATGTTAAGCAAATATTTTTTCCTATTCTGGTTATCCTTTCACTTTCTTTAGTGTTTTCGGAACTTTATTTTTTGATGAAGTCCACTTTATTTTTTATACTGCTTGTAATTCAGGTGTTATATTTAATAGACCATTGTGTAATCAAAAGTAATAAACATTATCAGTGTATAAAATTTTACCATTTAGAAATCAAATATGTGTGTATGGCTTGATTAGAACATTTAAACTCTTGAAAGAATAAAACAGCTGTGCGTTATTGGTAAGCTATTTTACCAATCTAAAAGTCTAACATGACTTAAAAACATCTAGGGTTCAGAGAATTATTAATAGCTTTTGGCATGTATCTTTGAATTTTGCTTTTGAGATATTACTTGTGTTACTTTAGTGAAAGGTCCTGCTGACCTTTCTGATTTATCATCTTTAAAGGTTCATAGGTGGTTTCTGCAGTCCCTAATATGGCTAGTCTGGTGTGGGATTTCATGTTCTGTTCCCTTGAGCAGCCATTTTATGAGGGGTTCTGCAGACGTAACATGGCGGGTTTTTTGTTTGTTTGTTTGTTTTTGCTATGTGGATAGTTTTTAGCTTGAGCAGCTCTTCTATTGCTTTGCAAATCCTAAAGAAAGCACCATTTGCATGTTTTTTTAAAGTAGATATTTTATAATTTAAACTATGTTCTATTCCACTATATAAGTATGTCTACTGTATCCTAAAAATATTTTTTGAAACCATTTTGGAAATCAGGTTTACTGTTTTTGGGGGGAAGGTGAGTAGGGTAGTGGTGGTATGTATGTATCTACATCTGCATAAGTGGGAATTTTATATGTACGTGACTACAAATAGAGGTAGATATATTATTTTAATTTCATTTTCTGATTTTTTTTAAAACCAGATTTTCTGATGTCATGGGCTTCTAAAAGGAGAAAAAAGTGGTTATAGCATAGATTATGACTGTTTGAAGGTTAAAGATCTTGTAATAATTTTACCTTGTTTTAATTAGATTTAAAAATCCATTATATTAAATGTAGTTCTAAATATAACCTTGACAAATAGTTATTTCATAGATTGATGCAGTCTACCAAACAAATGCCTCTCTTTTCTGTTTCAGGGATCGCTTACACCTGAGACGAACTACAGAACAGCACGTACCAGAGGTGGAAGTCCAAGTCAAACGCAGAAGGACTGCCTCACTGAGCAACCAAGAGTGAGTACAGACTGTGTTGGGAACAAATGCAAGTCAGAATCTCCTTTCAGATTAGAACAAAATATCATGCAATGAGGGGATTAAAATGAACATAATTGAAGAAGCAGACACATCTAATACAGAAGATGTAGTAAAAAAGCAATGAAATTCTTAACCATATTATCCTAAAATAATTCACCCTCTTAAAGATTTTAGTATAATTTTCTTTTTTCCTATACGTGGGTAAGTGCATTTTATCTTTATAAAATTTTGTAATTACCCTTCAACATAAGCATACTTAAATTTTTCTGCATTATTAAATCACTTTGTATGCTTGCAAAATGTACTGTGCGCTGAAGTGATTAATTTACATATTCATTCTTGCTCTGTGATATTTAGGTGTTTGTTTTTGGTTAGTGCATTTATTCTGTTAAAATTTAAAATACATTTGTGTTTTTTATCCTGTTTTAAGTATATATATGTGGAATGTATATATAGGATGTATACACAGACACACTCAGACACATATTTTAATTTAGATTTCTAGAAGGGAAATTTTAATTAAAAATAGGTGAACATTTTAAATGACCTAATACATATTTAGTCCACATTGAAACTTTGGCATTTTGTCATTGCCATTAAAATTTTGATGGCATTAAAATTTGATGCCATTAAAATTTTGATCAGTAGGTAGCATTTTTTTCTTAGCTACAATTGTTTTTTTTAATTATAAGTATTAAAAATTCATGAAGATGATTCTTTTTGTAAAACAGTTTTGCATAAAAAGTAAGTCTCATTTTAAAGCAACTACCAACTTAACTGGCCTTTTCCTCCCCAGAGATAATCATTAAGTAAATAGCCATCAGACCTTGTCCTATGCATTGTGTGTGTAGTGGGGAGAGAGGAAGGGAGGACATGGGACACATTTGAAGTTTGTGTGCATACGACACCGTGCTGTCTGTATTTTGACAATATGTCTTGGTGATCTTTTCATATCAGTACACATAAATCTACCTTATTTTACAAAGTGTGCGTGGTGTGATAACATTATTATTGTAATCGTTAGCTTGCTGCTGGATATTTAGTTTGTTTGCATTGTTTGGCTATTAACAATGAAAAGAACAGTCACTTTGAAAACGCAGTGTAGGCCAGGCATGGTGGCCCATGCCTGTAATCCCAGCACTTTGGGAGGCTAAGCCAGGCGGATCACAAGGTCAGGAGTTCGAGACCAGCCTGGCCAACATGGTGAAACCCCGTCTCTCCTAAAAATACAAAAATTAACCGAGTGTGGTGGCACGTGCCTGTAATCCCAGCTACTTGGGAGGCTGAGGCAGGAGAATTGTTTGAGCCCAGGAGACGGAGGTTGCAATGAGCTAAGATGGCACCACTGCACTCTAGCCTGGGTGACAGAGCAAGACTCCATCTCAGGAAAAAAAAAAAAAGAAAATGCAGTGTATGAATACTAATTTATTTTATTTTTTTCAAATTAAAGGTTTTTCCTCATAGTAAAAACTGAGTAGTAGTTTGTGTGTCTTTTGTTATTTCCTCATTTTATATGTGAAAAGTTGAGCTGGATGTGGTGGCTCATGCCTCTAATCCCAGCATGTTGGGAGGCTGAGGTGGATCACTTGAGCCCAGGAGGTGGAGACCAGCCTGGGCAACATAGAGAGACCTCCTCTCTACAGAAAAATAAATTAGCCAGGCGTGGTGTTGTCTACCTGTAGTCTCAGCTACCTGGGAGGCTGAAGTGGAAGGGTCACTTGATCCCAGGAGGTTGAGGCTGCAGTGAGCCATGTTTGTGCCACTGTACTCCAGTCTAGGTGACAGAATGAGATCTAGTCTCAAAAAGAAAAAAAAAGTTGTAAAACATCTGTTAGCAAGTTTTAAATTATGGTGAGGGTAAAGATTTTTTTTTTATTTTTTCCTATTTATTTTGCCGATTTTTACTATAGTGAGTATATTTAAGTACATTTTCATTTTTTAAAATTGCTTTGGAAGACGTATTTTATGTACGTTTTGTTTGTATATTGGTAAATATTTTGAAAGTATTTTGTGTAATATAATTTGTCCTTTATATATAATAGGTTATTCGATCATTCATTTTATTTGATATGAAATCTCTTTTTTCATCTCTTCATTCTTTTTGAGACGGAGTTTTGCTCTTGTTGCCCAGGATGGAGTGCAACCTCCGCCTACCAAGTTCAAGTGATTCTCCTGCCTCAGTCTCCCAAGTAACTGGGATTATAGGTGTGTGCCACCATGCCTGGCTAATTTTGTATTTTTTTAGTAGAGACAGGGTTTCTCCATGTTGGTCAGGCTGGGCTCGAACTCCCGACCTCAGATGATCCGCCCGCCTTGGTTTCTTTCCCAAAGTGCTAGGATTACAGGTGTGAGCCACTGCGCCCAGCCTCTCCCTTCATTCTTTTGCAGCTCTGACGTTTTTTTAAAGTGCCATTACTATTCCCTGAGTTTCTAGAGGTAGTTCAGAGATGGTGGTGGAGGTAGGGCTGAGGTTTAGGACTCTTAGGTTTAGGACTGTTAAGTGGGTGAAGGTTCTATCTTGCTATATTTTTGTTACAGTTTTTTTCCTATGTAACCTCAGTGTGGACTAAATAACAGGTAGTCTCATCCTCATCTTGTTGTGGGATGACGTTAGCCTTCTAGGCATCTTGTCCATATTTATGGAAACATTTTGATGGTTTTGAAGAAGAAATAACTTGAGTTTTTCTTATCTGCACTGCATATATATGTACAAATACTGCAGGGTCTTGAGTTGGGGGAATGATCTGAGTAAAGTGTAGAGTTAGGGAAATAGTATAATTTTTCCCCCTTGTGCGTTTTCATTTTGAGAGTAATTGGATTATGGAATGGGTAAGCAGGATTGGTTAACACTGCCTCATTGTCCATGTGTTTAGGATTCTCAGGATTGGTATACTTAGAATGTTATACTAGAAGTGTTCAATATTTACCCATTCATCTCCTACTTCCTACCAAATCATAAGTAGTATTGGGAGGCAGTCTTCCTGGAGGAGTTGTGTGGTTATTAGCCCTAAAGATCAATGAAGGAGGCTGGGTGCGGTGGCTCACGCCTGTAATCCCAGCACTTTGGGAGGCGAAGGTGGGCAGATCACCTGAGGTCAGGAGTTCAAGACCAGCCTGGCCAACATGGTGAAACCTCATCTCTAGAAAAATAAAAAAATCAGCCGGGTGTGGTAGTGTGCACCTGTAATCCCAGCTACTCAGGAGGCTGAGGTGGAAGAATCGCTTGAACCTGGGAGGCAAAGGTTGCAGTGAGCCGAGATGGTGCCATTGGCTGTGCCTGGGTGACATAGCAAGACTCCATCTCAAAATAAAGTAAAAATAAAAAGTTCACTGATTTATTTTAAATTTTTTATTCTGTCTTTCAGTGTATTTGTCACTAAATTAGCTCTTATTCTTTGGGGCTGGATGATGTATCGTGAGTTCGAAGGGAAATTGGAAATTGGAGCTGGAGAGTTGTCTTAATATATTTTATGCTAAGCTTCACATGTCTTTTCAAATTAATATTCTGCACTCTATGAATTAAATTCTGTGTAGGCTGCCTCATTTTCTCAGTCTTTAATCTTCTATTGGGTTACAGGTTAGATCTGAGGGGGACATTGCAATAGAGAATTATCTTACGTTTCAAGATAACATTATATATATTTTTTTTTACTGAAACACTTTTTAGACCTTTATGAATAATAATCAGAAACTTAGTTGTCATTTGTAAACAGAGGTTAGAGTGGAGAATGCCCAAATTAAGATTTATTTATTCAGTGATTAGACTATGAATTAGAGTATAAAGTAGACTATGAATTAGAGTGTGAAGATTTAGAGGTATGTGCAGTGCAATTCTGACTACTTGGAGTTAGTGCAAATTTCACAGTTGTCTAGATGCCCTCCAGAACATTCCCCTCAATGCAGACACCAACTCCAAGCTCCAGGGTTGGCAGGGCACCCACACTTCCGACCAACAGTCTATAGATTCTGAGGTCCTACTATTTTCTCAGACTTTATAATTGACTAAGGTTTTATAAATGACTAGTAGATCTCAAGAAAGTGCTATACTTACTAGTTTTTTTTATAAAGGATACAAATGAACAGATGCATAGAGCAAAATCTGGGCAGGTCCCACACAAATCTTCCCTGTCCTCAGGATGCATTACCTGCACATTAGCGTATATCACCAATCAGGAAGCTCACCAGAACTCCAGATGTCGATGATTTTTGTTGGGGATTCATTATGTTGACAAGATTGAATCACTGGACATGTCACTGAATTCAGTCAGCAACTCTCCTGCCCTCCCAGGAGGGCTTGCTCAAAACCCCAACCCTTTAGTCTTTGTTTGATCTTTTGTGGCCTGGTTAGTCACCATCTTGAGACATCTCATTACCAAGAACTCAGGTGTGATCCTAGGGACCCACCTTGAGTAACAAACACATTTCTTTCACTGGGTAAATTCCAAGGATGTATAGGATGTATAGGTTACTTCCCAGGAACCAGGAGCAAAGGCCAGTTAAATTCTTTATTATACAGAAGCAATTTTAAAATGTTACTGAAAAACCATAGAAAAAAGTCCAATTTCCAAATCCTTACATGCCAACAAGGGCAGCATTGTTGGTGATCCCCCAGCTCCTCACCTCAAGGCAAGCTGTCATTTCCTGTATGTCTTCCTTCTCATCATCAGATTTCACAGCCAGGTTACTGATTCATAGGGGTATGTCGAGGGCTTTTGTCTGGAATTCCCTGCTTACCAGTAGATGATTGGTTTACATATTTTAAGAGCCCTTAAATAGCCCTGGAAGTTCTATATTTCAGGTAGTGACTTGTCAGGAGGATCAATATGAAGGACGGCCTAAACATCTCCCTGCAAATGCTTTAGCAGCATCTCCCTCCCCTCACCCCTGGGGAGAAAGGATTGTTCACACAGGATAATTTGAAAGTGAGTGACTATATATGGTACTGATGGTGTTTCTTCAAGGCTGCCAGCTCTTGTGTTTTTAGTTCTTTTGGAAATATTTCTAGACTTGGTAAGTATCTTAAGTATCCACTAGTCCCTTGTACAATCTCTGTGTAGAGATTCCTGTTTTGTGTTATAATTTCTCATAAGATAGTGTCATCCTCTGACCCTAAAGAAAGATCTTCTTCCCTGGGCGTGGTGGCTCACGCTTGTAATCCCAGCACTTTGGGAGGCCAAAGTGGGTGGATCACCTGAGGTCATGAGTTCCAGATCAGCCTGGCCAACATGGTGAAACCCCATCTCTACTAAAAATACAAAAAAATTAGCCGAGAGTGGTGGCAGGCACCTGTAGTCTCAGCTACTCGGGAGGCTGACACTGGAGAATGGCGTGAACCCAGGAGGCGGAGCTTGCAGTGAGCCCAGATCGTGCCACTGCACTCCAGCCTGGGCGACAGAGTGAGACTCTGTCTTAAAAAAAAAAAAAAAAATTAGCTGGGTGTGGTGGTAGGTGCCTGTAATCCCAGCTACTTGGGAGGCTGAGGCAGGAGAATCACTTGAACCCCGAAGGCAGTGTTTGTGGTGAGCAGAAATTGCTTCATTGCACTCCAGCCTGGGCAACAGAATGAGACCCTGTCTGGAAAAAAAAAAAAAAAAAAAAGGAATATCTTCTTAAATGTAAGGGTACCTAGTTTTCTTTCATATGGTTTCCTATAAAGACAAATGTATTTTTATCATTTATATATATTGTGCTCTTGTTGTAGGTGTCAGTTGTACCCGAGGCGTTCTCAGCAGCAGCAAGTACCTGTGGTGGATTTCCAGGCTGAACTGAGGCAGGCATTCTTAGCTGAGACACCAAGAGGTGGTTAAAGCCATATTGGAGTAGCGAGGAATCTGATTCCAAGCAAAAACCAGGTTAGAGCTAATGCAGCAATGATCAAGAATAAAGAATCATTAAAGAATGGGGTGTTGGGGGTTCTCTTAATTATCAGTGACACATTAATTTTTTTCCTTAGAGCTTCATACAATAAACACATTGCAGAAAGTTTTAGAAAGTTTTGCAGGACCTTAAATTTTCTGCCCTGACACTTTCGTCATGTTTCTGTATTCCAGTTATTGTAGCGCATGCTTTTCAGGTAGTTTTCTTTTGCGTTTTTTTTAATTATATAAAAATATTTCACTATAAATGGCTCTTGAATACCCTGTTACTGAATGTTTATAATTTCCTTTTGTGGGAGGTGTCATTTTTTTCTGCCAGTAGTTTGAACAAAGCTTTAGTAGATAGCTTTGTATAAAACTTAGAATAATTTTTTCAAATATGCAGATGTGAAAATAAATTGAATCAAGGAATATGAACTTAAGGTACATTTTTCTAAATTATATTGCAAAGTATTAAATTAGTATTCATTGCTTTCGAAAAATAAAGGGCCAGTTACAACATACTTTCACAGCATTATTTTAATTCAAATATGGTTTATGTCAGTGAATTATAAATACACAGCACATAATTAACAATGAGTATTAGAGAATCTAAATACTTTCTCATGCTTATTTACTAATTCCTTTTTGTTTTGTCTTTTTCTCACTTTTCTGTTTTAACCAATGTATTTCCTCTTTGAATCAGCAGACAATGTAATAAAAATATTATTCATAATTTTTCAATGTGATGTAGATTTATTTAGTTCTTTTTATGTTGCTTTCATTTTTTAGGAAAAAGTTATTACAAAGTCGATTTTGATTTGTTTTCTTGTTTTTCCTCTGTGATTTTTCTTTTTTTCTACTTTAAGTTTTAGAATGCCCTCATTTCTGAGAGTTTACTATTTACTTTTTACAAAGTAAGAGCAGAGAGGAATTGGGTTTACTGATAAATTCCTTCTAGCCTTTTTTTAAGTCTGTTTTTGAAGTATTATCCTTCAACTTGAATCAGTTAGGCTTGTTTATGGCCACCATTTTGAGTTATTAATTAATTTATTTATTTAGAGATGAAGTTTCACTCTGTTGCCCAGGCTGGAGTGCAGTGGTATGGTTTCGGCTCACTGCAACCTCTGCCTCCCAGGTTCAACTGATTTTCCTGCCTCAGCCTCCCAAGTATCTGGGATTATAGGCACCCACCACCACACCTGGCTAATTTTTGTATTTTTGGTAGAGACGGGGTTTCACCATGTTCTCCAGGCTGGTCTCAAACTCCTGAACTCAGGTGATCCACCTGCCTTGGCCTCTCAAAGTGCTGGGATTACAGGCGTGACCTACCGCGCCCGGCCCATTTTGAGTTTAAATCAAAGGAGACAGAAATTTTCTGAGAAATCCTCCTTTCTTGAATCCTTTATACACAACATTTTCTAGCAATTGCATAAGCAAATTGGAATCTAATCATTGTCCAAAGCTTTTCCCTTGAGTAAGGGAATTTTTCATTGAATAGGTGTGCACAACTGATTTTTTACTTTTTAGGAATTTTTTAGCTTCTCAGTTCAGTTCACAGATTTTTGTAAATTTTTAAATACAACATTTAAGTCATACATTATAGTCTGCAAGTAGGACCATCTAATTTTATGATACTTAATTATATCTTATTCTAGTCTCAACTGCTAGTTCTACCTAAATAGTACCCATTACTAGTATTCCTGTAGAAGAAGGGTTGGTAATATATCTGGACCACTACCTGTGTCTATAAATGAAATTTTATTGGAACACAACTCAGTTCATTTATTATGTTATCTTTGGCCACATTGGTGCTACGGTGGTGCAGCTTTGAGTAGTTGTGACAGATTGAATGACAGGCAAAGCCTAAAATACTTAGTATCTTGCTATTTAAAAGAAAATAATTGGCTGAGTTTTATTTTAGAGGAGCAGATTGAAAGAAGAAAACACCAAAGTGGGGGCCAGTCAATATAGTCATAATGTCATAGAAGGTGATAAAGAATAGATTATAGAAGTATATACGAAGTATACATTACAGCGTAGACAATCAGATGAATTTCTTGGGGAAGGGATCAGTCTAAGAGTCATGTTAAAGTCTGCTGTGGAGGAAGATGGGTAGTCTTTAACAACATTTAAACACTTCGTACCCGTTTTCATTAAAAATGTAAGGCACACGATGGCCAGGAAAAATAAGAAAATAAACTATTAATGTGGCCGGGTGTGGTGGCTCACGCCTGTCATCCTAGCACTTGGGGAGGCTGAGGCAGGTGGATCACCTGAGGTCAGAAGTTCGAGACCAACCTGGCCACATGGCGAAACCCCATCTGTTCTAAAAATACAAATATTAGCCGGGTGTAGTGGGGGACACCTGTAATCCCAGCTACTCGGGAGGCTGAGGCAGGAGAATTTCTTGAACCCTAGGGGCAGAGGTTGCATTGAGCAGAGATTGTGCCACTGCGCTTCAGCCTGCGTGACAGAGCAAGACTTCTATCTCAAAAAAAAATTGTGTTATGAATATTCTGTTTTTCTTTGGTACCTAAATATTTACCAGGGTACATATCCAACTGGATACCTACCTAGTAGTTGGGATGCAGGGTGTAATATTAGTATGACTTTTAAACGTTTTTGTTACATTGTTTTCTAAACACATCATGAGAAGTGCTGATGGCCACTAAAAATTAGTAGACCATTAGTTTCTCAGTACCACCCTTTGTATTCTGGTGTTTTTTTGTTTTTGTTAAATAAACCTTTCCAATAAAGGAAATTTGTTTTCTTGTGTTTTTAATTGGAATTATTGTGTATTAATATTTTGCATTTAGTTTTCTTTTGTCACTTGTTTTTGCATACTCTTCGATGGAGGATCTCTATGGAGACCCTCTATAATTTTAAATTTTAACAGATCAATACTGATATTCCATGGTGTGTCTCATTTGCTATGTGTGCCTTGGCCAACCCTAGTCATCTTATTTTACTATTTGCTATGTGTGCTTTGGCCAACCCTAGTCATCTTATTTTACTTTTGAATTAAAGTAGATTTACATTTTTATGTAGTTTAATCATTTGAAAGTCTACAGTTTCCTAAAGTTTGAAAACTTGTGCTTCTGTGAGGGATACCAGTTCGTTAATTTGCTTATGTGCCCTTTGATCTCAGAAGATACACTATGACTGCTCATCCATCCTTGCAGTGTGATGTTGCTACTCTCGTCGCCTTTCTCATGAAGTTTTGTTTTCTTGTGCTGTAAAGATAAATTTGACCACTCTGCAGTGATTTATTTTCTTCTTTCACTTACAAGGTCATGACTACATTGTATCACATTTAGGGATGAGAGAGAACTGTTTCTAAATTCCAAATCTGTCTCTTAAGGGAATCCTTTTAACTGCTGTAGGAGGTCAACTCCTATTGTGAGTAAAACATATATCTCTTCTAGCTATACAGGTTATTATTATATTATGATATATATATAAATATAAAATAATAATCTGTCCCTAATTCTCTAGGTCTTCAGTTCTTTGGGCCATAACTCACATCCCTAGATGTGTTTCATACCTCTGGACCGCTAAGCTTGTGGGAGTTATTTATATCCTATTGCTCAAGGTCATTGCCAAGGTCTGATTTTTCACAAAAAAATTCCAACCTCTGGCATAAATGGGTTAAAAACGGCTTTAGTGATGTAGTGCTGATAAACATAAAATTCACCCAATTTAAGTGCATGAAGCAATGATTTAAGTAAATTTACAGAACTGTGCAATCATTGCCATGAACTACTCTGGAAACATTTTCATCACCACAGTAAGATCTGTCTTGCTCATTCACAGTCATGATCCTTGTTGTCTCTTTGGATGGCTGAAGGTCCCAAGTGTTGCAGTGCTATAAAAATGGATATTGCTGGCTGGGCGCAGTGGCTCATGCCTGTAATCCTAGCACTTGGGGAGGCTGAGGCCGGCAGGTCACCTGAAGTCAGGAGTTCGAGACTAGCCTGGCCAACGTAGCGAAATTCCTTCTCTGCTAAAAATACAAAAATTAGCCGGGTGTGGTGGCGGGCGCCTGTAATCCTAGCTACTCAGGAGGCTGAGGCAGGAGAACCACTTGAACCCGGGAAGTGGAGGCTGCAGTGAGCCGAGATCACTCCATTGCACTCCAGCCTGGGCAACAGAGTGAGACTCTGTCTCAAAAAAAAAAAAAAAAGGATATTGCTAATGAGTCTCATATACCATGTTTTCTTGGATTTAGACTGCTTTATAAAGAATCATAAGATAATATTCAAAACTTCTAAGTTATAGTCCTTAAACTCTTACTCATATTTAGGACAGAAACTACATTTAATTTTTGTGGAGGTCTTTGTTTGCTTATTTGAAAAGTTCTTTTGAGATCTTTATAGGTTTTATTTAATACATTTTTTAATGTACAGACATCAGATTCATGGCCACTGAATGACAGCCAGGCATTAGAGTATTCTTTTTTTTTTTTTTTTTTTGAGATGGAGTTTCACTCTTGCTGCCCAGGCTGGAGTGCAATGGTGCGATCTCCGCTCAAAAAGATACTTTTGAATCCTTTTCAAAAGTAATTTGTGTTTCATTTTTTAATTAGTATGATAAGCACTTCAAGACCCTTTACAATTCTGGCTAGATTTGGTTGCCATATTTAATAGCATTTTATAAATAATGGAGAAAAGGGAAACATTATGCATGCTTGATTACGGTCATGAGCTGCATTAACAATTCCGTTCAACAACAGACTGCATATGTCAGAGCAGTCCCTTAAGATTACAAAACCATGTTTTCATTGTGCCTTCTCTCTCTTCCCCACCACCCCCAACCCTGAGATGGAGTCTTGCTCTGTTGCCCAGGCTGGAGTACAGTGGTGCCATCTCAGCTCACTGCAAACTCTGCCTCCTGGTTTCAAGCGATTCTCCTGCCTCAGCCTCCTGAGTAGCTGGGATTACAGGCGCCTGCCACCACACCCAGCTAATGTTTGTATTTTTAGTAGAGATAGGGTTTTCGCCATGTTGGCCAGGCTGGTCTTGAATTCTTGACCTCAGGTGATCCGCCCACCTCGGTTTCCCAAAGTGTTGGGATTATGGGCGTGAGCCACCACACCCAGCCTCTTCTCTGTTTAACATTGTATTGTGAGTGTTCATAGTATGCAGGATAGTAACATGATATACAGGTTTGTAGCCTAGGATCTACCATATTGCCTAAGAGTATAGTAGACTCTGTGTATCCTCTAGGTTTGTGTAAGTACACTGTTCATACTGTGATGAAATCACCAAATGCATTTCTCCTAATGTGTCCCCATTACGTGACTTATTTATTTATTTTGAGATGAAGTTTTGCTCTTGTCCCTCCTTGTTGCCCAGGCTGGAGTGCAGTGGCGCGATCTCAGCTCACTGCAACCTCTGCCTCCCAGGTTCAAGCGATTCTCCTACCTCAGCCTCTCAAGTAGCTGGGATTACAGGCACCCACCACCATGCCTGGCTAATTTTTTTGTATTTCTAGCAGAGACGGGATTTCACCATGTTGGCCAGGCTGGTCTCGAACTCTTGACCTCAGGTGATCCACCTGCCTTGGCCTCCCCTGGTGCTGGGATTACAGGCGTGAGCCACCTCACCCGGCCGTTAACGTGATTTATAACTTTGTCCTTCATTACTTGATCTATGAAAGTTGTTTATGTGAGTCTATATATATATATTCCATAGTCATGTGTTCTCTTTTGACATGGGAAGTCTTAGGCAGGTTTATAACACACTTGGCTCTTAGTGGGGAAAGATTACCTGCCATCATCTTGAAGCGAATTTAGGGGAAGAAAGAATATTGCAAATGACAACATAGGTATTTCAGAAAAAAGGAAAAATCTGAATGAAAGAGTAATTGAGATGTTGATACAGAGATGACTTCATATTAATTCTGAACTAGAGAGAGAGACACTACCTTAAATAAGGATGGAAAGAAAAATACTAAATTTGGGAAAATGACGCTTAGTTTTTGAAACATTTAGGAATTACTAGGTAAAATAAAATTCAATGACTTTCATCAGTCCTAAGTGTGTCAAATGTGAGAGTTAAGAATGAGGGACTAGGGAAATGTGGCAGTCCCTTGGTGAGGAAGCTAGTATGAGAGGAAGGATGTTTTTGAACGTGTCTGTCATAGTGATTTTCATGCAAAATTGTCTGCCTGTTTTAAAACATGGTAGATTGCAGTGCAGCTTTAACATGCTTTCCTCTGCAGGCTCCATCTACTCTTTGAAGCTTCTGCCCAGCTTGCATTGTTTCTAGGAGAACCTGCGTCATACCTTTATCTATAGCCTTCCCCTAGGTCTTCAGAAGCATCAAGTTTTAACTGTGGACATTGGATTTGGTGGAACAGCAATCATGGTAAGCTGTATGATAAGGCTGAGGGTTGAAATGTGCTGTAAGGGCCGAAAGAAATAGTTTGCCAGCATGTGCAGTGATCTTGGGTTCTGAATGTTAGAAATAAGGATACATCCATGGATATGGATTCTCATTGCATTGAGTATCAGCTGAAGATGAGCTGATTTTTTTATTTTTATTTTTTTCAGACGGGGTCTTGCTCTGTCTCCCAGTCTGGAGTGCAGTGGTGCGGTCTTGGCTCACTGCAACCCTGGGTTCAAGAGATTCTCGTGCCTCAGCCTCTTTATTAGAAACAGGGTTTCACTGTGTTGGCCAGGCTGGTCTCAGGCTCCTGACCTCTGGTGATCCACCCACCTCGGCCTCCCAAAGTGCTGGGATTACAGGCATGAGATGAGCCACTGTGCCTGGCCATGAGAAATGTTTCATGATGTGAGAAAATACAGGAGTTTTTGGTCATGATTCCACCAGTGGTGAAGGACTGTCCTGCAGATGATGGACTCTCAGGTCAGATTACAATAGAAATAAAGAGGGCTTTGAAAATGGAAGGGTTTTGGCATTAACAGTACAGAGAAAAGCAGTCTGGAGAGAGAGAACACCCTACATCATTGTGGTTTGGTTTACTTAGGGGAGTGGACAGTTTAGAGCATGCATCGTCACAGAGAAGGATAATCACCTGTAAGGAGGTGAAAATTGGTTCTTGAGATGTGAAAAAATACTTCATAATCCTTTGTGGTCCTCCAAAGAGCCATACTAAATATGGAAGAATGTTGGTGAAAAAGGAGAGAATATTTGTTTAGTTAAGGAAACCAGGCTTAGATTATGTAAGGGTGGAGAAGAAACAGGAGAAGATTAGAAGACTAGGGTGTTGGCAAGCTGAACATGACTCTTGTCTTACTGCTTCTAGACTGTTGGCAAGAGTAGCAAGATGCTGCAGCACATTGACTATAGAATGAGATGTATCCTGCAAGATGGCCGAATCTTCATTGGCACCTTTAAGGCTTTTGACAAGCATATGAATTTGATCCTCTGTGATTGTGATGAGTTCAGAAAGATCAAGTAAGGCTGATTTGGGCAAATGGGGGTTGGACACAGAGGCAGTGGGAAGGGAAGGCCAGAGCTGGAGTAAGGGATTTCCGAGGGTAACTGAAGTAGTTAGGGAAACTATGGTAGAGCCAGTCTATTGTTTAACCTCTTGACCTGATCTCTGAATTAGGTCAGAGTCTGCATCTGAACTCTTTTAAGTTTGTAAAACAATCATGGATTTATTACTGGGAGTAAAAGTATATGCTATGGTCAGAATACTCGTATTTATTTTTAAAATTGAGAAAAATGCTATATTAATTAATTGGTTGGCTTCTGCAGCAGTCTTAGACCAAATCTTGGTTGAAATGGAGAAGAACAGTTGTTCTTCATGGTTGAGGAGTTGGGATATGGTTGCCATTTGGTATCCTCTCTTTGCCTATCACTGTTCCCATTATTTCAGTTCTGTGTCACCTGTCATTATGATTTAATTATTTAAGTAATTTTTTAAAGAAATTTCCATTTTAATGTGGAAACCCAGGTTTCAATTTTGTTTTTCTTAAAAGGTATTTCACAAAAGAAATTAGTCTTGTTGTAGTGTAACATCAAAGGAACATTCTGTAAAAGACTAAAGTTAGATTAGAAAATAGCTTCACTATTTACCCTTGTATATTAACTGTGTTTACAGATATTTTTTGGCTTGTTTTTCAGTGATAACTCAGTAAATGTTTAGCATCAGTTGTCTTAATTGATACTTGAGGTTGTATAAATATTTTGATGAGTGAGTGATCACTAAAATTTATCTCACTAAAATTTAATTCTGATTTGTAGGCCAAAGAATGCGAAGCAACCAGAGCGTGAAGAAAAGCGGGTTTTGGGTCTGGTGTTGCTGCGTGGGGAGAACTTGGTATCCATGACTGTGGAGGGGCCACCCCCCAAAGATGTAAGGAAGATGTAGGGCAGGACAGAACTTTAATTTGCAGGGACATCATATTATGTGAGATGTCTGAAATCAGGGTAGAGCAGACACAGTTCAACATGGATTGTCAAATAAAATGTGCCAGGCACTTAATATCAATTGTTGGTTGCCTATGCTATTCGGGATTAGGGGATTTTTGGTGAATTATTCTATGTGCTGGGCATTACCTAGGTAAGGGTAGGAGTTGGTGATTCATGTTTGCTTGGTATGTTTATAAAAGAGGTGTTTTCACAATTTGACAAATAATGTGCATTTTATACACAAGATACCTCCATGGTATACTTGCTTGTTTGTTCATTTGGACACAGAACTAATATGAGATAGGTGTCATGGGAAAATGGTGGAGAGAAGTGATCTCTGATGAATAAGAATACTGAGAACTTGTAAATTGTTTGATTTTAGGCTATGAATTTTCTTGTTTCAGACTGGCATTGCTCGGGTACCACTTGCTGGAGCTGCTGGAGGCCCTGGGGTTGGTAGGGCAGCTGGTAGAGGAGTACCAGCTGGTGTGCCAATTCCCCAGGCCCCTGCTGGATTGGCAGGCCCTGTCCGAGGAGTTGGGGGACCATCCCAGCAGGTGAGGAACCAGCAGAGGGTTTTATATTATTGGGAGAATATGACTAAGCCGGAGGCCGAGGAGATTTAAAAACCTAAGTGTATGTGTCATACAATGTAAACAGCATATGGTTTAGGAGGAACCAAAACACAGATATATGGGAGGAAGGGAATAAAACTAGCTGCTTAAAATGGTCATTGGGTGATTAAAGTTACCCAGGTTACTCTTGGCAAGAGTAACTTGCCACTAGTGGTGAGTGAACAGAATGCATGGATATACCACAGTTGAAAAGACCAAAGGGCTTTTTGGATGTCAGTGTACTAAGATTAGTTTTTAAAATATGGGAATAGGCCGGGTGCAGTGGCTTACGCCTGTAATCCAGCACTTTGGGAGGCCGAGGTGGGCAGATCACTTGAGGTCAGGAGTTCGACACCAGCCCGGCCCACGTGGTGAAAACCCTATCTCTACTAAAAATACAAAAATCAGCTGTGTGTGGTGGTGGGTGCCTGTAATCCCAGCTACCAGGCAGGGAGACAGGAGAATCGCTTGAACCCAGGAGTGGGAGGCTGCAGTGAGCTGAGATTGCGCCATTACACTCCAGCCTGGGTGACAAGAGTGAAACTGTCTCAAAAAAAAACATGGGAATAATGAGAGAAGTACATTGCAACAGTTGTTTGTAACTAATTGGTCATTTTTCTCATTTATTTTCTGTGTTTGAATAATGTGAAGGTTTGCATCGCTTTGACTGTTTCCCGCCCTGCCTTCTCAGGTAATGACTCCACAGGGAAGAGGCACTGTAGCAGCTGCTGCTGTTGCTGCGACTGCCAGTATTGCTGGAGCCCCAACACAGTACCCACCAGGACGGGGCACTCCGCCCCCACCCGTCGGCAGAGCAACCCCACCTCCAGGTAAGGGATTGGTGAACACGAAGACGAACTTGAATCTCTGATGAGAGATAGCTTACTGATTTAAGACACAGCCTGAGAGCCTAAGAATTTGGGGAATATGCTTCCTTCTTCTAGATACTGGTTTTTAATGAAAGACATAGAAGAGTAATTGTCATATAGAAGTTATTTGACTCTATCATTGTTGTCTGGCCCATTTCTTTAGGGATTATTTGGGCTAAATTCTAACTTTTCTAAGCCATTTTATGAGGCCTTTATTTCTACCATTTTTCACTGTAGGCATTATGGCTCCTCCACCTGGTATGAGACCACCCATGGGCCCACCAATTGGGCTTCCCCCTGCTCGAGGGACGCCAATAGGCATGCCGCCTCCGGGAATGAGACCCCCTCCACCAGGCATTAGAGGTGAGTGGGAGCATAGGGGTTTGATGGTTCAGCCAGGCCCCTGAATATGTGTATCCTCTTTTTCTCAATGTTTCTATTTCCTTTCCAGGTCCACCTCCCCCAGGAATGCGTCCACCAAGACCTTAGCATACTGTTGATCCATCTCAGTCACTTTTTCCCCTGCAATGCGTCTTGTGAAATTGTGTAGAGTGTTTGTGAGCTTTTTGTTCCCTCATTCTGCATTAATAATAGCTAATAATAAATGCATAGAGCAATTAAACTGTGAGGTACTGTTGTATATATTTTTTTGCCTGTTGATTTTGATGAGATCTTAAGTTACTGTGGATGAGGGTGATGCCTATTAAGCAGTTGATTCAAATCATATTCTCTTTAATTCTTAGGATAAAAAGGTTTTCTGCTATCTAACTTTCACTTTGTGCATTGACTGGTGTTGGTTAATAATGTTTTCATGACCCGGGGGTTTAAGTGGTTGTGCTGCTTCACACATGGCCTCCTGCTTCTCATGTTGCTATGTCACATTATCTGAAGGGAAGTGGGGATGGGATGAAAGGCCTTGTAAGGCCACCTATATACTGAAGGAAGTTGTAGTGAATCACAGTCCATGCTCATTACATATCAAGGCATTTGAAATAGAAGTTACTCTTTTTCTTGGGATGTTGACCTCAGTTGATCAGGTTTTACAGTGTCCTATGATCAGAATAGAGGATGTGATACTGGAATAATCATTTTCTACCATTGAGTAAGTATTTATTTATAAATTACTAAATGAGTGGAAGATCCTGGGTACTGGGAGGCAGGAGGTTGCATATTTGAGTTGATAAGTTGTACTACTGATAATAAAGATAACTGACACACTAAAACATACTTGGTACACTGAAATACAAATTACGGTTATGTCCAGTGGTATCACCAAGTGACAAACTGGGAGCTAAATAGTTCAGAAATGCCCTAGTCTCTAGGTCCAGTTTGAATTGGTTATGGAACAAAGAAGCCATTTATAAAAGGGAAGAGATTTTTAGGTTTTGCAGCTAAGGTTTATAGTAGGCAGCGAGGGAATGATTCATAGTGATTGTAGCAGTTGGTTTACCAAGCACTAAAGAGATTGGTGTTAACTCCATAATACTGATAGACTGATTGGAATTACATTTTTTCTCTTGAATTTACCAGGAGTGGTTGTGAATGTCACCTTTTCCATCTTTTAAATTACATCCTTGCAGGTGGTAATCACTCAAGGAAAAGGAATTATCAGAGTAACAATAGTTCCTGTTACTGACTTGATATGGTCTCTGCCAGAATAGCTTCTCAGATTAATGGCCACTCTCAGGTAAGGAAAATAAAGAGGCGAAGCCTTAGTTGCTTTAGGAGATGATATAATACAGGTGTGACATCAGTGTTTTCAGAATTTGTAAATGTTAAAACAAACTTCTTGATTTACCAAAGCCACAACCAAAGTACTTTACCTGGATCTTTCAAGACAGAGCTTCTCAGTTCAGACAAATTGACTGATGATAAGACAAACACTTTTCCTCTACAAACCGTGGGGTAGTATGTAGAGAGACCTGTGATTTCTTCCCATACTGCTCTGGAACTACTTCTAATTATACTTTTTTCTTTGTTTGTTTTTGAAGGGGAAGCATTTCTCCTTGCATTGGTTTGCTGGTATGGATGGCCCTTAGATTTTGGCATGAGTGATTATGCAGCCTATTTGAAGAAAACCTGTTTTCAGGACCTTTTTAATTAAATATGGCCTGTTACATGAGTTAAAGGTAAGTTATAAGAGCTCTAGATTCTGCAAGATGCTTGCTTCTTGTAGTTATTTTGCTTGGTGATAATACATTTTCTTTTGTCTGGAGCTTCCTGGACTTTTTGAGAATCCTGATTGTGATGATATAATAGGAGAAAACTTGGGATATAGATAGTATAATTGAGTGTGGTGAATCTTTTGTTATGGAATGCTAGTCTAAGCTTCTGTGTGTTTCCACTAGGGACACACATCAACATATCAGTCTTAAAACATTCTTGGTAGTTAATGCTTGATGTTACTTAAAAATCATCCTACATTCTTGCATTAAACTACATACACGTGGCTGGGCGCGGTGGCTCATGCCTGTAATCCCAGCACTTTGGGAGGCCGAGGCAGGCAGATCCCGAGGTCAGAAGATCGAGACCATCCTGGCTAACACGGTGAAACCTCGTCTCTACAAAAAATTCAAAAAATTAGCCGGGCGTGGTGGCAGGCACCTGTAGTCCCAGCTACTCGGGAGCCTGAGGCAGGAGAATGGTGTGAACCTGGTGGAGCTTGCAGTGAGCCGAGATCGCGCCACTGCACTCCAGCCTGGGCGACAGAGTAAAACTCTGTCTCAAAAAAAAAGAAAAAAAAAAAAAAAAGAAAATACATACATGTCTCATCTAAAACATGGTTGGTCAACAACTTTCTGATTTCCTGATACACATTTTATTAACCGGCTCCTTAAATATATCCATGTTGCATATCATGTTTGACATGCTTTCATTGTAGCTTATAGAATAATTTCAAATAGAATTTTGGGATAAAAATTATGCTACCTTAAAATAGGTTATGAAGTATTTGAGGTATTCTCTTTTTATATGATAGGTAAACTTGGCTTGGAATTAAAAAGATTTTGAAAGTTGCTTAGGGAGCTCCCTGCTTTTGTGAACTCATTATTCCTTAATTATGATGTCAAATTTCAGAAGTTTGTTATTAACATACCGGTATTTTGCTTTTTATAGATTCTTGTAATAGAATATTACAAGTAGAAACTGATTTACATAGATAATTATGTGAAATAGTGCTGCTTGACTAGGATTTTCATGATCTCATTTCAAAGATTAGCAAAAACACCCTTTACCTGGTATGTTTACCTCTGATACTACCTTCACTGATTTCAGCAGGTAGTCAGTTATAATCCATGGATTGAAGTTTTGATTTATTTATTTATTTATTTGAGACAGAGTCTCACTCTGTTGCGCAAGCTGGAGTACAGTGGTGTGATCTTGGCTCACTTTAGCCTCTGCCTTCCGGGCTGAAGCGATTCTCCTGCCTCAGCCTCCTGAGTAGCTGGGATTACAGGTGTGGGCCACCACACCTGGCTAATTTTTGTATTTTTGGTAGAGACAGGGTTTCACCATGTTGGCCAGGTTGGTCTCAAACTCCTGACCTCAGGTGATCCGCCCAACTCAGCCTCCCGAAGTGCTGGGATTACAGGTGTGAGCCACCGCACCCCGCCATGGGTTGAAGTTTTTAAATGCATGTTTTCCGGTAGTTAATACATTGCTTGATTCTGTCTTATAATTGCATTTCAGTTCTCTTCATCTTGTCCATACACATAATAATGCTTAGTATATAATAAAGCAAGGTATATTTTCATGGGATTTTTGTAGTGGGAGAATGACATCTGAGCCTGAAATAGGATATTTGTGTTGTAACTTTTTCAGTGTCATACGATACCATTTTTTGACCACTTAGTTGATGCCTCTGAAAGGAAGAGAGAATCAGATCGCTAAAATTTGATGTGTCGTCAGTGTGGATCCTACTCAGTAGTGTCACAACGAGGCTGAAAATCATATTAAGTGCTTTTAGGACAGAAACGTAAACTGCTCAGGTAAAATAACCTTATAAAGAGAAATAAGCATATATTGCAGAGGCCTTGGCTAGGTTCATGATGACACAGGACCTTGTCTGAACATAATGATTTCAAAATTTGAGCTTAAAAATGACACTCTGAAATCCAGTCAGTGTGCCTCACTAGACTTTTCGATTTCAAGATTTTCTGCAGAAAATGTTTTGAAAACTTTGAATACTTAAAAATGGCAGGTGTAGTATTGCACTTTGCTAGTTGCTCAGATACCCTTTTTTATTTGTATAGATATTCTGAGTTCCTTTTTTTTTCTACATGTTGTACGTTGTCGAAAGCTAAAAGGAAACTTATCCTTGGATCACGGAAGGCAGAGGCATTTGGTGAGATGGAAACAAGGATGTGTAAAAATGAGACGACCACCTCTCGGATTAAAAAAAAAAAGTGCCAGAGTTCTAGGGTTCTAAGTGATGTCCAGGAAGGAGGAGGAATAATATTTATGGAGCATATATTATGGAACACAGTGAGTATAGTACCTGCCTTTAAATGAATACTGTTGGTTTTTTAGGACAGTTGCTTTTTTTTCTTTTTTCTTCAGCTGTGTGCAGTTGATTAACTTGTACAGAGCCTATCACACAATAGATGTTTAAGAAATATTAAGTGAATGAATGAGGCAGCATTGCTAATTTTTGTATAGTGAGACAGTATCTCACAGTCCAGGCTGGAGTTCAGTGGCATTAACATAACTCACTGCAGCCTTGAACACCTGAGCTCAAACGATCCTTTCACCTTATCCTCCAGAGTAGCTGGGACTACAGTCGCGTGTCAACATGCCTGGCTAATTTTAGTTTTCTAATTTTTTTAGAGTTGGGATCTCACTATGTTGCTTAGACTGGTCTTGAACTCCTGGCCTCATGCCATCCTCTTGCCTCAGCTGGTATTGTAGGTGTGAGCCACTGTGCCAGGTACTAATTTTTTTTATGTTAGAAAACAAGTTTTTAGGTATTTTATAGTTACTTCCTTATGACAATATCTCATCAGAATCTAGGCCTATCTGATATCTGACTCCATACGTTTATACCGTGTAGTCAGCCATTCCCAGATAGAGGTCATTTGAGTTACTTAGTGTTTACCAGCACTTGTTTACTACCTTGCGATGATATTTACAGTGTATTTTTGGGTATGGTTTTGGGGTTATTTGGTTGTTGTTAAAATGCCTGTAATCCCGGCACTTTGGGAGGTTGAGGCGGGTGGATCACCTGAGGTCAGGAGTTCGAGCCCAGCCTGGCCAACATGGCGAAACCCTACCTCTACTAAAAATACAAAAATTAGCCTGGCGTGGTGGCAGGCACCTGTAATCCCAACTACGCAGGAGGCTAAGGCAGGAGAATTGCTTGAACCCGGGAGGCGGAGGTTGCAGTGAGCCGAGATCGCGCCAATGGCACTCCATTCAGCTTGAGTGACAGAGGTGAGACTCCCATCTCAAGGTAAAAAAAAAAAATAGAAATCAGCAACTGCTATTTGAGTTTACAGGAGTGAGAAGTCCTCTCTTGCATGGTGAGATGGGGAACATTTAATTCAATAGAAATATTTGAGACCAGGTATGGTGGCTCAAGCCTGTAATCCCAGCACTTTGGGAGGCTGAGTTGGGTGGATCACCTGACATCAGGAGTTTGAGACTAGCCTGGCCAACATAGCAATACCCTGTCTCAAAGATACAAAAATTACCCAAGCTTGGTGGTGTGTGTCTGTAATCCCAGCTACTCAGGAGGCTGAGGCAGGAGAATCACTTGAACCTGGGCGGCAAAGGTTGCAGTGAGCCGAGACCATGCCACTGCACTCCAGCCTGGGTGACAGAGTGAGACTCCGTCTGGAAAAAAAAAGAAAAAAATGAGATATAAAGTTCAAAGGATGTATTTATTAAGCCAATATAAAGTAAAGAGGTGGGGAATGTTGTAGAAGTATATGTTGATAAAGGGATCAGGTGGTTGTACAATAAGAAGGGGGTTGCAGACATGGAGAAACAGTTCTTCTAGCTCTTCCACTTTCAGTATCATCTGTGTGGGTCACTGGAATCCTTTTTCACAATGCCTGCTTGCCCATGAGTTTTAAGAACTAGTACAGTGTAGAAATGATTAGTAGGAAAAACTTGGCTGGGTTAATTTGCTTTGCTGAGCCGATTCAACTTAAAAAGCGAGGTCCATACTAAGTGCCCAAGAATCAAGAAGGAGGCTCACATTTGAACTTGATGTTTAGTTAATGTGAATCATTTTCTGTTGAACTAATGAGAATACAGTGACCTTGAGGGTTAGGTTGTACATCTGAATTGTTCGGGCTGTTTCCTGTCTTTTGGATGTTTTGTTTGTATAGATATTTTCATTTTATGTTACATCATTTGTTCTTTGGTAGCAAAAATTGAGTTGAAATGATACAGTTCCTGAAATCTATGATTTCATGTTTCGGAGATATGTATCAGGAATAATAGTGTGGGTTCTCATGAGAAAATCTGGATTGCATTACTGTGCTACTTTGGTTTCTTGTCAGAGAAGTTAGTAGTTTAGACCTCCTTCAGAATCCTTTCTTTGGACTTTGTGTTTCTTACGTTGTGCCAGCCTTGATTTTATTTGTCTGTCCTCTGTCTTTCTATACCATTTGTTTACACTTAACTCTAGAATTTTTTGATGCATGTTTTCAGTGTACTCTAGTCCTAAAATTGGTTTACATTTAATTATTGGGGAGAATAGCAAGTTGTCGATAGTATCTGTGGTGGCATTAGTGTATTTCTGTTTCAGTTCTTTGGACAGTTTGCTAGTGGAAATAGTCATTGTATTTAGCTCTGTGAGACCCGACTGGCAGATTGCTGTCTCTCTCTCTCTCTCTCTCTCTCTCTGTGTGTGTGTGTGTGTGTGTGTGTGTGTGTGTGTGTGTATGCGCGCCCGCGTTTGTTTCCTTCATGTAGATTGCTGTGTGTGTCTTTTTCTTCATAATTCCCCTTAATTCTGTGTGCTTTGAATGACACTGTTGTTGTTACTGTTGTTTTATATCCATTGTCACATAAAACTCTTATCATTTATTCTTCCAGGCCAGGGACTGTCCTTATGGGTAGAGATACACTATCTGCAGGAATTTATTTTTTTACGTATTTTTACTAGTTGATGGGAAAGACATTGGGAAAGACCTGGGCTGGATTTGTGATGAGCTGTGTTTACTGAGCATGATGAAGTAAAGCTCAACGTGATTACTCTGAAGTCCAGCCTTACTGTCAGTCTAAGGACTCAGGATACAAATACTCAAAACATAAATTCTTAGACTCTAAATTTCACATGGTTTTTCCTATCAGTACAGGTTAAGGATAATGGCGTGTTGTAGGTTTTTCCAGTGCAATACAAGGAAGTTGGTTCTAGATCCTTTAGTACAGTTAATGTTTTGTAGAGTGTGTTCTATGTTCACTGCATTGGTATGTCTCATCTTTGGCATGATCTTGGCTCACCGCAACCTCCGCCTCTTGCATTCAAGCACTTCTTGTCTCAGCCTCCAGAGTAGCTGGGATTACAAGCATGTGCCAACATGCCCGGCTAATTTTTGTATGCTTTTGTGGAGACAGGCTTTGCCATGTTTGCCAGGTTGGTCTCTAAGTGATCCACCCGCCTCAGCCCCACAAAGTGCTGGGATTACATGCGTGAGCCACCGTACCCAGCCACACCTTTGCTTATTTCTACTATGCATTTCAAGTGATCATTTCAAGAGAATAAGTACTTAGGAGCTCCTATGCTCTTTTTTTTTTTAACCCTGTTGCTTGCATCACCCGGTTCCAACCCTATATGAAAGTTTCATGAGCATGTTTCTGTCACTGAGGCAGCTTCTCCATTTGGCATATAATTGAGAAATTGCTAGTTTGTGGCTGAGACATTGGTTTGAGAGGAGACGTAATTTATATATTTAGCAGAATGCTTAAGTTACATTTCCAGAGATTAATTTAATTCTACTTTTAATTAAGTTAACCCTTTGCTGTATCTTTACAAGACGTAGGTGGAGATTTAATTTTGACTCTTAGATTCAGTTAAGGTGATGAAATTGGCATTATATAGTTTTTGATGCTGAGCCCCACGGAGATTAAAAGATTTGCTAAACACCATGCAATTTTTGAATCACATCTCTAATCTCACATTATTCTGTACTCTATTTTTTGCTTGTATGATTGATGGGTCTTTCATTATCTGTGATTGACATTCTATGAGTAGGTGCTTTTGCTTTGCCTATAAGTCGTTATTATGAAGGAGGAATGGTGAATAAGAAGGTAATTTAGAAAAGCCTATATTAAATATACCATGAACATTGAATATAGCAAGATCTTATTCTCTAGTTGTTATCTTAGTTGATAAATTCTGTATGTGTTATGTGTTTGTGTATACATATGTACATATTAATGATGTGGGTGTTGATACTGTGATCACATGACAAATGACTGGTTTATAGTGAAAAGCTGTTGGGGTTCAGAGAAATGAACATTCTTCTAAAAGTGAGGTAGATAAGTTATTTTATAGTTCTTGCCTTTGAGTCTCTGTTCTTCTGGTAGAAATGTTAGTGTATTTATAACCTCTCAGATTTGTTTGGTTCTCTTAGTGTTCTTGATCCAGGCAGTTAGCGATATGTTGGATGAATTGAGAAAAATGAGTTTTTCCTTTCCTACTAACTGAATTAGATTAGAAATAAGCAGTTAAGTGAGAAAAATAGGGAATTAGTGCCAGATATGTTGAGGTGTAGTGTTGACAGGGGGTCTTTTACCTTCAGATGTTTGGTGCAACTTAGAGAATGCAGTGGTAGTTGCTGGCCCAGCCCATCCAAACAACCTCATTTGTGGGGTGATACTTCACAGATGACTTAAAATAAATCCCCTGAAAATAAGAATCTCTGGAAGAGATGACACGTGTATGTGCGTGTGTGCACGTGTGTGCGTGTGTGCACGTGTGTGTGTGTGTGTGTTTTGGTGGAGTGGTAGGAGGAGGGTTGGCTTAATGATGAGAATCATTATTTCTTGAATTGGATGACACTTTCCATTCCTGCAAAGGGAGCGTGAGGTCCAGCCTTGCTAATTCATGATCAAAGTAATTTGCTGAGAGTAGTGGAAGGAATGAGTTAGCAGAAGATGGCAAATTGCATTAATGAGTAGTAGGAGGAAAACAAATAAGCAAATTTTAATGTGGTTGGAACATGTTCCTGAGTTGTATGAAGGGAGACAGGTAAATTGAGAGTAATGTTATGATTGTTTCATTTGTTGGAAATAAGGAAAACTTGCATGGTTTGAATTGTGGAACAATAGGTGGTGTATGTTAGGAGTCAGAATTATCATTTAACATGTAAGTTTCTGTTTTACTTCAGATAAAGAATGTCAGCTACCTTTCCCATGTTAGCTTCTATACCTTTTCTTGAGGTGACCATAAATAGGTAATATTGTCTTTCACTGAGATTGTTTTAATTAGCGAAGTGTGCTGATTAAATGTCTTTTCTTGATAAATTATTAGAATGAATAAAGGATGGTATTTCTAGATAGCCTTGGTTAGTCAGTGATTTGTTTAAATTTAGTGTGGATAAGAATCACCTGAGGGCTTTTTAAACACAGTTTACTGGGTCCTGACCTTAGTGTTTCTGGCTTATTAGGTATAAGTATGAGAAGTTGATTTTTATCAAGTTTCTAGATGCTACAGATCTAGGAACCATACTTAGAGTGCTATTATATGTCTTTTAATGTACACTGATATGGAAAAAGCAATGATACATCATGTTATCGCATATTTTAAAATGTGATCATGACCAGGGAATCTTGAAAGTTGTCTTATGTAATAATGTAAATCAATGTAGAATACCATATATTTTTTTCTTGCAAGGTTATTATTAATAGGAATGACTATTTGTAGCCAATGTGTTCAAATGCATGGGAGGACGTAAACACTTCATAATTTCCTGGAAATACAGACATATATCACTTAAAATAATACATTTCTAATATAAATTTAAATTATCTACGTGATATGAGGAAACGAGCTTATTTTTGATAATTTTCCTAGCAGTGAATCAACTATACTCATTTGAATCTAAATTAAATTAAATTTGAGTAAATTCAGCCATTTCTAAATTCAGTCCATATAAATTCACTTTGGGTAAAAGAAGACAAAATTCCTGAAAACAGTAGATTAAAAAAATAACATTTTAAGAGCAGGTATGATCTCAATGAATATAGTGTGGTAATTTCTGCCTAATACCTACCCTTTTGGAGGAAGGAAAGGTAATCCTGTTTGTGTTTAATGTTAATTACTGAACTCTTTATAACTTGTTTTATTTATTTATTGTTTGATTTTAAGCATCTGCTTCTGGTGGACTTACATATGTTGGGTTTGGGAAATTTCAACATACAGGTTGGCATTCCAGTGGCTATAGTTGTTTCTTGAAATTTAGTACTGTTTTCCAATGATGATTCTCTTTGGGAATAGGCTGTTCTCTTTTACTTAAAAACTGTAAAATTAGCCACTTCAGTTGAGACTCCTCCAGGTTTGGAAGTGGTGAAGAATATGGATATATTCAGATCAAATCAGTCATTCTCTGTGATACAGCAACTGAACAAGAAACCCAGACTTCAAACAAGCAGACTTCTTTGGGTTGGACTGAATAAAATGAGAAGAAATTACAGAGGATTTGAAAATGTATATGGCCTAGGAATTATTGAAATTATTTTGGAGGGTGGCAACAAATTTGGGACATTGTACTTTCTGTTTTAATGTCAATTGTATAATGTGTAACTCTAGTGAGCATGGCTGGATACCGTGGCTTCACATTTTAGGTAGACTGGGTGTTTTATCTACTGAGTGAATTACAGCCTTCGGCAATGATGTCAAGGTAGCAACAAAACCCAAAAAATCCATCCTTTAGAAATTGTTTTAAGTCACAATGATGATACCTTCTTTAAAAGCTTTGACTTACTGAAATAATGCTTTTCATTTGTCCAAGATGAGTACATAGCAGAATTTGGAAATATGGTTCCAAAAGGCTAAATAGACTGACTTTTTTGATATTTTTCCCTTATAGGGAGAAAGAAACATTAACGGTTTATCAGATGCCTTGACTGTACTTTTTACTGCTTTGTCTTCAAGGCCTAGTGTAATAATTAACATCTAGTATGTGTTTGATGGATAGCCAATTTTTGCTTCATTGGTATGTTGTTACCACAGTCATTGGTAGAGTCAATATATGAATGAAGAAAGTATAACAAATTTGCCCTCTAGTAGAGTACAGGCAAAGTATGGCCGTCAGTTTCACCCTGATTTTTTTTCCTCCATTCTTTTTTAGGGTTTAGGTCAAGAACAAGGGCATTTCATTGTACCACATAGCTGAGAGTAGGGAATTGGGACATACTGTCTTGCTTTAAATTAAAGTTGTCTGTTTCATCAAGTAGAGAGGTTCCTAAGATATTGCCAGATTTCTGACTCGGGGTTTGTTAAAAATAGAAAAGGTAGTTCCTTAAGGTTGTATTTTATTGGATGCCTCCACCTGCTTCAGGCTAGCTCACTGGAGAATAAATATTCCAGGTTAAAAAAAAAAAAGCATGTGTTCACGTGAACTTGTCCTTTGAGCAAACCTGTTGGAAATCAAGAGGTCATTGCTGTTGGAGAGGATAAGAGGGTGTACTTGTTGGTGTGTTAAGAGTAGTTCACAACATAAAAATAAATGTAAATGCATCTATTATATTTGGGTTGGCAAAATATATTGGTTATTTACTCTGTTGATTCCTGTAGTGTACATAAATATGATCTACAACTCTGTGAACAAAAAGGCTTGAAAAATTGTTCTGAAAATGGACAAATCATGAACAGATAATTGAACAAGAAAATAAGCAGAAAGTAAATTTGTGAAATATTTCAAACTCATTTACATTCAGAAACATCTTTTTAAGATCACTGTGATACATTCGACTGTCAATTCTGAAGAGACGTATAAAGGAAATGCCAGCTAAGGAGCAAGGAAACAGCTTTCATTCATGGGCTAAATTGCAGCTTAAAAAAGATGGACCAGGATTATTTCCTTTAGAAACTTACTGTACAAAAGATACTGTTCACCCCATTAGAGAACTGATTTGAAGTTACTCTTCCCTGTGAGGGCTCTGTCATCTTAACTGTATTCACATACTTTCAACTGTTCCCCTTGCTGCTAACCTCAGGTTCTTTAGTTCATCTATCTGGCAGAGCTGATTTGGGGAAAACAAGACAAACCTTCTCAGGTTTTCTTAATAAATAAGCAGTTGTCATGTTTCAAGAGTTTTAGAAATGAGCAATAATCAAGGAAGAGGACAACGATTGCATACGTTTATAATATTTAGAACATCTTTTGCCACAATAAACACTGGAAACCACCCACTTGTGGACACCAAACATTTGGATTTGTATATTTTGTGGCATTCCCTCACTCTAATCCTCTCATCCTTAAAAATTTTCAGAAATTTTTGCAGCAACAAACACTGATTGCAACATATGATTTAGGGTAGATTTATGAACCATTTTTTCACTGAAATACATCAACAGGAGTGAGTAGTCTGAGTGACCACCCCAGCATGGAGAAAACTGTAGTTTACAGATTCTTCTGGAGCATTTTTATTTCTAGATTGCGGTGGAAGTCTAACCCCCCTTGGAGATGTCTGCCTTAAAGGGTCTTTGGCCAGGGTCCTCTGTAGAGCCATAGTCCAGATCTACTCTATTTGTGTGCTCCTTACAACATCAGAACAGCAACTCTCAATCCGGATTCATCCCCAGAATGCCGTCTGAGTCACAGCGTGGCAGGTGCATAAAGAATTATCTACTGAATTGAGAAACATTTCAAATATATAAAACTTGAAATATTTTGGGTAGTCTGTACAAACTCAAGTTGACAAGCCAACCCTGCAGGAATATATGGATAGAAGGGGAAGGATAACATGTTGAATTCAGCTACATGCCTCATCAGCTAGAAAACCTTGGAAGAAAGAAAGATAGATTGATACTTGCCTGAACTTCATCAACCAATAATATTTTTTTTCTTGCTATGGAGAGTCCACTCGCCTTTGGAAGATTTACCAGTAAAAGCCCTGCACATGATATACTTGTGTGCACATGCAATAAGGACATCATTCCCCAACTCCTGCTAGCATTGTGAAAGAGCTCCAAATATTCAAATAATATAAACTTTTTTTCGTGGACATTTAGCTTACGAGTTTGTTTAAATATGTGGGAAAATTATGTTTAGATAATAGTATTGAAATGAGAATGTAAGATACACATTGAATGATAAATGTGTATGAATTGTTCATTGTGCCTTAGGTAAGCCAGACAGTGAAATTAAATGTGTAATAGTTGTATTTTTTTGCATAATCTTGGAATGTAATTAGTTAAAAGCAAACACTTAGATTTTGAACATGAATCTGTTAAGCTTGTTAATGTAGTTGCTGTGGCTAAATAACTGGTTTCCTGGGGAAGCTTCTATTTGCTAGAATTTTATTCTGGAACAGTTGTTAGAAAGGAATTCTCAGGTCACCTTTTAAAGATATACACAATTCTGTATTCACTTTTTGAGTGCATAAGGGTAATAGAAAATGACATGGGAAGCGTTAATTAGAAAAAAAGGCATTTTGTTTATGTGCATTTGAGGATACAGTGTTTGAAGTTTCTAAATAATTGTTTTATGACATTTTCTTGGTACATAGATATTGCTAACAATTAGTTTGCTGAAGTATGTAGAAACATTTTAAGAAATGATTTTAGAAATATAATTGTTAAAGTACCTCTGATGTATATTAAAAATCCTTTTATTTTGGTTTATATTGCTATGGATGTTTTTCTGGGGGAACTTAATGTATACAACTTCTAACTAAGAAGTTTTATTAATGCTGCTTTATGTATGAAAGTCATGGATGTGGATGTTATTTTGTCAGTGGTCTTTCTGTTAAAATTTACGTGGTGTAAGATTTTCTTTTCATGATGGAATTGCCAAAAAGGCCAGCCTCTAGAACACTTACATGTTAAGGGTTGGGTGGGATTTGTATTACTTTGTGTATATAACCGACAGGATTGTGTTACTGAATCTTAACCAGCATAGAGATGGCTGACATTTTGCATTTTGGGGGACATTAAATTGTTACACAATGATGTCATTGGTTACTGATAGGAGTGTTTAGACTCTTAGATGGCTTTGTTAGTATTAGGCAAATATTAGATGTGGATTTAGGAGATAAGAGGGTGGGGTGTTGGAGCCCTGTGTGCACATGAGCATATGTTGCAGGGCCTCCAGACCTAAATCCACGTGAAGATGGTGGTGGTGGTCTTACCTATATGTTAACATTACATTGTAAACAGGTAGACTACTTTCCTTTTGCTAGTGGGAGTGTTAAATCACCTCTCAGAACATTAATTCATTAAATTGCCCCTAAACATTAATTGATTGCTGGTGGATATGCTAAATATTTTTAACATCTATTTTTCTAAATGTATAGATGTCATTTTTAATTCATAGGGGATAGAACCAGTTTTGCTTGCAAAAAGCAAACTGTTCACTGGATCATTGGGCTTAATTTTTAGGTTGTGGTAGATATAATAGAAATGTTCTTACAATTTGTAGTATAATACTGTATATCTCTATAAATATATATGTGACTGTTTTTCTGATAGATGCAACATGGTGGAAATGTCATCATAAATGTCGGTCTGCCTTTGTTTATAGTTTTCAGATGTGTATATGCAGTTTTTTATACAACAGAAAAATTGCCACATGAGTCAAATAGCATAGGTTAGAAAAGTTCTCATTTGCCAAAAATATGTGACTTTCATAATAGTGAGTTGTTTTTGATTTAAAATGTTTCTATCTGTAGAGGCATTTTATAAGTTTTTATGGGGATACTAGCAATGGGATGTGAAACCTGAGTTCATTAGATCATTGGGTGATAATGGAACCCTTATGTGTATACAATATACATGGTTATATGTTTTTTAAAGCATAGGAGCTATTATGTCTGCATGGTTCTAAATATATATACACACACGTAAACACATATCTATATATCTATCTATATAGATAGATAGATAAATACATACATATGTAGTGAAAGCTTTTGTTTCCTCCCTCACATAGGCAGATTATTTGTGTGTGTAAATGAGCAGCTGAAGGGGAATTTTGTTACATGTGTATAAGACAGTCACAATATATAATTGTTTTGCTTTAATTGTTTAGTCTTTGATTTGTAGGAATTGCCAACACGTATATTTGTGTGTATGCAGGTTTATATATAAATACATATCACTGTATAAACAACATTTATTGTCATAGGATAGAAATATTCTTAAGTTGCCAGAGATACTGTATGGCTGCTAAATGTATAGTAGAAAAATGTTACCTTTTGCTTTTTAGCATCTGCATACAGATTACTAATAGGCGTATATTGTGACCAGTAAACCACTAGACAAGGGCATAAACACTTTAGTTTGATCAGTAGAATTGCTATGCCATGTTTAAATGGGATTTATTTGGTTGATGCAGAATATATAATTGTATCTAGAAGATAAATATTACAAAAATATTTTAATATACAATTTCTGTCATATTTTTGGAAATATATTTTTATTCAAAAGTAGAATCATTGTTGCCAATAGAGTTAGCATCTTTGTGTGCTTGTGAGGTTTGATTTTGAGGGTTTTCTTGGTTTTGTTTTGGGTTCTGGAGTTCTAAAAAATGAGATTGTCTTTGTCTAAACAATTTTTATATAAAAATGTACATTTTTGTATTATTTTTTCTTATTCCAACCTAATCGGTGGCTTGTCCCTTCCTGTGTTTATTGGGCTGTTGGGTGCCTGGATAGAGCTGGAGACCATTTAACTGCTGTATGAATAATAGATAAGCGTCTTGAATAACATCTGAATTTCCTAGGTATGTAGAAACACCCACCATGCACATATATGAACATACAGAATATATGAATGTTAAAATATGGTGAAAACAATCTTTTGCTAATAGAAGTGTTAACCTTTATTTTTAAAAAAAATTTGGTGTGTATGTAGAGGTTTATTTGATTGTTAGTTGTGTCCATGTATAATATGTCATCTACCTTTACAGATGTGCAGAAATTTGTTGTATTTGGTGGATATATTTTACTTAAAACTATAGGGCAGAAGCTTTTTATGTTTGTTGAAGTGAAATGGCATACCAAACCTGTGTGGTAGAGTGGGATTTTTAGATTGCTGTGTGTACAGTCAGGTTATATCTTTAAAATACCTATTCGTTATATATTAATATGTAGACATTGCTGATACATATGTATGTAAAAATCAGAGTATTTTTATTAATATAGGCATTAGCTTCTTGATTCACTTGTTTGTTGGGAAGCACTTGGAGAAGGATGTTGAATACTTTGTCATTTCATCTCTGTGACGTACAGTTGTCATGTCAACCCTCCTATCTGCGGGTTTTGCATCTGCAAGCACATGCAGCTGGAAAGTACAGCATTGGCAGAATCTGAAACCCGAGTAAAGAGCACCTCATTTTCATAACCATGGGTTCTGAAGAGCTAAGGGAGTTGAGGATGCACCGATTTTGGTATGGGGGTACGGTACAGGTACAAATCCCCGATGGATATCACTAGACAACTGTACAATCCTCTTTAGCTTTTTTTTTGTTTTATAGACAGTGTGGACGTGCATATATTGCAAGCATCACTTTGTTAAACTATGCTTAACCCTGCAAATGATTTTAAGAGCTCTGTGTGGGTGGCTTTCTTGGGTTTACTATTAAATATCTGTGTTTATCATAGTTGTTCTATAACATTTCAACTTTGTAAATATGTAGTTTGTTGATAAAGAGGATAGAGACATTTTTCTTTTGTTGATAGATTGTTCTTTCCCCTTTGCTTAGTCTTCATTGTGTTGCTGGGATTGTAAAAGACAAATTACTTGCACATATTTAAGCTTATATATTAAATGTATATATGCTGTCATGTTAGAGAGGGAGAGTGGTTCCCTCCCCCACATTTTGATTTAAAAGTAAAAATTAATTTTTATTAAATTGTTTGGGTCAGTTTCATGTAAGAATAATCTCTACATTGAATGGTATATCTTGGCCGGGTGCGGAGGCTCACGCCTGTAATCCCAGCACTTTGGGAGGCCGAAGGGGCCAGATCACGAGGTCAGGAGTTCGAAACCAGCCTGGCCAATATGGTGAAACCCCGTCTCTACTAAAAATACAAAAACTAGCCGGCCGTGGTAGTGCACATCTGTAATCCCAGCTACTCGGCAGTCTGAGGCAGAAGAATAGCTTGAACCCAGGAGGCAGAAGTTGCAGTGAGCCAAGATCGCGCCACTGCACTCCAGCCTGGGCGACAGAGTGAGACTCCCTCTCAAAAAAAAAAAGGTATATCTTATTTTCTTTGATGTACTGAGGTTCATGATGCAATTCATTCTTAAGCATATACTATAGAATCTTTAAATTATATGGTTCTGTGTTCATTTGTGGCATGACAGTAACCAAGACAATTTAGTAAATAATCAGCAAATGAAATATTTAATTTTGAACATCTAGTATTTCTAGATGTATAGAGAGTCTCACGAAGTAGATTTTTTAAGTATCTTGTTGTAAATTTGTTAGTACTGTTGTCTTTTGCAATTAATGTGGCAATGAAATTGATTATTGATACACAGGCTCTTGGAGCTAAACAAAATTTATCGTGTTTTAATTTGGATATTAGAAGGAGGAAATGAAAAGAGACTCTCTACATTTTACCTGTTATTATATAGCTTACCATTATATCAGATATGAATTGCTTTTTTTAAAAAACTTAGATTAAATGTCATGTAAATGCATTTAGTCTTTCCAGATACACTTCTTGATATCATAATTTTTATTTCCTGTTAATATTCAAGATATAAATGACTTCATTAAAGAGATTTTCTACTACCTCTAGGAACTATACAATATTCTGTATGTGTTCCCTTGGTTGCATGACAATATTCAAGACAACTTTGTAAATAATAGATAAAAAATTTTAATTTTTAACATCTAGTCTTTCTAGATGTATAGAGTCTCACAAAGTATAATTTTGTAAATAAGTCATTGTAAAATTTCATGGTTTCATTGTGTTTTGCAAATGTCTTGGCAAAGAACTTGATAAAATTTTGGGCTTCTTGACCTATACATATTTTGGTATCTCTTTATTGGGTTGTTTAGTGTAAGGAAAAAGTTGAAAGAATGTATTTTCAACTTTGAATTGTAATCAGAAAGAAAATATATTTTAACCATTGTTTAGTGCTTCTGTTATATATTGAAAACTTCAGTCTTAATTTTTTAGTTACATTGTTGATAGGGCATTATATAAATATACTTCTATAGTCATTGTAGGAAATGTCTTTTATAAGGAAATATTTCTTCTACCTCTGAATTACACAGTTTTGTATTTACTTGGACTGCATGGCAACATTCAAAAAACACTTTGAATAACAGATAAAAATGACATTTTCTAAAGCTCTAGGTTTGCTAGATGCATGAAGTCTCAGCAAAGTATAAATTTGTAAATATTTCATTGTAAAATATCATAAATTGACTCCTTCAAGTGTTCAGTAGTACAATAGGTAATCAATAATTGGCCTCTTGGGACTGACTGTAACGTTTTGGTGTTTGTATGTTTTGAGACAGAGCAATAGATTGCCTCCATATCTTTTAAACATTCAGGTCTCTTGTATAAGAAAAATAACCATTGTGGGGTTTTTGTGCATCTTATACTAATATGAAACAAACAAAACCCCCTGGATATTTTATCCTTAGAAAGATAGAGGAAGACAGGAGAAGGGAATGGTCATTGTAAATTAGATAGATATATTGAGTGTTAGAAGATTATTTAAATAATTGTTCTTTTGTTATTTGTACTCTTTGCAAATTTATTTAAATGCATATTCATGTATATCATAAGTATATATTCACATGCATGTCTAAATTTAGTGGCATAGATCTATCTCAGGGGTATTAATCTTTCATTCGTGTACTGATTTGTGTTTTATTTTCATTTAAAAAATTGTGGAACCAGTGGCTGGGCATGGTGGCTCATGCCTGTAATCCCAGCACTTTGGGAGGCTGAGGCGGGTGGATCACCTGAGGGTCAGGAGTTCGAGACCAGCCTGGCCAACATGGTGAACCCCCCCGTCTCTACTAAAACTACAAAAATTAGCTGGGCATGGTGGTAGATGCCTGTAATCCCAGCTACTCGGGAGGCTGAGACAGGAGAATTGCTTGAACCCTGGAGGTGGAGGTTGCAGTGAGCCGAGATTGCACCATTGCACTCCACCCTAGGCAACAAGAGCAAAACTCTGTATAAAAAAAAAAATTAAAAAAATTGTGGAACTAGTGTTTTATTTCTAAGCTTGCAGATATTTCTAGAATTCCACTTACTGTTACATCTAAATGTATGCTGATTTTTCGTTAAATAATAAGCAGGTCTGTAAACATTTTCTTTTCTAACCTCTTTCCATATTTATATGAGTATAGAAAAACTGTGGTTATGAATATTTTTTACTTTTTGATAACTTTTAAAAACTATCAGATATGTGATAATCAGATAGATTTCAAGTTTACTTACGGTGTAAATTAGGAAAATTTTTATAAAGATTCTATCCAGTATTGATCAAAAGTATAAATTGTGTGTCTTTTTAAGCAGCAGTTTGGCAATGACAATCAAATTGATACTATGTAAAAGTTTTGAAATGTTATAGCTGGCTACTGGGGTTTTTATCTATTCCAGTTCTCGAAAATTTACCAAATATAGGTTGGCTGTAAAATCATAACTATCTGAGGTATCTGTCAATAAATCAAAGATTGCAATGATGATAGCTTCTTTAACATGAATGTAATTCTAACAGTAAAAAATTTCTATATGGAATATGTTTTGTAGTCCTAAATTGATATTTTATATCATTTTTCAGTGAACAAGTAGTTGTTTACAGGTGTCTGTGCATATGTCTCAAGTTTTTCTAACTAAAATATTAATAGTTAAGTCTAAAAATATGAATTATACGTGGGGCTTGTCATTCTGACATTTAATACTTCAGCGTGGTGATAATGGTGATATAATATACTGTTTGAAATTGTAACACATGAGTTAAAATCAAAAGATTGATAAGTACATATTTGTATATTGCTACATGACAAAAATCTAGGAAGAATATGATTCACATGAAAATTCTTTGGAAGGACATGACAGACTTTTAACAGTCCTGTATAGTGAAAGGAGAATAGAACGACTACTTCTACTTTCTGTATCTGAAATTTTCAAAAGCTATTTCAAAATGAACATTTAAACAACAGGAAATTTTAGAGACAACCACTTTGTGCCTGTCTTCATCCTTGACATTCAACATCCTAGGAACAATGGGCTGTTGTATTCAACTTCTTATTCCCAACAGCCATTATGAATGGTTTTTGATTGATCTCACAAAGAGCATGTGCTTTAGACATTAATGCAGCGACTACCATGAAACAGAGTATTGGATTACCTAAGGAAAGAAGCAGAGGATGGAATTTGAGGTAGGTGTCAAACAGTGAAATTTCGTTTGAGAAACAGATGAGTGAAAGAAAATAGTAACTGAAACATTCATTCTATAAGGAGAGTACATTTTAATACTGGCGATGCTGTATTTGTGGGTACTGACTAGATCAAGATGTTAGAGGAGGTGTCTCTTGGGATAAGTTGGAAGTTATCCTTCATTAATTTGGTATAAACTGAAAACAGATTGCTTCTTTCCTTTTAAAGTGGTTGAGTCTCTGATGGGTTTAAAGTAGGCCTTTGGGGATTTATAGATCATTCAAAATTAGCAGGGGAAATTTTAAATATTCTCTGCATCTTTCTAAAAGGTGTGGTTTAAAGTTGGTGAGAAAGTGAAATGGTTGCTGGTTGAACTTGATTTTCTCTATTCACTATGCCTGGCTAGCCTAAAATTATCCTAATGGGTATGTTCAGGTGCCTGATTTGTATCTAAATGTTTCTGTATTGGATACTGTTTTTCTTAGGCAATCAGGATGAGTGAAAAATTGATTTGCAGCTGACCTGCAAATGGAATCATCAGGAACATCCCTTTCTCATGGAGTCCCTTAATTTACAAGTTAACTGCAAACATAGGTAAGAAGGTTCTGGTGCTATTTGGGGGTGAGGTATTGGTGAGGTTTTGCCTAAGCTCAGGAAAATAATACTGGTACAGGTGTATTTCTTGGCCACCTTGGAATTATCAAATGAGTTAGTCTTTAAAATATATTTTATCGAAGTGAAGGTATAGTTTGGTTCCCAGACCAAACTGAGGGTCGGGCTGCTATTTCTCGTGCCCCAATAATGAGATGCAGATGAACAGGGGAGGAAGAGTTAGAGCTAGTTACAGGAAGAAGGCCTGGAAATTGTCACCACACCAACTCAAAATTACAAAGTTTTTCAGAACTTATATACCTTCTAAGCTATATGTGTACATGTAAGTGTGTATCTAAAGACATAAGTGATCTATAACTAAGGTCTGAGTCTTCGAGACCTTCCTTTGGAGCCTCAGTAAATTTACATTAATTTAAATGGGTCTGGGTGCTGAGGTGATTACCATTATCTTGTTTCCTACTAAATCATGGAGGTTTGGGGAGTTCCTTTAGAACCCCCAATAAACTTGTTTGTGGAGGCCTGGAGAGTTTCTTCAGACCCCTAATAAAACTTGTTTAATCGTGCTTTAAGGTTCAAGAGAGGCCTAGGTAAAACTTGGTGGGCTTTTGTGACATTCCAACCTTTGTATAACAAAATGGCTCTTTCAGCTTTTAGTATTTAACTTAACCACTCCGTCAATACTGAAACAGTTGTTATGGAGGCCTCCATTAGAGGGACCTGGCCTGCCACAGGTGCGCGCGCACACACAGATGAGAGTACCTTTAATTAGTTTACTTATCTATGGTCAAACACGACAATATAACTAATAAAAGAAATGACCAGGCATCTAATTACTAGAAATTATAAAATTGACAATATGTGTGTTTTCATAAATGTACAGTTTTCACAAAATGTTTTCACATACAGTTCTTTGATAAAGGGTGAAGTTCATGGAAACCACAGAAAGATGCTGATACTGTAAACTATTAAAGTCATTACTGAGGTTGTAAGTTGACTTTGCTATAGGATTGATAATGGGAAGTGTTTCTAAATGTTAACATAACCTGTAATAAAGTTCAACATGAGCATTCACTTAACCTGCCGCCTTAGCTGTTTCATTAGAGTGGTATATATCTCACCTTACAGTGTTTCTTCTTTTTCCTTGTCAGGAGATGATAGTTCCAAGAAGGAACATTTTATCGTCTTTGTTTTTAATCTCAAGAATGGTACCTACCATCAGTGAATGACCTGTTGCAGTGCTTTCATTGAAGTGTTCTTCGTTCCCTCAGCAATATGATTGTAAGGGCAGTTGAGTGCTAACTTGACTGGGAGAGGGGCGGTTTGGTTAGACAGGACTTGATATATTCTGTTTTTCATAAGCTTGATGTTTTTTTCTGGCAGCTACTTGACATTCAGATCTGATTGGTTACATATTGCTATGTAATAAATTATCCTGAAACAGGGGCATAAACAATATTGTTATGTCCATGGATTCTGTTGGTCTGACCATGCCCAGGACAGTTTAGGAATTGTATCCTCTCCAAAGTTTCATTGTAGCTTCTGTGTTTTTAGTATAGTTACTATTTCTTTCTCATCAAATAGACTGAACTCCTTTTGTTATTATCATTTAAATATTTAGGCATTGTTGTCATGTATATTGTGCATAAATGCATGTATACTGCAGGTAATAATTCTGTATGTGAACAAGTGACCTAGAGGTAAAGGAATCCAAATACAGAGACGTGTGGATAATGTGGGAGAGGTCAGTTTTTCACAAGACATAGGAAAGAGGCTGGGCGCGGTGGCTCCTGCCTGTAATCCCAGCACGAGGCCGAGGTGGGTGTGTCGGTCACTTGAGGTCAAGAGTTCAAGAACAGCCTGACCAACATGGTGAAACCCCGTCTCTACTAAGAATACAAAATTAGCTGGGTGTGGTAGTGTAATCCCAGCTACTTGGGAGGCTGAGGCAGGAGAATCGCTTGAACCCGGGAGGTGAAGATTGCAGTGAGCCAAGATCACACCATTGCACTCCAGCCTGGGCAACAAGAGTGAAACTCCATCTCAAGAAAAACAAACAACAACAACAACAAAAAAGAAGGAAAGAGCTAACATCTGACCTCCTTTATTATTAGAATACTCCAAAAGGAATTTTGATCCACATGCTCTTTCTTCATAATAGAATGAATGTTGCATGTCATTTTACAGACAAATTTTATTAGTTCTTGCTGATGATATAAACTTTGCTTCTAACCTTTTCCCATTTTCCCAACTGTGTCTCTCAGGTGATGACTGAAAAAGGGAAACTGTGCCACTATTTGTACCATCATTTTCACCAAAATCTAAAAATGCTTTTTATGACGTATGGAGACATTCTTCATGTTTGTTTCAGTGGACACTCCTTGCAGATGTAAAAAACTGAGAAAACTCACTTTTGGAAAGTGACCTAAAGAGTGTCATTGAAGTGAATTTTAAGTAGGCACGATGATTGTTTTCATGGTTGCTGTTGGATCATATCTCAGGAGCTGGAATGACAGACATTATTGAACAAAGAAATCAGGATAGTGGAACTTAAAGGGCTTCATCTCAGTGCTTTCATAAGTATGAAGTGCATATATTTATAATTTTCACTAATCACAGGGTAAATATAAAATTGATTCATTAAAAATGTTTCATAAGAATTCAAAGGACATAGAATTTTGTGAAATGTAGTATTTTTACTTAAGTGCCTTTTCTCTGCTTCTACCCCACAGCCAATTTTTTATAAACCAGTTGATAACATAAGTAGTTTTTGGGGGATGATACATTACTTATACATTTTCTATGTAGTAAACATGTATGTGTATGTGTGTGGGTGTGTGTCTAATTACTTTGTTGGACAGATTCCTGTGGTTTGGAACTGCTGGGGCCAAGTTTATACAAAAATCTACATTTTTGAGTAAACTCCCCATGACTCTAGTAAGTTTCCACAGTATTTGAGTATTCTTTATTTCCTAAAGCTGTACAAACATCAGATAATCAATATTTGTAAGGATCGATAATATAATTTATAATGAAATTGCTTTATCAGCTATTAATGTTAACTACATCATCTTCATATAGCCTTATAACTCATTTGTGCTATTCCATTTTCCTCTGTTCCTTTTATTTTCACTTCCCTTGTAATGTTAGTCTCTTTGTACTGATTTCTGAAGAGTTCATTTATGATTAAACATGTTAACATTTTGTCTAGAATTGCAAATATGTTTTTTCTCATTCATTTTACTATGGTGTTTTATTTTTTGGTTATACAGAAGTTGTATATTGAAATATAATCTTGTTCTGTTTTATGACTTTGGAGTTTTGTGGTTTTTTAAAACATGTTTACATTGGTATCATTTATTTGTATTGCCTTCTATTTCAGCAGTTAGTTTGTCATTTCTTTTTCCATTAATCATCATTCTGGTGTTAATGAATGCATTAAATATTTAAAGTACTCACTTTGACCCGTGTAGTTATCTGTTAAGTTCTACCATAAAGAAAATTTCCAGGTAAAATTGGCTACATTTCTGTTAACTTGCCTTACCATTTTATTGACACTTTAATAATTACTAATGATTTATACTGTCTTATCTATTCCATTGAGTTCTATCTCATTTCTCTTCTTTTTCAGAATATTCCCTCTGTATACTTGCATTTTTTTCTATCAATTGACGCTTACAATTATTTTTGCAAGTTGGAAAAAAATGCAGTATTAATTTCATTTGCAACAAATTTAATAGATTAATTAGGAGAGAATAGATATCTTTAAAATTGAGTCTTCTGTCCAACTGCAAGGTAGGTCTTTCTATTTTTAATGGAATAATAATTTGGGGATATTGCTAGTGCAGTTTTTTAAAGTATTTTTTAATACTAGGCATTTTTTAGTTATTTGTTAATTTAGTGATTTGGATTAGTCATTCAACTTGTCTAATTGGTATGTGAAAACTTTTTGTATGTCTTTTCTAGTAATCTTTACTGAATTTCTAAAATTATGACTTTCTTGAACAATCTGTCATTTTAATTACCTTGATTAAAGTACATTTGTAAGTACTTCTAGGATATATGGAAGTAGAAAGTATACTTGGCAATTGGACTGTTAATTGCAATCCCCTTAGGTCATGGTTGTTTTTGTTCTTATTGGTATTTTAGTAATCTTTTAGAAGAAAGATGTTTTACCAAATTTGGTGACAGGTTTAATAAAATTTCTTTTTGTATAGTTGAAAAACTTGTCCTTATAATTATTAAGGTTAAAATTAACATATTCCAAAATTGAACATTATTCCATCCCATGAATGAAGTAAATTATATTTTAGTATATACTCCTTAATTATAGTTGTTATAATTTCATTTGGAATTTCTGAAATGATTCCTAAACAAACAGCTTTATACTTGTTCTGTTATCAGAGGTTTTTAATGTTTTACTGGCTCTTTGAAACCATTTTGAGTATTTCTGACACAGACTAGAAACAAGTAATATTTTTCTTTAATTATTTTGAAATGTTGGCTTAAAAAGGTGTTGAAATAATAGCGTGTTTTTTTTTTTAAAGTTATTTATCTTTTGTCCAAAATCAACTAAGCATTTATGCAAGCATGTGTTTTTTGGAACCCTTTTTTCTGTTTCCTTGTTCTTTGTGTTTTTCTTTATGCCAATATCACACTGTTTTGATAATTGTAGCTTTGTAGTTAACATTTTGAAATTGAGAACTGTGACTCTTCCACCTTTGTTCTTTTTCAGGTTTATTTTGCTCATTTCAGTCCTTTGAAACTCTGTATGAGTTTTAGGATTTTTTTTTTAATTTTTGCAAAAAATGTCATGGGAAGTTTACTAGGGATTGAGTCTGCACATTGCATGAGTATTATTGACATAAACAATACTAACTCTTCCAGTCCATGAACATGGGATGTCTTTTTATTTATGTCATTTATTTCTTTCAGAAATGGTTTGTAAATTTCATTGTACAAAAAATTTTCTTTGATCTTACTGGTTAAGTTACTTTCTAAGTATTGTATTTTTAAAATGCTATTGCAAGTGGAATTGTTCTTTGAACTTCTTTTGTGAATTGTTCATTGCTATTTTTGCATGCTGAATTTGTAGCCTGGTATTTTGTGGAATTTATCAGTTCTGAGATTTTTTTTTATGCTCCCAAGGAAAATTTTAGCCCGTAATAATTTTTTTGGAGACATAGTCTCACTGTTGCCCAGGCTGGAGTGCAATGGCACTATCTCCCAGGTTTGAACAATTCTCCTGCCTCAGCCTCCTGAGTAGGTGGGATTACACGTGTCTGCCACCACGCCTGGCTAATTTTTGTGTTTTTAGTAGAGATGGGGTTTCATCGTGTTGGCCAGGCTGGTCTCGAACTCCTGAGCTCAAGTGATCCTCCTCCCTTGGCCTCCAAAAGTGCTGCAATTACAGGTGTGAGTCACTGTGCCCGACCAGCCTATAAAATTTTAGTGGATGCCAAGAGAGATACTTCTACTTCTTTTCTGACTTGGGTGTCATTTCTTTCTTTTTGTTACTTGATTGCTGTGGCAAGGATTTGTAATACTGTGTTGAAAAGAAGTGGCGAAAGCAGGCATCCTTGCTTTTGTAACTGATACTAGAGGAAATCCTTTTAGTGTTTAACCTTTGAGAATAATGTTTGTTTTGAGTTTTTCATTTATAGCTTTTACTATGGTGATGTGATTTCATCTATTCCTAATTTGATGAATGTTGAATTTTTTATTCCTTAGTCTTTGTCTTGCTTTGGTAAGAGGGTAATGCTGGCCCCATAAAATGTGTTGGGGAGTGTTTCCTCCTTGAATTTCTTAGAAAAGTTTGAAAACACTTGTTATTTGTTATATAAGTATTTATTTGATGGAAGATTTTTTTTTTTTTTTTTTTTGAGACTGAGTCACGCTCTGTCGCCCCAGGCTGGAGTGCAGTGGCGCGATCTCTGCTCACTGCAAGCTCCACCTCCCGGGTTCACGCCATTCTCCTGCCTCAGCCTCCCAAGTAGCTGGGACTACAGGTGCCCGCCACCACACCCGGCTAATTTTGTGTATATTAAGTAGAGATGGGGTTTCACCATGTTAGGCAGGATGGTCTCGATCTCCTGACCTTGTGATTCGCCCGCCTCAGCCTCCCAGAGTGCTGGGTTTACAGGTGTGAGCCACTGCGCCTGACCGGAAGATTTTTCATTAATAATTCAGTACTGTTAATAGTTTCATGCGTGTGGTTTTGTTTTGGTGGCCTTTAGTTTCCTAGGTTTGTAGGAATTTGTACATTTCATCTAGATTATCTAATTTTTTAACATTCACTTGCTTATAGTACTCTTACAATCTCTTAGTTCTGTAGACTTTATGTTTCTGATGGTAGCAATTTGAGTCTGCCCTCTTTTTTTCTAGTCCACTTAGCTGAAGCTTTGTCAGTTTTCTTGATTTTTGTTTATGAAGAACCAAGTGGTTATTTTGTGTTCATTTTCTGTTTTATTCATCTCTATATCATTCTTTATGTCCTTCCTTTTCCTCTTTGTGTTTACTTTGCTTGTGTAATTCTTTAATTTGTACAGTTGGTTGATTTGAAATTTTTTTTCATGTTACATTAATAGGTGTAAGATTCATAAGAAAACATGTTTTATTTTCATTTTCATTCATTCCCACATATTTTCTAATTTTCCTTATAACCTCTTGGTGTACTAGTTGTTTGTGTTTTCTCATGTCCACAAATGTGTGACTTTTCCAAGGCTTTCCTTCTGTTACTGATTTCTAAATTCATTGTCTTGCTGTGGTCAGAGAAGAGGCTTCTTTTTCTGTCTGTTTTTTCAAAATTTATTGAGACTGAATTTGTGAATTAACTACATTTGTTGTGAAAAATATCTCATGCACTTGAAGGGGAGTGTGCATTTTGTTGTTCAGAGATTGTTGTGTGCATATCTGTTAGATATAATTGATTTATTGTGATATTACACACTTCTATTTTCTCTTTTTTTGTGGGGTGAGGGGTGAGACAGAGTCTGGCTCTATCCCCCAGGCTGGAGTGCAGTGGTGTGATCTCGGCTCACTGCAACCTCTGCCTCCCAGATTCAGGCGAGTCTCCTGCCTCAGCCTCCCAAGTGGCTGGGATTACAGGTGCCTGCCACCACACCTGGTTAATTTTTGTATTTTTGGTAGAGACAGGGTTTTGCCATGTTGGCCAGGGTGGTCTCAAACTCCTGACCTTGTGATCCACCTGCCTCGGCCTCCCAAAGTGCTGGGATTACAGGCGTGAGCCACCACACCTGGCCCACACCTCTATTTTCTTGTTTTCTGGTTATTCTACCCATCATTGAGAGTAGGTTCTTGAAGTCTATATTTCTTAGTGAGGAAATGTCTATTTCTCCCTTCTTTTATGTCAATTTTTGTTTCATATATTTTGATGGTTTACTAGGATCATAAATGTTGGTCATCTTTATCTTGTAATTTTTATTAATGTATAATGTACATTTTTGTTTGTTGTAACATTTTGGATTAAAAGTCTGTTTTGTCTGACTTAAGCAGTCTACAAAATAACTGCTTCTGTAACACCTTCTCTCCTACCCCTTTCAGTTGATGCTACAAAATTATATGTTTAACATTGTGTATCAAAATATATATATATATTTGAGATGGAGTCTTGCTCTGTCACCCAGGCTGGAGTGCAGTGGCGTGATCTGGGCTCACTGCAAGATCCGCCTCCAGGGTTCATGCCATTCTCCTTCCTTAGCCTCCCGAGTAGCTGGGACTACAGGTGCTCGCCACCACGCCTGGCTAATTTTTTTGTATTTTTAGTAGAGACGGGGTTTCACCATGTTAGCCAGGATGATCTTGATCTCCTGACCTTGTGATCCGCCCGCCTCGGCCTCCCAAAGTGCTGGGATTACAGGCTTGAGCCACCACACCCGGCCCAAAATATATTTTGTAAAATTTATTTTTTGTTAAATTTTTTAGAAGATAACTTGTAGAGTTATAATCAAAGTTACAATAATATTTACTGGTTTTTTGCCTAATGTGTGGTTTTATAATTGATCAATTCAAGTCATGTAGAATCTAAAAAAGGCAACAGGCTGGGCATAGTAGCTCATGCCTGTAATACCCAGCACTTTGGGAGGCTAAGGAAGGAGGATTGCTTGAGACCAGGAGTTTGAGACCAGCCTGTGCAACATAGCAAGAGGCTGTCTCTACAAAACAAATTTTAACAACAAAAAATAGCTGGGTATGGTGGCATATTCCTGTAGTCCCAGATACTCAGGAAGCTGAGATGCAAGGGTCTCTTGATCCCTGAAGGTTGAGGCTACGGTGAGCCATGATGATGCCACTGCATTTTAGCCTGTGCAACAGAATCAGAGCCTGTTTCATAATGAAAAACAAGTGGAGGGACAGTACACCATTATTAACCTCTCATAATTGCTCAATTATTTACCTTTAACCACATCTTTATTTCTTTATAGGGCTTCCATTTACTATTTATTTCAACCTTCAGGAGTCTTTTCAGTGTTTCTGTTTGGTGGGGGAGCAGATCTAATGTAAACAAACTCCTGTTGTTTGTACATCTGGGAACGTATCAATTTCTCCCTTACTTTTTAATTAACAGTTTTGTTGGATATTAGATTCTTAGTTGAGTATTTTTTTTTTTTTAGCACATTGAATGTGTCAGTCCACTACCTTCTGGCCTTATGAGAAATTGACTGATAATCCCTGTTACATGATATCGTTTTTCTATTGTTGCTTTCAGAATTCTTTCTCTTTTGCTCTTCATAGTTGAAAGATATTGTGTCTCATTGTGGGTCTTTGAGTTCATCTTGCTTGGAGTTTGTTGAGGTTCTTAGATGTTAGAATTCATGTCTTTCATCAAATTTGAGAAGTTTCCATCTAGAATTTCTTCAGATATTCTTTCTATTGCATGCTTTCTCTTTTCTGGGAATCCTGCATCGTTTGTATTGGTTAGCTTGGGTGGTGGACCAGAAGCTGTTTAGACTCTTACCTTTCTTCAATATTTTTTCTTTTTGTTCCTCAGAATTGATAAAATTCTGAAGTTTGCTGATCTTTTTTGTTGCCTGCTGAGATAATGCATTTGAATCCCTGTAGAAAATTTTTCATTTCAGTTAATTGAATGTTTCATGTTCCAGAATTTCATTTGGGGTTCCTTTTTGAAAGTTTTTTTATTTTTGATTATTGATCCTTCCATTTTGCTCATGCATCATTTTCTTAACCTTCTCTATCACTTCCTTTAGTTCTTTGAGCAACTTTAAGACAGTTGTTTTAAAAGCTGCTTACCTGTCTTACCATCTTTGAGATCAGAAGTGGTAAACTGATGAGAGCACAGCCTCTCAATGTTTGTATAACAGAGTGGTGTGTTTTGTTTTTTGTTTATGCCTACCATCACTCCTTCTGCAAGCTGTATGTAAGTTGTCCAAGAAATGTGTACAGCTACCTTGCGTGAGGGTGTAGGAGTTAGGGATAGGTAATTTGTACTTTGCTAAGAGTTGATGTTGAGTGAAATTAACCTCAATAAATCTGAATTTAGGGTTAATACAATCCTCCAGAGTTCCAAACCAGTTATATCATACCGATTATTCTGGTGTATTTATCATCTCAGGGGGAGAAAGAGTTCTGTTGCGTCCTGCTCTGCCATACTCCCAGAATCCTCAGCTCACCAGTTTTTTAGTTTGTTTGTTTTGTTTTTGTATGGATACAGTTTCTCATTCTGTCTCCCAGGCTGTAGTGCAGTGGCACTATCATAGCTCACTGCAGCCTCGACTTGTTGGGCCCAAGGGACCCTCTTGCCTCAGCCTTCTGAGTAGCTGGGACTATGGACATGCCCGAATAATGTTTCTTTTTTAAAGAGATGGGGTCTTACTACATTGCATAGCCTCATCTCGGAGTTCTGCACTCAAGCATTCCCCCAGTCTCAGCCTCACAACGTCCTGGGATTCTAGGCGTGAGTCACTGTGCCCAGCTTGTTTTACAGTAGTGAAATGAATCTGCCCATTTATACTTTCTGATTATCAATGAAAGTTGTGTTCTATAATTTTGTTGCTTTTCAGTTGTGATAGTTTATGCATCACATAAAATTTGCCATATTAACCAGATTTAATTGTACTACTCATTAGCATTAAATGCACTCACAGTGTTGTGTAACTAACACCATATTCAAAACTTTTGTCATCTTAATTGGAAACTCTATACCTGTTACTCTAATCCCTAGTCCCTTGTCTCCCCAATCATGTTTTCTGCATTTGATTTTGCCTATTGTAGGTATTTCTTACAAGTTGAATCACATAGCATGTGTTTTTTGGTTCCTGGCCTATTTTACCTAATGCTTTCAAGTTTCATGTAATACATGAGAACTTCATTTCTTATTATGACCGAGTAAATCCATTTTGTGTATGTATACATGTGTGTATACATGAGTGTGTGTGTATACACATATAACACAATTTTTATCCATCTGCTAATGGATAGAATTTTAAATCTATTCCTCTGCTAATGGACATTTTATATGCCAGTGCTCACCAAAACATTCACAGTGTCCATTAAGAGATGAATACATTTAAAAATATGTCCATTAATATTTGAGTGAGCATTGGCATACAAATATCTGAGTTCATGTCTTCGTATCTGATTATGTATATAGGGGAATGAAATTGCTGAGTTATGTGGTAATTTAATGAACTCACTTTTTGAGGAAATATTTGTTATTTATTATGAGAAATTGAAGTCACCAAAAATGAGAACTGAATAATGAACCTTCTCATATCTAGCAACTAGAGTTAATAACTATGAACATTTTGCCATATTTTGAAAATTACAGTTACCATGGTGATTTAATCCTGAATAGGTTTATATTTTTATGTATCAATTTTTAAAATAATCACAATATCCTATCTCTACCTAGTAAAATTTACTAAAATCCCTTATGTGTCTTCTAAACACACAAAGAAAAAACAATTCTCATTTAAATTTCTCAAGGTTGTGCATGGTGTCTCAAGCCTGCAATCATAGCATTTTTGGAGGCCAAGGCATTTTGCTTGAGCCCAGGAGTTCCAGATGAGCGTAGGCAAATAGTGAAACCTGTTTTCACAGGAAAAAAAAAAAATGAGGTATGGTGGCATGCACTTGTGAACCCAATTATTTCAGAAGCTGAAGCAGGAGGATCACTTAAGCAGTAGGCTACAATCACAACACTGAACTCCAGGCTGGGTAACAGAGTGAAACATTGGCTCAAAAATATAAAAAATTCTCAGTTGTGCGAATGATACAACAGTTTTTTGAGCAAATCTGGATCCAAGTGAGTAATTCACTTTTATCTAGGCTATTTTTATGTTAGTCTTGACTGTATTAATTTATATTCAATCTTAAATCTCTCTTAATTAAGGTATGAAAGTCAACCCTTTTTTGGTTCTATATTTAAGTAATTTTTAAAAAAATCTTGAATTAAAAACATTATTTAGAAGTAACTTTCATATTCTACTGGATTTCTTATTTGCTGGTTTTTTTGGGGGGATTGATTCTACCCTTTATTTTTAGTATTCTGAATGAGTTTTGGTGAGCTACTGTGGTCCAAAATATATATTGTGTATACACAATACATAGTCTGAATTCTTGTATAACAAAAGTACAGTCCATATTTGTAAGGGGTGCTTGGAAAGGTATATTAGGTATATTACCTTACATGTGTAGATCTTCATAAGTAATAGTTGGCAAGGTCTGCTATAAACTTGTTACATATTTCTATATTTGTCATTATATTAGAGACATTTTTAGTCTTTGATGTTATTTTTCCCATTAATATGGTGTCCTGACCTGGTCATGCTTTCAGTTTTTCATGAGATCATGCTAATGAAATTTCTTAAAAGTTTTGCAAATATAATCTGATAACGTACTTTGATTTTTTGAAAAAAAGTCATCTCTTACCCAGTAAATATCAACTAATTGCTGGTTTTCTTTTGTGATTTCTTCTCAATGTATTTTATATTAAGGTTTGGAGATACCAGTCCTTTTAAGCCTAATCCTCATGCTATCTGGTAAAAATTATTAACAACTAAAAATTACTTAATGTATATTACAAAGGAGGTAGTACCATCTATGAAATCTTTTTGATAAATCTTACTCCACTCTGTCTTATGTATGTTTAAATGAGCACCAGAAGAATTATGCATTACATTTCATTTGATTGGTTAATCTTTGAGCTCTTGGTTTTTAATATTTGTTTCTTGCTGTTTTCTCTTTGAGGAAATGAGTTATTTGCGATATAAAACTTTCACATTTCTACATTGTGCCCATAGTAGGATGCCACCCCTGTGGTCATGTTTAATAGTTTTTTCTCAGTGTTTCGGTGTTTAATATTTTCTATCATTTTTTTAAAAAAATATTCAACATTGAGACATTTTTCTCAATGTATTATATTCTCAAGATCTGATTTTTTGTCTGACTAGTTTTATCAAATCATTAATTCAGCCATTTATTATATGAACACCTTTTGTAAAACAGAAGAACACTAATTTATCATGATATTTTCATATATATTTTGTGATATTGAGAATCATTAAGTATTTTATCACCTGCTTTTTACAAAAACACAATAGTCTCTCATTTCACTAATAGTTATACATTTGCTCTAAGTATCAGTAAATTTACTCTGAATGATAAGTTCTTCATTTAAATAGGAACTTAATCAACTTTTTTGGGATTTCAGTTCAAAAGGAAAGGTAAATAAATGTTTTTTCCCTTATCTTACCATTTATATAATAATGAATTGATGTGCAAGTAATCTTCAAAGGTGACTAGTTTTTAAATTCATGTTCTTTATTCAGAAGACAGAAAGCATTTTCAGGAGATTTGAATATTTGAAGTTATATTTTAAAGGTGATAATGCTAATAGCATAATTAAAAAACAGTTTCTGCATGTAAACACATGGTAGAATATAACAGGTAATATATATTTGTAATTATTTTTCTATTTCATGTTTATTCAAATGTATGTACAATCTCTGTAGCTTGTAGTTTGGCTGTGTTATGCTTTATAAAATTTATTTATCTGAGACAGGGTCTCACTCTGTCGCCCAGGCTGGAGTGCAGAGGCATGATGTCAGCTCACAGCCTCCACCTCCCAGGTTCAAGTGATTCTCCTGCCTCAGCCTCCCAAGTAGCTGGGACTACAGGCGTGCACCACCACATCTGACTAATGTCTATGTATATATTTTTTAGTAGGGTCAGGTTTTCACCATGTTGGCCAGGCTGGTCTTGAACTACTGAGCTCAAGTGATTAACCTGCCTTGGCCTCTCATACTACTGGAATTATAGGCATGAGCCTCCACACCCGGACATAACATTTATTTTTTATTTTATATTTTATATTTTATATTTTATTTTATTTTTGAGATGGAGTTTTGCTCTTGTTGCACAGGCTGGAGTGCAATGGCACGATCTCGCATCACCACAACCTCCAGCTCCCGGTTGCAAGCGATTCTCCTGCCCAGCCTCCCAAGCAGCTGGGATTACAGATAAGTGCCACCACGCCCGGCTAATTTTTTTATTTTTAGTAGAGTCAGAGTTTCGTATGTTGGTCAGGCTAGTCTCAAACTCCTGACCTCAGGTGATTTGCCCGCCTCAGCCTCCCAAAGTGTTAGGATTACAGGCATGAGCTACCACGCCCGGCCCATAAAATTTATTTTTATCCCAGTTGTGTGTACTTATTTACTTATGTATTTATTTATATTTATTTATTTGAGATGGAGTCTGACTCTCTTCCCCAGACTGGAATGCAGTGGCACAATCTTGGCTCACTGTAGCCTCTGACACCAGGGTTCAAGCCATCATCCCACCTCAGCCTCCCAAGTAGCTGGGATTTTAAGCATGTACCACCATGCCCAGCTAATTTTTATATTCTTAGTAGAGACAGGGTTTCACCATGTTGGCCAGGCTGGTCTTGAACTCCTGACCTCAGGTGATCCACCTGCCTCGGCTTCCCAAAGTGCTAGAATTAGAGAGGTGTGAGCCTCCATAAGGAATATGATTTGAAGGGAAGAGGGGATATGAGTGTGAGGTAAATGTTTTCCTATTTAAATATTGAAATATAAAAGGCTATTCAGTTTCCATTCAAGTAACATTTGGAAGCTTTTTATTTCATAATACTATTTTGTGTAGAAACCATTACTGTTTGTTTTGTATTTGTGTAGGTAAAAAGTATTATGAAATTATGTAATTACAGTATTCACTCTGCCAAAAAAAACAAAAATAATTATAACTCGGGTATCTAATGATTGAACATTTAGTAATTCTTCCCTGACAAAAAGAGAAAAATATTATAACTCAGGTATCTAATGATTGAACATTTAGTAATTCTTCCCTGATTATAAAAGTAGCACATTTATACTTTGGAAAATAAAACAGCATGTATGGGAAAAAGTAATAAACATAGAGAAATTCCATCACCTCCCTTCCCCTCTCCTCCAAGAAAAAGTGGCTTACGCCTGTAATCCAAGTTCTTAGGGAGCCAGAGGCAGGAGGATAGCTTGAGCCCAGGAGTTTGGGACTTGCCTGGGCAATATAGCGAGACCCTGTTTCCCCACCCCACCCCCCCAAAAAAAGAAAAACGTAATTCCATATTTTACAGGTTTAGTGTTGACTTCATAAAAGATGGAAGGGAAGGTTATCAGAGTATCCCATTGTAGTGATTATAGTGCTCAGATTCTAGCTCCATACCTGTTAGAACACATTCGCAATTGTCAGCTTAAACTATATTTGTATGTATTGTTTGTCTGTTTTGTATTAAAGGCAAAAGCTCATTATCAATTAGTTGTATGTTTTAAAGAGTTGGCCACAACATCCATCATAAGACCTATCTAAAGAGGAATACATGATGTCTTAGTACAAAGGAGTAGAGATACAATGAATGTATTTATTTTCATGTTTCTTAAGAGGGAATGCACTAGCAATTGACGGTAAAATAGATACAAATCAAGTAAAGAAACCAGTATATTTTTAGTCATTATGTCGCTTTGAACAACAATTTGTTTAATCATTTTGCGGTAACTGGTTGCTTGGAACTGCCTTATTTTTTGTATTCAATATATTTATTTATGGGAGTGTATACATATTCCAGGGTGTTCTAGTTCCTCAGGGAAAATCTGGATGACATAGAAGAATTTTGTTCTTTATTATGAGTCAATTTATAATTTCATCTTTTTTTAAAAGGCATTTTTCCTACAGCTAGACGTTTTGATTGTCACTTTTGTTGTGAGAAAAAAATTACAAAGACGTTGTAAAGATTGGGAATGAGGAAGGTGACTTGATCGGGTATCACAGACTTACAAAATCTTGTATGTAATTAGAGTTATGTTAATGGCACATTTATAAGCAAAGTAATGTCATGGAATGGAAGACCCATAAGTTGACATGAGAAACAGAAAGTGTATTAAAGTTAATCTGCATTCATGGGGGCAGATTGTTAGCCAAATGAATAAAGAATTAGATTCATCTTCATGGTATGTAGCATGAAGAATTTAAAATGAATCAGAGGTTTAAATTAACTGCAGAAATTATAGAGTTTCAGAAAACGAATTTCTCTCCAATTTTGAGGAAATTACTGATGATACACATTGTAGAAGCAACAAGAAACACAAAGATTGATAGTAAAAATGAAATTACAGAGTTGAAAAAGTTGTGACATCACATAAGAAGAGTGAAACCCTTGGTGTGTAAGATATAATCGGGGAAAAATACCAGTTCAAAGGAAAAGTGACTTGAGCACATAGTTCACTGAAAAAAATACACAAAGTGCTGTTAATCATATAAAAGGATTCTTGGGTTTGCTCATAATAAGGATAATGACAATTGAAAATACAACTAAGATATAATTAGTTTCTCTACTATTAGACTAGCAAAAGTCCAGAAGTTTGACAACATTTTTTTTTTTTTGGCAACATGTTCGGAATTATGGAAAATCATACGTTGCTTCTGGGCATGTAAAATGTAAACCATATGGGTAGGAATTTAATATTTTGTAAATTTATATCTGTGGCAAATACATAGTTCATCTCCTAGTAATATGTAGCAGTAAGAAGGATTGATGGATGTTTGTATACCACTATGTGATAATGTCTTGGATATAATGTAGAAATAGGGGAGAAGTCGGCTACAGGAAGTAAAAATGGCAATATGGTGCTCAGGGTGCATTCATCACTATAACAGATAACCATTTTGTTAATGGTGCCCTGCGCGGTAACTGAAATTGTACTGGGCTTTCAACAGAATTTTGTCAAAATGGGACGCTGCATGAGCTAATAAGTTGTGAAATAAATAGGGTTTTATTGTGGAGTAATAAGTAACACAAAGAAGGGGGTTTGCAGTATCTTAGGAAGAAGAACAGACGTTCTTGGTAAAGTTCCTTTAATATGAAAATAGCATTTTTAAATACTTGGAGTAGTGAGTGAAGAAGCTTTCTCTATGAGAGCACGGTTAGTTCCCAAATAAATCCCAGCCTCCTCTCTTCTGTTAATTTCTTCGGAAGGATTTGAGGTAGCTTTTGAAGTATTTGGTCAAAGTTGCAAACTCCTCGGGAGGAGGCCAGGCATGGTACCTCACGCCTGTAATCCCAGCATTTTGGGAGGCTGAGGCGGGAGGATCACCTGAGGTCAGGAGGTCAAGACCAGCCTGGTCAACATGGCGAAACCCTGTCTCTATTAAAAATATAAAAATGAGCTGAGTATGGTGATGCACGCCTGTAATCCTAGCTACTTGGGAGGCTTGAGGCAGGAGAATCACTTGAACCCAGAAGGCAGAGGTTGCCGTGAGATGAGATTGTGCCACTGCACTCCAGCCTGTGTGACAAAACAAGACTCCTCCTGGAAAAAAAAAAAAAAAAAAAAGGAAACCTGAGATTCTGCTTAACAATTGTAAAGTCAGAAGGTATGAAGAGTATTTGAAGTTAGACCTGTGGACAGGCTGATTGGATCTTCAGCAGTATGAGAAAGTTTAGTTAAGCCAAGGTACTATGTAAAACTCCAAGCTGTACAGAGCTCTGCCTGGCCAGCTGGTCAGCACTTGGGTAATGAGGAATTGATAAATGGCAAATTGCTTCATTGAATGATTGGATTAATAGTAGCATGAATGGATAAATTAACGGGAATGGGTATATAAATGGGTATGAGATCAGGAATATTAATGGAGTCACAAGTAGATGATGCGTAAATGGGACTATATGTGTGGATTGATGGATGGATGGACCCTGAAATGCATTTTTGATGGAATTAGGGAACAAGAATAAATATAATAGGAAGTGTGGTATGCATGTAAGCATGTTTGTGTGTGTATGTGTATATAGGTTGATGCAAGAGTGGAAGGGTAGTAAGGACAAAAACTTTGGACAGCTATATTGACAATGCAAAATAAAAACATGAATGTATGAATGTATGAATTTGACGGATATGTGCTTGAAAGAATGAAGTCAGTTTAGGAAAGGATAATTAACAAATCTCAGTAATGATTGTAATCATGTGATTCTCACAGTAACTGTTCAACAGTGACTGTTAAGGATGCTGCGTGCTCATGGCAGTAACTCATGGGCAGATGTCACAAAGACAGTAATACCTCTTATTGCTTTTATGACAGCATAAGGTTTTATTTTTCACTGTGGCTTTGTTAGAGTTATGGAAAGTCATCCATTGCCTCTTAAATACGTAATGGTAAATTGGGTAAAGGAATTGGGTAAATCACATGGTTTTCCAAAACTTCAGGAGATTTAGAAGCTGTATTTTATGTTTTCTCAAGGAAAGGATGAAAAGGACACGTTAAACACTGATAGTGTCTACTGTAGGATACCTTTCTGGTCTCACAAACTAGGTATACTTTCTACTTAAATGGAAACTATCCCCTTCACAGTGGGAACCAATAAAAACCTCACCCAGGTAAAAATCCAGCGTCTCAGTGATGCTATCTCCCTATCATGAGGTAATTCACAGTAATCTGTACCTTAAGTCTCAGTGTACCTACTGTTGGCCCAGAGATAGGTGAAACTTAAAGATAATTGTACCTTGGCTGCATGTAGTGGCTCATGCCTATAATCCCAGCACTTTGGGAAGCTGAGGCGGGCAGATCACACCGTCAGGAGTTAAAGACCAGCCTGGCTAACATGGTGAAACCCTGTCTCTACTAAAAATACACCACACCCTGGTGTGGTGGTGTGTGCCTGTAATACCAGCTACTCAGAACGCTGAGGCAGGAGAATCGCTTGAACCCGGGAGGCAGAGGTTGCAGTGAGCTGAGATCGTGCCATTGCACTCCAGTCTGGGCAATAGGGTGAGACTCCATCTCAAAAAAATAATAATTGAACCTTATTTCCTTTTGTACAATGTACAATGAGCAGAGTCAGGGCAACTATAATACAACTCCAAACTCTAAGGTGTCAAATGTGATAGAAATCACTTTTCCATTGAAATTTTGAAATCCCTCTGGAAATACACTGTGAAGGCTCCCTATACTGTGCTAGAGAGTGTTTTACTAGGGCCTGGAAGATGCTCACTTTTTCCTTGTTTTCCTTGGCTGTAGCTTTTACCTCTGGCACACTTTCCCAATCCCCTTATCCTACTTAATTATTTTTAAAATAGGCATTGTGGAGGATGTTTGTTCATATTTTAAGTCTTAATCATGGGCTTCTAGTTTCTTTGGAAGTAAAAGTGACCCATTAAAAATGTAAAATGTGTTATGTGCATCATGGGCACAGGAGTTTCGTGGCCTATATGTGATTCTAACTTATATCTTACCATGGTGATCGTAGAACCATGTGTTGATATGTAATTTTCAAAAGAGGTGAATGCCCTTGGCACAGTAATCTGTCATATTTAGCAAAGCTTCCCTGAGAGCCATCATAACAGACCCACAGGAATATTTTCATTAGTAAGAAGTAGATGTGTTCAGCCAGTAAAATTTTGAAGTGGCCATGACTTCAATCTGAGTACAGAGGGAAAGTTACACACAATAATTCAGTGATTGGTGGATAGGTGCGTTCAAGGAGGCAGGGTTGGATTGGTGTTTTCAAGCTTGGTAGTAGTAGTAGACAGGCAGACATGTGAGTTGATGGAAGGATGCAAGAATGGTTACTGAAATTTTCTTTGTATTATATGGTTAATGTGGATTTAATAACTAGTCATTGAAATTATGTGGGATTGGATATTTAAAGCCCAGAAAGATGAATATAATAATCGTCTAATATAATTTGAAATATAATAACGGATGCATGCAAAATTGGGTGTATTGAATAATGTAAGAAATAGATGGAAAGTAGAATATGAGCAAATGGCTGGATGCAAGAATGGAGAATGCAGGTTTTAAAAACCTGTTGGGTGTATGTATGGTTATATGCACAGTGGAATCATTTAGTGAAGGTGCAGATGGTTATATGCCTAGGTGTTATCATTGGATGGATCAAAAATGGAATGCTGTATGGATAGATCTTTAGATTGATGAGTACAAATATGGCTATCTAAAACCTTGGATAAATGTAGGGATCAGGGTTCAGGTACATTGGTTGCATAAGTGATAGCTGCCTGTTTGGTGGCTTTAGAGTGGCTTAATAGACTGATAGATGGGTTGATTCACAAGGTGATGGTACAGGAATTTGATGACTATGAGAATGGGCTGATGCAATAATAAAGTCATATATGTAAAGTTGACTGGAAAGATGGACATTTGAAAGCCAATGGTATATTTTCACGGGCAGATTCATTATGAAATTATAAAAGTTTTGTTTTTGCATTCTCAACATGATGTGTTAGCAAATAAGCAAAAACTAACTGCAGTGGGTTCACAAGTTAGTTTAATTAAAATGATCTTTCAATATTTTAATAATTTGGGGACTTTAGGAGGTTGAGGAATGAGAGAACTTCACCTTCTGTATATTAACTGGTCGTATGTCACAATTTTCCCATATTTTTCACAGTTATAGCTGAGGTGGTACCAGTTTAAGAAGTGAGAACTTCTTCACTGACTGAAATTTGCATATCAATCCAAATCATTGTGCTTATTTACTATTTTTGTAGACGTCATTCTTCAAAAGTGCTGGTAAGAATCAGTAACCCTGGTGTACTGTTTATTTTTGACCAGTTTGATATTGAATCTAATTTGTAATATTTTAAAATCCAAAACTATACATGAATTCTATAAAACACAAAGTTGTGAATTTGTGGAGTGATTATCAGTTAGGTGAAATAAAAGAGATAAAAGGGCTCCCTAAATTTTGACACAGTTTTGATATGTAGTTTATGCAGGTTTTGATTTACCAGTCTTATCTACTCTCACCGTAGTATGTAATGTCATCTGGACTGAGACTATAACTTTTTATCTGTATACTCAGTAAATTTTATATTATTTCAGTAAATTTTATTGAATAAATGCTCTGGAATAAATTCATCAGCTAGAGGGAGATAAGAAGGAAGTCTGGCAGCCTGTGGAAAATAAAGAAAATGGATAGGCTATTAAAAGATGTCAGAGACCAAAGTCATTAGGAATTAGAATTTACTATAAATAGTATGGGTTATAATGAGAGTAGCAGGTTTAATTTTAGTTCCAAGTGCATGATTTAGGATATCATCAGTAAGTAGGTAAGGTCAGCAGATAGGAGTTGAGGAATATTTCAACATTGAAGTGGTAAAAGTAGGGTCTTAACACCCTTTCTTTCGATGAGTGAATGAAAAATCTTCAACTATTTTCCAACATTCCTGTTTTTCTTTTTTTTCACAAGCATCTTCAATAGTCAAGGAGGACAAAGACATCTTTCCTGCAGGTAAAATCATTAAAGACTATATTGTGATTTTGAAGCTGTTCTATTTGCTACGTTGAGGATATATTAGATTCTTATTTGAGTTCTTTGAAATTAAATTTCTTTTCTCATACATCCTACTTTGTGGTTATGTGATTATTTTGAGTCGATATTTTAATCAAGGACTTTATAGTTAACTCTTGTTAATAACCAACATTTAATGAAATCAGGCATTTTCTTGACTTTAGTACCACGAGAAGTTGCACAAGAAGCATACAGGGTAGCAAGGAGAATTGATGGGTGGATACTGGGTTTTAGTTTGTGGAAAGATCTTAATGGAATACACAGAGTATCTTATTAGTATTTCCTTATATTGTGTCTTTTAAAAAAATTCTTAACCCCTGAATTGGTGTATAAATTAGAATGAAGAAACTACACAGGAAATGCTGGTTCAAAGAATAAATAGGTGGTTGGTTGGCGTGAAAATAATTTGGAATAGGAGATAGGTATTCAAATCACAAAAAAATGTGTAGAGAAACGAAGGAAAATGGCAGCTTTATCATTTGCATACAGTACGTATACCTGGTTTTTGTAGGTTTTGGGTTATTCCACATCAGATTGTAGGAGTTCGGTTTTATGGAGTATTACTTGACTTGAAGATGATATATTTCTGTCACCAGGCATGGCTGTGTCATAACCTGTTGTTTATTTCCATTTGCAATCTCTTCTTCTGTACTCTCTCAGGTGGTGACCATGTGGATAATAGGATCATAGACAAATGGTGGTTCCATCTACAGCATCACCGAAATGCTGTTGTTACTGCTTCTTTCTGGGATCTTCTTGCATCTTTGCTTCTAAAGGGGCACACCTTTTATAGAAGTACGTCCAGGAATAGAAGTGACCTGCTTTTTCGCAAGTAATTGCCTGGAATGTTTTTATGTACTTCTCTGCACTCTCAATACATTTCATGCTTCCCTCTATTTTTGTATATTAACTCATTGTATTTCTTAAATTTATATTTTACTTTATGAATGGAAGTGAGATTTGTGTATGGTAAATATAATTAATTCAACCCCATGGATACGTTAGTCACTGTCCAGATGATGGCAAGTCTTTCTCAGAAGCAGAGGGCCTTGGTGTGCCAGTGATTTTTTTTCCCCATGTGTAAGATACTTTTTTTCCTCATTTGAATCAGGAGCCCACAGTTTTTAGACAAGTCCCAAATGAAATCTTAAGCATTTGTGTTATCTGGACTAGACCTTCTGTAGTATCCTTTTTGTTAGACCTAGTATATCTCATTGCAGATCAGGATCTGAGATTGACTATAGTTCACCTCTTTCCAAGTACACAAACTTGGATGACATGACAACTGAGTGTGTAAGGGAGAGCGAGACCCTTGCACTGCCATTTGAGCCCTTGTGATCTCATCTTGTAGAACATGTTGTACAATCATTTTATTGGTATCATTAGTGTTATTTGGGGCTGGAATAAAAATCTCAGTGCACCAAAGAGATTTCCCCTTTATCCACGTTACCCTGGTTTTCCTTTGTTTTCTGTTTAACCTAAACGGGCTTAATATAAAATAGTGCTTATTTGGTGTTTTAATTGTCTGCTTCTATAACATAAGCTGCACTGTCCATTGGGGAACTGCTCACCATATTGCCCAACCTGTCTTGATAGGTTTATACATGGGAGGCATTCAGTAATATTAATTACCTCTCTAGACCAGTGTTAGCAATAACAAACACTTGCTAGAATTTTAAGACTATATAATCAATCACTTTGATGTCAGTTAATCCTACCAACACAAGATTAAAGGTTTAAAAATCTCATACGTGTACAGCCATTAGTGTCTCCTTTCATACTATATTATTTTGTTCATTGGCAGCTAGATTTTTAGGTAGAACTTGTGTTCCTTTTTGCAATGCTCATTTATTTTACCTGGACAGAAGGTGCTCTTCTGTCTCTTCTCCAAAGTTAATTTATCTCATACTATTTCTTGTGTTAATATTTTCCAAGTTCAGTATGCTGTTCTGGTTATAAGAAGATCAGTGTCCTAATCACACACTTTTACATTATATGAAACATCATACAGAGTTTTGTAGTCTGTATAACAATACACAGAGGTAGCAAAATTTGTAAAAGAGCAGACTATATAGTCCATACTGTAGTAACTACTCAACATTGCCATTATACGTGAAATCGGCTATAACCAATTCATAAACAAATGAATTTGGCCGTGTTCTAGTAAAACTTATTTACAAAAACATGTGTTAGGCCAGATTTGGACCACAGGCTGTAGATTTCTGACCTCTGGCTTACAGCAGAAGTTTATTATGATCCTGGGGAAGGTGGATATACATGGAAGGCAGAAGCGAGAAGATGTATTCCATCCCATGTCATTTTTCTGAACCCTCAACGTAGGAAGTTAAACTAAAACATGGGGCAGAATCTGCTTTAAGCCTTTGAATTCTTGGCTCTTAAAGCCAGGTTGAGGGTTATGTGTTTTTATTCTTTTATATCTCCTTTTCACTTAGGCTTGGCAACTAGTTCATTGAAACAGAGCCAACAAGAATGAGTGAGTCACTCAGTGATATGAAGCAAGCTGTGGTCATTTATCTACTACCTTCCATACCTACTTCCTAGGTTTGATAAGTAGTGTTTGTAGTGTAGTTGTCAGTAACTTTTCTCAGCTTACATAAGTTTATGTGGAATTCATTTACAAATGTGTGATTATTACGATAGATGTTATTTTATAAATTTCAAGGTTCTTTAATACAGCATGGACATGTTTCTAAATCAATAAATATAGCTTACCCACAGACTTTTTATGGGATGTAAAGTATGTATTACAACAGGTAAATCCATTTCTCTGTTTTGGGAAAGCAGGTTAATGTTTTGTTTGTTTTGTTGCTGCATATAATGTTGCACTATATATATATTCTAATGCAGTTGGTCTCCTAATTCTACAGGATAAATGTCTAGCTGTGGCATTGTTGGATCATCAGTTTCGTTTCAGTTAGATGCTGTGAAATTGCTCTTGAAAATGGTGTCCTCTGCCACCACAGAACGGTGTTGTAATGGAAGTGCCAATTTTCATAAAAACTTGTGTGCAACAGGTATTAAGAATTTTTGAGGTCGGGCGCAGTAGCTCACGCCTGTAATCCCAGCACTTTGGGAGGCCTAGGCAGGTGGATCACCTGAGGTCAGGAGTTCCAGACCAGCCTGACCAACATGGTGAAATCCCATCTCCACTAAATACAAAAAATTAGCTGGGCGTGGTGGCATATACCTGTAATCCCAGCTACTTGGGAGGCTAAGACAGGAGAATTGCTTGAACCCAGGAGGCGGAGGTTGCAGTGAGCCGAGATTGCACCACTACACTCCAGCCTGGGTGATGAGCGAAACTCCATCTCAAAAAAAAAAAAAAGCTTTAAATTTTTAGCCAATCTAATAGGTGAAAATGGCATTTTTAACATAAGTCTGACTTAAACAATTAATGGCCGTGGCTAAAAGAAGAATCAAATAATGATGTGTGATTTATAAGATAAGGAGGCAGTACCCCATTTTTCCTCACTCTACCCAAAAATCCTGTTTATCTGAGCAAGAAATCATTAATATTTTCTAAATCCGCTTGGAAGTTCATAAACGCCCTAAGTATACCTTATACCAGCGTTTTTATGACTTTGTATTTTTGAAATAATTTTAGATTCAGAATCGCAAGAATCATGCAGAGCGACCTGATTTACGCTTCACCTAGATTGACTTTTTATTCTGCATCGTTGTGTTCTTCCCCCACTTCCTCTTCTTGCTCTCGCCTCCCTTTATATGTTTATACATAGCATTATCATTTTATGTACTATTTGAATGATTTGCCGACATTATCTTCCTGTAACCCAAAACACTTCAACATCTACTTTCTAAGAGCCTGAGCATCTTATATTGACTTCGGTAAAAATTTCAAAATAATGAAATGTGTCAATAGTATAAAAGTATAACAGTATGCAGTCCATATTCACATTTTACCCATTTTTCCAGAGGTGTTCTTTATAGCAGTTTCTTCCCTTCTACAACATCCAGAAAAGGATCTTCTATTGCATTCAATTATCATGTCTCTTTAGTTTTGTTTAATCTGAAACAGTTTCCTGGACTTTGATCACATCAGTGTTCTTAAAAAGTAATAGCTAACAGATTTAAGGAGATACCTCAGATTTTGAATTTTGTGTTTCCTCATGAAAAGGTTTAAGATACTCATTTTGAGCAGAAATAATTCAGTATTCTCAGTCTTCCTTAGTGAATCATCTCAGGTGACAAATAATGTCACTTTGTCTCACTTTGAATTACTTTGATCTCTTGGTTCGATTGGTGTCCACTGGACTTTTCCACTATAGTTAACATTCCTTCATAATTAATTTGGAACTATACAGGTATTCTATTTTTCATCAAACTTCCACATAGTAGGTTTAATATGCACAGGTGACTTTTACCTGAATCAGTGTTGATTAGAAAAAAATCTGTTATTGCTTAGATGCATTATTTAGTATCTTGTACTGTAAGGAAGAGTTTGTATATCATGGCCTGTCAGAACAGTCCCGCAATGTGTTTTATGAACTGAAAATTCTGAAAGAATAAGGTAGTGATTTATATGAGAATACAGGGAAAGGGTTACCCAAAGAGTCTAATGAATTTATGTCTAAACCATAGAGTGGAATGTGAGAGACACACAGAACTCCAGAGTTGTGATGCAAATACACTGCACAGTGGAAGGAGAAGAGGAAGTTTTTGGTAATAGTGTTTCATCTAATGTAGCTCTGTAATGTATGTGTGCCTTCATTATTGGAAGAGTGTTCAACAGTTCACAGTTGAATAGACTGAAGCATGATGCTGGAATCTGGGTTCAGATTCTAGATCCGTATCCTACATATCACCAATGCTTGTTTCTCAATTTTTGTTTGTCATTACTTTAAGTCTCTTTAATGCATTAGAGTATCCAAGGTTGACAGTGAAGGGACTGCATTTGGGAGCTATCTGAAGACAAAAACAGCTTTTTGAAGTTTCTTTCATACGTCACCTTACATGGCCTCTCGCATTCTCTGTGGAGAAGTTTGTGTAGATTATTCAGACTACCGTGCAGTGACTGTGTTGTTTAAAACCTATACATATCCAAACTCTGTTTTGTGTTCTCTATAACTAGGGCATTAGTCTCCCAATAGTAATCCTGCATCTTATGCTATTTAAAGAAGGTTCCCAGAATACAGACATTCTTACTTTTGAACAATGACTTGGGTAGATTGAGGAAGTGGTTTTAATAATCACTTTGATATATTTCAAAATCTGGTTCATTATTGGTGAGGTGCAGGCCACCTGGTATTAATGAAAATGTGTAATTAGGAACCAGTGCAGTGGAATCAGAGGCTTGAACATGACCTAAGGCTTGGTCAAAAGTGGTGATCTGAATGTTCCCTGCTCTCTGTATGTAACTTTGTACTTAGTCTTCAGTGGCAGGGTTGCAGCAGAGGCCCAGTAAATATTGTTCATTCAACGTATGAAGGAGAAAATGGAAGTAAGGCCAAAAATTACTGATTGTAAACAAATGAAGCACCAAGTGAATAAATGTACAAATAGACAAGTAGCCAGTAGGAAAAAAAACAATAATTGTTACCTAAAGAATGAAAACCAAGTGGAAAAGGCCGCCAGGGACATTTTAATATGCATATTGTTGCTTTCACATATAATACAGTAAGGGAGTATCAGAAAACCTGAATCTGCCTGACTAAAACATACCCTGTTCCACAAAGCTATATATATGAGAGTATTGAAGGTGGTTTAATACCAAATTCAAAAATTCAGCCTCAGTGTAGCAAACTTTTAAATTTTCCATGATATAAAGTAAGTTTTAACCAACAATGGAAGTCACAGCACTAAAGTACATTACTATTATATGATTCTCTGATGGTAATAGAAACTGTGCTGCAGGACACGTTTTGATTCAGGAAGAAATGTGGAGTAACTCCACAGAGGAATTCATCCTTTCTAAGTTTAAATCTGAACGGAACCCATATGCCCATACCCTGAAGATGCATGTAAGGGAACAACATGGCTTGGTCTGTTGAAAAAAGAAAAGAACCTTCAATTAAGCATTCTGTGAACTTGATAAGAGGATGCAGAGGAACGTAAATGCACTCTGCATATCTGTGATTGACCTTGGAACACAGTGATTGCCCTCTAAAGAATAGCCGAGTAAGTACTGTTATCATTCCACCGATCAAATTAGAGCCTCTTCCTTCCAGTGGGAGCAGAGTGACATAGACCAAGGAAAGCCGAGGAGAAGATTGTAGCCTTTTATTTCTCCTTATATTTGTTGAGGTTCACTGCTGACTGATAAACGATTTGCACAAAAAAATTCAGGCCTCTGACTCTTCTGGTATTTGATTTATCTAGTAAAGTTAATTCCAAGACAAAAGTACAGTTGGTTAAAAATACCAGTCTCATGTTTATTTGATGGTTTGAAATATTCTGTTACATTGTTGTATCTCGTTTGTCACCTTGGAATATATGACAATCATGTTATCTTGATTTTTTCCACAAGATAATTTGATTCTAAAATCGATTCATTGTTTATCTTCAGGAATTAGAGATTTTAAAAATGTCATCTCATGTCTCATTCAGTCATTTCCAAGATTTAGCGAGTGTTCTCCCTAATGCCTTGGATAAGAATGCCTTGTTCAATGGCTGTATTTTACTCATAATTAGCATTCCAACTGCTTTGGGTTTTTTTAGATTTACAATTTTTATTTCTGCAGTACTTAACTTTCTATATTTTATGTATATTAAAACAAGTTAGGTAGGATGAAGATCACTGGATGATATAAATACTAATAGCAAAAGTAGAAATAAGTTGTATTATATAAGTTGTACATAGGTGTTACATTAGGTTGTCTTACATGAAAGTATTACAAAGTATGGGATTTGGGGTGTATTTTGAAATCCTTGCCAGTTCTACTTGATAAAGTATTGAATGGTATCATGTGAGAGGAGAAGAGGACGGAAACAGGACTTATGATTTAGACCTCAACAACTGCTAGGGAGGGTTGGTTTTCTCTGAGTGCATGATTTTTTATAAAAATGCTATTTTGCCAGTTTTAGATCCATATTAAACCCACAGATTAAGGTTTTGGTTTTTAAAGTGTAAATAGGAAGCTTGAGCTGGGGGGGAATTTGGAGGTAGAGATAATACTTAATCGCTGTGGGAAAGGATGAGATCTAGAGATAGAGTGTATGTGGGAGTAGGAACATATGTGTCTGAGACCATGCTTTGGATGCTCTAGCATTTAGATATTGAGAAAATGAGGAAGACCCATTAAAGGAGATTGTGGCTAGAGTTACTGGTGAAAACCAAAGGGTTGTAGTGTTCCTGAAGATACATGAAGAGTGAGATTAAAAATTAATGGGGCAGCAGTGGCTTTTGCATGGCATTGAAAAGACACAGTTCAATTTGAAAATTGAGTATCATTAATCGTAGTGCTCTTATTATTGAAAAGGCCAAATCAAACAATACCTTTGAGTTGATGGTCTGTACTATAATTAGGTTACCATTGTTAGCCCAGCATAGACACATGCTGATACCTGTGAGTTGCTTTCATCAATTAGTATGTGAAGATGCATCCCAGTTGTACAATTTTAGATCCTCTTCATCATTCCACATTATATGTATACAAGATAAAACTTGATGTTTTCATTACATCCTTTCAATCTTCTAACAGCAGTCCTTACGTAGCTTTATCATTGGAGTTTCCACTTGCAGTGTCTCTATCTGTACCTGCATTCATTGGCCACGGTAGAGTTTTCATTACGGCAGGATTGCATTTCATTGTTTTGGCTTGTGTCAGACATTTAGCAAAGATTGTTGAGGAAAGGAATGGATGGAAGGGGCCAGCTGAAAGAAAAAGTAACAACCTAATGATGGATAAGTGAAAAAGGAATGAAGAAAGGATGGTGCTAGGAATCGAGGGAGTAAAGCAAGATAGAATGTACAAAAGGTCGAATTTTTAAAGAAAGTTGTAGGGCAAGGGCAAGGTGTGTTGAACCTACATTTAAAATACAATAACATCACTAAAGTCGAGGCCGGGTGTGGTGGCTCACCCCTGTAATCCCAGCACTTTGGGAGGCCAAGGCAGGCAGATTACCTGAGGTCAGAAGTTTGAGACCATCCTGGCCAACATGGTAAAACCCCATCTCTACTAAAAATACAAAAATTAGCTGGGCGTGGTGGCGGGCGCCTGTAATCCCAGTTACTTGGGAGGCTGAGGCAGGAGAATCACTTGAACCTGGGAGGCGGAGGCTGCAGTGAGCCAAGATCATGTCACTGTACTCCAGCCTGGGCGACAAGAATGAAACTCTGTCTCAAAAAAAAAAAAAACCCATCACTAAAATCAGGGAGAAAAAAACCATCACTAAAGTCAGGGATAAAGTACCATTGTGGAAGGTGTTCTTTTCCAGCTTAACCTGAAGAATTGTACAGTCATTGTACATTGTCATTCCCTAACTAATGGGTTAGATATGAGTCTGTAGAAAATTGTTTGTCCAACATACTTTATGCCTCTTAACATTTCACTTACCAAATTTCATTTCATTCCTTCATTTTGTGTCTAACAGACTAGAAATAATGAGCTCCTATTGACAGGGATATTTTCCTCTTCATACTTTCCTTTACCTTACAGAGCCTTTTATGTAGCAGATATTTAATTTCATAATGGGTCTAAACTACTTGTTTAGACCATGGATGAGTGAAATTTTGATGAATGAGCCCCAATCACCTGAAGGGTGAGTAAAAGAAGAATTTCTAGAGACCCAATATGAAGTAGCTGCTTCACACTTTTTTGAGAATGTTATGGCATGACTGAGGAAATCATAGATGCTGTAGACCATGTTGAGTTGGATTGTGTAAATATAGATTCTGGTATTAGGGAACTCAGCATCTGCTGGATTAGACTTCTTATGGTGAAAGTCTTTTTTTAGGGATTAGGCATAAATCCCCACTGATATTTGTGCAGTAATAGAGTATAGCTCCTGTTTTCTTTCCTGCTTGTATAGCCTGTGCCATTAGTGTCCTCTTTCTCACTGTTTTCTCAAAGGAAAACAGTCAAAGAGGAAGCCATATGCATGGTAGACTTTGTAATCCGGGAAAAGTCAACATATTTCATAGTAGTGCACTTTTTATGTGTTGTCAGTCCTTAGAAAGGATTCATTTTCTCCATATTATATACTACTCTATTTTAAAAATTTCTTGGGGGAGAATGGCTGTAGACAGGCCAATGATAGAATCATAGAATATAGTCACTGTCTAATTACTTTCAATCAAGAGAGGGAACAATAAAGTACAATGTATGTCGCTGACTTCAGTGTGACCACTCAGTATTTCTGTAACACAGTATTTATATTGCTGTACGGTAGAGTTATACTTATTTCTGTGATCCAGTTCATTTGTTTAATATTGGGATTCAAGGAGTGTTGAAGAAATGTCTACTGATTAATAACAGATGGGAAGAGTGTATGTGTTTTAAATAAGAGACCAAGAGAGACAATAAGGAAAATAAGAAGGAAGTGTTTGTGAACCTTTCACATTACTCTTACATTCGGGAAGTCCACAAGACACCGTAGTGGAGATTCTGAGGAGGTGAAAACCTGTAGAAAAATGCTTTATTAGTAAGGAGCTGACTAAGTTGTCAGAAAGTGTTGATTTTTAGAAGGATATTGAGACATTGGGTATATAGGGTATATGACTCCTTGTCTTCCTTTCATTCTGGCTTCTTACCAGCTGTTGTGAATAAGTTTAAGATTTCTTCTGACGTTATAAACTTCAGAAAAGGTATGGCTGTTTGTTCAGTTTGAAGTAGTATCATATCCGCCAAAGCCTTGTTCAATTGTCTTGTTGATTCATGGTTCTCTTCAGTGATAATATTATATGGGATTCCTACCCACAGCCACCCAATATCTCAGTGGAGAAATGCAGGTTTGGAGAGAACATCTGAATAGAATCACGCTAAGATGGTACATTTGCACTGAGACCATTGTTATGTGGCAGGCAGACATGAAGTATCCTAGGATTGATCAGTATGCCTTAATGTAAATAGCTGCATATAGACCTGATTTCTTAGGCTCCCCACTTCAAGCTCTTGAATATTGTGTTGATATCCTTATCAATACACTTTGTCTTGTGTTCTGTGTTGTTTTTCCAAAATATAACGAGCTCCTACTTGACAGGGATTTTTTCTTTCTATTGTCTTACGATAAAATGTCAAGATAAAAATGTATGAGTTTCATTAAAGTTTATTGAATAAAATTTGTGATGGAATGAGTGACAGCGAGGTCATGAATGAGAGAGAATATGGAAATAATGGAGAATGTGATATTCTGATAGTCATGCAATATTCTTTTTGATATAATATGTAACATATATTAGTATGTTATATTCTATGTATTATTTGTCATATATTATTACTATATCCTGTTGCTATATTTGGATAATTTGGGAATCTGCCATGTTTGATGATGTTGAAAAGAGAACATAAAATGTAGTGATTTCTTAATAAGGTGTAGAGGTGTAGGTATTAACTCTTTAAGAATATAGTGATTTATTTTAAAATAATGATAGGAAAGGACCATAAAAATGTCTGAATTTGGGAAATTAGAAAATGTTTTCTCTCTGGGGCTTTCATATGTCTGTTCTATGTGAATGTCGCTTTGCCATGGCTCCCTCTTTGCTAACTCTTCTTAACCCCTGCAGAGAAGGAAGTGTAGTGATGGTATTTTGAGTCCATCTTCAGGTTTATTGGGAATGCAAGGGAAATGAGTTGTTACCAATGGGAGTAAAGGGCTAGTTGCTATGCCAGTAGCTGCTACTTTTGACACTGCTTGAGCAATCTGAATGGCTAGGTTTGAATCTGGCTTCTCAGTCAGAATTTTACCTTCACTCTAATGCTGCTTTTTTTCAAATCACCTATATTTACATAAATATGAACCAACTTCAGTGATCTTAATTCTTTCCCGAAGATCCAAGTTTCTTTCCATCTGCCTGAAGAACTTTCTTTAGCACTTCTGGTATAGCAGACCTACTGATGATAATTTTTCTTTTAGTATATGGTGATTAGTTTACTTTTTATTCAACTGTGTCTTTTTTTGAAGTCTTCTTCATTGAAATATATTGTTACTAAATATAGAATTAATGGCTTTCTTTAAGCACTTCAAAGATAATCCACTGTTTTCTGGACTCCGTTGATACTTAAGTCTTTATTTTTGTGTAATTCTTTTTCTTTAAATGTGCCATTTTTCATTTTTCTCTGACTCCTACCTACTAAGATATTTTTACCTAAGTATTGAGTCAGTTTTGGTTATGATGTGACTCAGTGTGTTTTTATTTATATTGTTTGGTTGTTTGAACTTCTTGAATCTGTAAATGTTGTGCTTTATGTTAAATTTGGGGGGATTTCAGCCATTTAAAATATAACTTTTCAGTCTCTTCCCCCTGGGACTCCAATTTTTACATATGTATTAGACCTATTAATATTTTTCTATGGATACCTGACATTCTTTTTAAATCTTATTTTTGGTGTTTTTCACTTTGAACAACCTAATAATTTGTTTCCATCCATGTTCACTCACTGTTTATTCTATTTTTTCCCAATCTGCTCTTAAGCCTATCCTGTGAATTTTCTTTTTAATTTATTTTATTTTTTAGTTCCAGATATTTTCTGCTTTTTGTTTGTTTTTGAGACAGAATCTTTCTCTGTCACACAGGGTGGAGTGCAGTGTCATGGTTCACCGCAGCCTTGACCTCCTGGTCTCAAGTGATCCTCTCACCTTAACCTACCCACTCCTAAGTAGCTAGAACTACAGGTGCATGCCACCACGCTCAGCTAATTTTTTATTTTTGTAGAGATGGGGTCGTTGTGTTGCCCAAGCTGGTCTTGAACTCCCAGACTCAAGCAGTCTTCCTGCCTCGGCCTCATGCCCGCGCCAACCAGTTCTTTATTTTTAATATTATGTTGTATTTGATGTGCTATCCTATTCATTTAGTATAAGCACATTTTTCTTTATGTCTTCAGCATAATTATATGCTTTTTCAGAATTTTAACATCAGGACTGCTTCCAGGGTAGCTTTATTGCCCTTTGTCTTAAGTATGGATTATAGTTTTCATTCTTTGTATGTCAAGTAATTTTGGATTGTAACTTGAACTTTGAATATACTGTAGAAACTCTGAATTCTATTTTATTCTTCTAAAACAATATTTCTCAGCTTCAGCACTACTGACATTTTGAACTGGGTCATTTTGTTTGTGTTGTTGTGTGTATTTTGGGAGGGTACTGTTCTATATGCATTGTGGGGTACTGAGTATTATCCTTTGTCTCCACTCACTACTTACCAGTAGCATAACTCTCTCTCCTCCCCACATCCCCTGCCAAAAAATGCCTTCAGTCCTTTCTAAGCGCTCTTTTTTATGGTGTTGGGGCCAAAATCATGCATCTTTACTCACTCTTTCTCATTGAGAGCTATGGCTATAAAGGGTAGTGATACTTTTACTTATTTATTTTTAAGGCAAGCAGTTAACTTAGCTGGATTCAAACTCCAGGCTGCCTCGTGTGCTGTGGGAAGCAGCCTACGCTCTATTCAGTTCTTTTCTTTTCATATTGGTTGGGTTACTTTGAGTCTGGCCTACATGATGGGCAGTTTAGAGGTCAACCAAAGGATTTCAGCAGAACTTATACACAGAATTTCATTCAGGCTTCCCGTGTCTGATTGGCTACAGTGTGGGAATTTCCTCCCACTTTTCAGCCACTACTGAGGATGCCTTTCGGCAAAATTCCTTGAAATTGGAAACTTACAGGGAAATTCCTTTCCTCCAAGAGTGCGCTCTCCTCCAGTGTTGGCTTGCTTTTGGTTGTTCTCCGTGGTTTTAGATAGCTGTCTTTATATTAATTCTGGAGTTTACAGTTGATATCTGTTGGGGGCTTAGTTTGATAACATGTATTCTTCTATTACTAGTAGCCAGACCTGTATGTCTTACTTGACCTGATGGAGAAAAGTTTCAACTTATGAGACAATACTGTGCTAGCTAGTTTTACTGATTTGTACTCTAAAGTACCCAAGCCTAAAATAGTAGAGCTGTCTATCCCACATGAAACTTCTCTGATTTTCACTGTTTTTTATAAAAAGTATACATGTTCACATTTCTGTAGGTTTTTTTAAGCATCACAATTTTTATAAACTTTCTATATTTCCAAGGTCTACCTGCTTTGTATTTTGCCTAGTGAGAGTTTTGTATTCATGTAGGAATAATCTCTTGGTGTGAGTATCTATTTTCCACTCATCCAAAACAGATAGAGCATTGATTTCACTAAGCGTTATGTTCTAGTTTGCTTTGGTATTATTATTAGAAATACCTGGTGATTAATTTGAGCTAAGTATTCTTCTCTACCCTCATTCCCAGCATTATCACCCGCTTTTACCACTTCCAAGGGGTGGAAGCATTCTCCACAATGCATTTTTTCATGCCAGAGAAAAATCTAGAAAAAAATGAATAAAACGAAGAAATTCTTTCCCCTTGGTATCTGTAGCTAACTTGCCTAAGTGTTCTTTCCCACAGTTTAAGTCTTCAGTCCATAGTTCATAAGCAAAGGGGTGTAGCGAGCTCTGATCTTGCCAGAAGAGAGAATAAGTGAGCTACCCCACGGTGGACATTCTGGCCATCTGAAATGAGTCGATGCATGTGGCTTTTGTCTAAAGGCTACAAATAAAATGTAACCACTTTCTTCTTTGAGTAGTTGATATAGCAAATAGTTGAAACAGAAGTTTTGATTGGCAAATCAGGATGTGGTAGATACTTTAACAAAGAGTAGAACTATTACCAGTTTTATGTGTTGCTGTTTGTATCTCTTTCACAGTTTTGATAATATCACATCCTGGAAAGTGAAACAGAAAATTATTATTCCATTTTAAATGACTAAATTTGCTTTCATGGTATTTACAGTGAAAGAGTAAATTAGAAAGTGAATGGATGACTGTTCATGAGAAAAAGCAGGGTAAAAAGATTTTATTTAATTAATTGAAAATATTAGGGTCAAAACATAGGCTTATGTTATGTTTTGTGAATTGTGCTGTGTTGTAGACATTTGATGAGTCCTAACATAGAATTGATCTAGCTCTTGAAATACCATTTTTGATTGAGTATAAATGGGATATAGGCACCTTACAACTTCAGAATTCGAGGAAGATGATGTGAATCTTCCAATTTTATCTATTTGATTCAAATGGTATGTTTTTTCACATTTCTCATAATTTCCACGTCAACTCCCATGATGATCATGCAGGAAAGCAGCATGATTGCACTTCTTGTAGTGCATACCATCACTAAAACATAGTTACTGTCTTTCTGTGGTCTTAAGAAAAATTCAGAAACAGCATACCAATGTACATATAAGATAAATAAGCTTATGTGGTACAGTAAGTGTTCTGTTCTGAGAAATACCTTGATTCGTATCCTAATGTCTGATGTTATTGGTAGTTCTCAAACTTCCCCAATTCTGCTTTCATCTAAATTCATCTTATCTATCTATTGTTAAATAATCTATCAGTCCATTTTTATCTATCATCTATATATCTGTCTTTATCAATCATTCGTCTGTAATCTATCTGTGCCGTTTGGCATAAGAGACAGAAGGGCATAGCAGTGGAAACTCAAAGGAGTTACCTCCATGTGAATGGACAGTGGTGATGGTGATCTGTGAGGTGGTGATGTATAGAAAGAAAAACTAGAAGAGAGCATGCCCTAACTCAGGGACCTTGTCCAGCAGGCACTCTGGCCTTGTTATACTGTGCTTGAATATGAAAAAAAAAAAAATCAAAATAGTGCTGACATTCTTTGTCTTCTGGGTCTGAGAAAACTTAGAGTAGATATGATGACTCTGCCATTTCAGTCTTTTGTATTTCCACATTTAGAGCTCAGTTTTAATTATGTAGAATTATTTCTCCAGCCTGTGTTAAACTAGACCATGGATTGGCAAACTTTTTTTGTAAATTGCCAAATACACATTTTCAGTTCTGAAAGCCTTGTGGTCTTTGTTGCAGCTAATCTACTCTGCTGTTGTGTTATGAAAGCAGCCATAGGTAATTTATAATTGAATGAGTGCGCTGTGCCTTTCTTCCAATAAAACTTTACAAAAGCATCCTGTGGGCTGGAGTTTACCCTTTGGGAAACCAGAGCATTGGCTAAACTGGAACCTGAAAAAATAATCACATCAACTCAGCCACATGGTAATAATATTTAGAGTATTATTTCAACATTTTCATTTTCATAAAAATTTTTTTAGCTCTTTTGCCAAATTCCATCTGTGAGTGATACAAATGACTACCACGTGCCATTAACATCACCTAAACAGTGCAAAACAAGCATAGTAGAAGTAATTGGAATGATATAAACCCCTTGCTGTAATAGTTATAGTTGATAAATTATGTTTCAAAATTGAACCTATTTCTTCCAAATTTCATCTATAAAGTTCCAAGGAGTTCCAAAATCTTGCCTGCCTTCTTTTCCCAGTTAGCAGTATTGTCTCTGAGCAGCCATGGTGGTATCCATCCTCCTTGGACAATGAATTTAGCCTATTTTGACTTCATTTGAGCAGTTGTAATTGTTTCACCACATCAGAGTAAGATTACTACATGCCAGAGCTATTCTTTAACTCAGCTTGTAAAAACATGATAGCATCAACAATATACATAGCAAATGAATGCCATCTTTAATCCAATTAAATGGTTTTTACAAATTTGCTCTTGTTTGTTGATGCTATCTGCATTGCAGTAATTAAAGGTGAGGTAAAAAGAATGAATAAACTGCCAAGTTAAAATTAAATTTGGGCAATTTCTCTTTTGCAGTAATGTATGTATATTTACTCAAAACATATGCCAAATTTAGTGTTGAAAGGCTCATTCAAATCAATTGGGAAAGCACGTAAATGAACAATTCATAAAAGAAAAGCATTGCAAATGGCCAAGAGCATAGAAAATGTGCTCAATCTTACCAGTCATTATAAGGAAATAATGAAATTTGTGTATATATGAAATACTTAAAATATATATAAAATAAAACAATTATTTGCCTTTTTTCACCTATCAGATTAACAGATTATATGTGTTAACAAGGTGGGGAGAATTTACAACTCCTGATATGTTAAAATCTTTCAGGAAGGTAGTAGAAAATATATGTAAGATGGAAATTAGCACTTTTGACCAACAATTTTAGTTTTAGATATTTACCTATAAGGATATAATAGGAGGTGTTCAAAGATGCATGTAACTCAATGTAGTATTAATTATAATTGTAAAATAGTAAATAACATTTTTGTCAAATCATAATGTTAGGAAAATTAGTGATGGCACATTTAACCAATTGAATTATATTCAGTTCTGAATACCGTGATGCATGTTCAAATTAATTGATACAAAAATCCAACAACTTTAGCAGTTTGTTTACCAGTTATTGAGTACCAACTGTGTTCAACATTGTTATTTCACTCATATGAAATGATAAATGTATGTGCGTGTTATGATACGGTCAATAAAACCACTTTTATAGGAAGAATACTCACAAAATACAGCGAGTTCTGGTCATTATTTTATTGTTGCATTTGTGTGTTTGTGTGTTTTGAATACATACATGTATTTCAATTAACTATAGCATTTATTGAATTTTTATCACATGTACCAGATGGGGAGATCAACACTTTACATGAATTATAAGTTATAATATAATAACTTATATAATGTTATTATATAATAACTTATTATTATAATAACAGATGGAATAACGAATTTGTCTTTTTAAAAGATAAGTAAATTGAGGTTGAGTTTGAATTTTGTAATTCATTCTATTATATAGAAGTTAAATAAACCTATCCTAGGATGTCACAACCTTTGGATAATAATAATTAAAAATACTTATGATTTATTAAACCCATTGAGCAAAATCATGTTTTGTGAAAGAACCCACATTTCAGAAGTCATATTCATTCTTCTTTTGTCTTTAAGGCCAGAGACATGATAATTATTAAGTGCAGCTTCTCAGGACAGAAAGTGTAAGTGTTGGTATATTGTAGGAACAGGAGAAAAACATGAATAGGAACTTGTCTTTTGGAAATTCTTACAGTATAAACCTTTAAGGAGTTACTTCTAGAAATATGGGGTGCCTTTGCTCAGGATGTGGAACAACATGTTCCCGGGCAGAAACCATATTATACACAAAGCTCTGAGACATCATGGAGGCACAGATGAAAGTCCAAAGAGAAATGGCCAGTAGAAAGAGGATCACTAAATGGAAGAAGCTAACTTTGGAATAGAGCTGGTGACAGGTAATATGATGACTTAAATGCTGCCAATAGCAGGGAAAAGGTCCATGGTAATATCTGAGTGAAGAAACAATTGCCAACTGATCTAGATTTGAAGGGCATAACCTCTTGGAATATTTTTCCAGTGTAATTTGTGATCATATGGTCTGGATTCTACAAAATCTCCCCCATTCTACAAAATCTATAATCAGTTCTCTTCCATTTTCTTCATTCATTCTAACCCTTTTCTAAAGACGGCACTTTGTGTCTTGTGAATGCAATCCCTTAGCAGTTCTCAGCTAGTAGCTGAAACTTTGGTTAAAATGGTAAGCATGGGGGATTGTGACATAAATTTTGCTTTGCTATGGCAGTTATTGAAATATTTTTATAATTTTGACTATTTGTCATGTAAGGAATGCACAGTGCCATTCTAACTGTGTATATTCTGGTATTTGGGGGGTTGGAAATTGACTATATGAGATTCTTGCAGCTGGGTCTCTGACATGTTGAGAATGCTGAAGAAGAAAAAGTACAGAAGGAGAAAGCAGAGATGGGGAAAGCTGCATCCCTCAAATAGGATACCACTGGATACTGAGCAGTGAACAACCTCTGGTTTTGTCGGACACCATTTTGGAATATTTGGACACAGTTTCCGGAAGGATGAGAGACCTAATCAATGGTAGTAAGATGTTTAAAATATTATTAATACGAATGAATGCTTAGGCAAGGTTGACGGTAAAGCTCTTCTGTACAATAGGTAGCGTTAATAAAGAAATGACAAGATTTGGAAAATCAGTATTTGGAAATAATCATAATTGTTTCAGCCAGGAATCATCAAATGATGCTAAAACTTGGAGAAAATTTTAAGAGAAACAGGACATTTGGTGTCCTTATCAGTTACAAAGGGAAAGTAGTAGCTTCCTGATGGAGAACATGGTTGACAGCACCTGAATTAAAGAGGTGAAAGTTAATACCACAGTAGTGGGAACATCAGGCAGCGCTGATAGGATGCACTGAGAAGAACACAGTCTCATTTCTGTAGTATTACTGACTAAACTGCAGAAACCTGAGTCTACCCATGAGGAAACATCAGTCTCAAATTGACTGATATTTTGCTTTTAGTATTCAAACATACTAATTTCACTGAGGAAATGGTCCAGATTATTTCAGACTATATAGACATGAGAATGGAATATCACATTGGTTCAGGATGTCTATAAAAGGATAAGGAAGGTTGGCAAAATTTGAAGACAGTCCCTCAAGTAGATTATAGTGTTACGTGAGTATTAATTGCCTAAGTTATATAATTGCCTGAGGTTATATAACAGAAAATTCTTGTTTTTAAGAAATTAAAACAATTTAAAGGATAAAGGGATAATGTCATAGCTGTAATTTTCCAAGCATTTGGATAAAATAATATACATGTTTCAAAAAAAAAATGAAACAGATGTTGTAAGATGTTAGCAAATAGGGAATCCAGGTGGAAATAATCCAGGAATTATGGATAGTCTTGTATCTGTTCAGCAGGTCTGAAAGTAGTTGATGAAAATAATGCAAAAGAACATGTCAAAAAGAAATGGTTTGGGCATATGGCTTCAAGCATACATAAATGCTCAGGAAACATGAAAATGTGAAATAAATGGATGAGTACTATAATACCAGCAGGCCTTGTAGATACCTGCATTTGAAGCATTTATATTAGAAGGAAGCCTTTTTACCCAGAATTTTTTTCACTTAGCCTAATGTTTTCAAGGTTTGGCCATGTTGCAGCATATATCAGATCTCCATTTTTTTTGATGGAGGAGTGATATTCTATTGTATAAATATATCACATTTTGCTCATCCACTCACTAGTTTTTGGCTATTATGACTAATCCCGCCAGGAATATTTATGTGGAGGTTTTTGTGTGTTTATGTTTTCAATTCTATTATACATGAGAATATAGTAACTGTGTTTATTTGACATTTTGAGGACCTGTCTGTAAGTGATGTTTAAGATAATTTTTGTTACATTTGAAGGCAGATAATAGTCTATGCAAAATGAATATTCTGTTGAATATTGATGTGAACTATTCTTATTGTAAAAAAAAAGTTACATTGAAATAGTAAGTATAGAAGTTATATCTTGGTGGCGGGGCGTGGTGGCTCATGCCTGTAATCCCAGCACTTTGGGAGGCCGAGGCAGGTGGATCACAGGGTCAGGAGATCGAGACCATCCTGGCTAACATGATGAAACCCCATCTTTACTAAAAATACAAAAAATTAGCTGTGCGTGGTGATGAGCGCCTGTAGTCCCAGCTACTCAGGAGGCTGAGGCAGGAGAATCACTTGAACCCAGGAGGCGGAGCTTGCAGTGAGCTGAGATTGTGCCACTGTACTCCAGCCTGGGTGACAGAGCGAGACTCTGTTTCACCCAAAAAAAAAAAAAAAAAAAAAAAAAAGTATTGGTTTTTGTACTCAACAAGCAGTTTTATGTTTTTATTTTTCAGGAACTCTCCAATACTGAATTCAGGCTGGGATATTAGAGAAAAGGAAAATACATGAAACTCAGTGGTGTTTTATGGCACTTTGAGTTCCCCAATTCACCTTCAAACATTTAGCCTTCCAAGTTCTCTGCCACCGTATCAGTGCATCCCTCCTGAGATTCTTAATTCTTTGATTGTGTAAAGATGGACTATGCTTACTCCATCTTACTTCTCTTAGGTCTTACAATGGAAGTGCCCTATTACATTTTGTTCTTTTCTATGATTTCCAATTATTTTATGAAATTTTTCATTTATTTTTTCTGTTCTTTCTATCTTTAATTTCTATGTAACTTTTTGAAATAGATCTCAAAGATTTTATATATATATATATATATATATATACACACACACACAGAGAGAGAGATATATATCTACTGTACTATTGAAGTAGATTCCTAAAGTTTTTATCTCTTCTAGAATATTGGTTTCACAACACCCCTATTATGTGTATTTAATTTTACCCACCACATGGCGTTTTCAAAAAGTCTTTATTTGGCGGAATACAACTTCAGAATCTGATTCGAAGAGAAAATTGCTCACAGCCGTGAGCCACTGTGCCTGGCCGATTTTTACTATTTAAAGAAGGAAGAATTTTAGCAGCGTGGGGTGGCTCATGCCTGTAATCCCAGCACTTTGGGAGGCTGAGGTGGGCGGATCACTTGAGGCCAGTAGTTCAAGAACAGCCTGGCCAACATGACGAAACCCCATCTCTACTAAAAATACAAAAATTAGCCAGGCGTGGTGGCACGTGCCTGTAGTCCCAGCTACTCGAAGGCTTAGGCAGGAGAATCGCTTGAATCAGAGACAGGGAGGCTGCAATGAGCCGAGATTGCACCACTGCACTCCAGCCTGGGCGACAGTGCAAGACTCCATCTCAAAAATAAAGAGGAATTGGAGGAGGAAATAAATGAATAAATGACAAAGGTGACAAAGGACCAAAGATCTGTGACTTGTGCAAAGATTGCTCTGTGGTAATTATTACAGAAACAATGTTTGTATCTTATTTTTTAGGGAATTTTGTATATTGTCTAATCTGATTTACTTTGTTTTTAATAGTTTGCTGCAGGTCTAGAAGATGTCACAGAATTTCAAGGAAGAGAGGTGAGCAGCTGCTGTGGTGATTTTGAAATTGTTTGTGTGTGTTGTGGCCAGTGATGTCAGAATTTCAGGATCTGAGAGTTCATGATTTTAGAGGCTCAAAGGAGAATATTTTTATAACTTTTTTCTATAATTTTTTTATAATTTTTTTATATATTTTTTATAATATTTTATAATTTTTTTTGCTATGTGAGTATCCCTACTTTGTTCAAGGAATCTCATTATCTTTTCCCTTTTTTTAAAAAGGGATTTTTTTGTAGTAACCTGAATAAATTGGGGGAAGTATTGATATATTTCCTTTTCTCACCATTTTTTGTTGGATGAAAATAATCTTTTAGTGAAATTCAGTGTATTAAATATTTATTTTTTAAAGTCTAGAGATGGGGTCATGCTGTGTTTCCCAGGCTGCCCTTGAACTCCTGGGCTCAAGCAATCATCTTGCCTCAACCTCCTGAGTAGCTGGGACTACAGGCATGTGCTGCCATGCCTGGCTTAAATATTTAAAAAATTTTATCTGGCACATTCTGAACACAGATGTTTCTACTTATATTTGTCATGTAGTCACAGTATATATTGATTTTGCTACCTCGCCTACTCCTAAAAGTTTTAATTCATTTAATTGGTCTTAATTGGACTTAAAAATTTTTTCCCTGGCCGGGCGCCTTGGCTCACGCCTGTAATCCCAGCACTTTGGGAAGCCGAGGCAGGCGTTTGAGACCAGCCTGACCAACATGGAGAAACCCTGTCTCTACTAATAATACAAAATTAGCTGGGTGGGGTGGCACATGCCTGTAATCCCAGCTACTCAGGAGGCTGAGGCAGGAGAATCACTTGAACCCGGGAGGCAGAGGTTGCAGTGAGCTGAAATTGTGCCATTGCACTCCAGCCTGGACAACAAGAGCAAAACTCTGTCTCAAAAAAAAAAAAATTCCCAATAGATTTTAATCTAATTTTATTAGAACAATTCAGTCATATGTTTTTTCATGCTATGTATATGAGAGTTCCATTATTCAGATACTAAACAAATGTCTACTGTACATTTACTCTTCTCACTGATGATGGATTAGATAACCATGCACAAAATAAGCCTGGCTGTGGAAATGCTTATTTGTTGGGAGGGTGCTTGTTTGGATCGATGATGAGAATAATTGTCTGAGGATGCTGAGGGACTCATTCCAGATGTCAATCTGAGGTCCAGATGTGTGGCCCTCCAATAGGACAAATAAGACTCTCAGAGCCTGGCTCTATTTGGGGATCCCTCAGTGACAACATAGTACCTCTGTGAGCGTGCCTTTTCTATCTCTCCGAAGAGGGCATTAGCATCCTGTCTTATGAGTCAGTATGCACTTTAGTATGGTTAGTGACCCAAGACTCACTTTATTTTGTTCATTTTGAGCAGAGAATTGTAGATAGATACATATATGGGAAATATGTTCTTGATTAACAAATGAAAAAATGAAAAAGTTTCAGTCAAGAAAGGTCAAGGAACTGTGATGTATAGTGAAGGCAGGGAACACTGCATGCCTGTATTAAATATTGACAAAGGAACCAATTTTAGTGCTTTGTTATTTTTACTGTTGAGTATTTTCTGAGACCATTTCTTTTTCTTCTATTTTGTTTTGCTGAGGTAGAGGAGGGCTGGAATGAGGTCCTCCACTTCAGAAAATAGGGGTGAGTAGTTAAACCAACATCCTTTGGAATTCATATACGTCATGCGTTCCATGCCACATCCTGAGATCTTTTTGTTGATTTTTTTAGTGGCTTACTGGATAATATCTAAATACTGTATATTTTACTTTGGTGAGTCTCTCCACCTTCATTTCTGAATCATTGTCCTTTACATTTTTATTCTATTTGAATTTTGCATGAAATGACAAATGTAGAATTTTGCCCAATTTATTTTATTTATTCATTTATTTATTTGGGAAGACAAAGTCTCTCTCTGTCACCCAGGCTGGAGTACATTGGCCCAGTCAGAGCTCACTTCAGCTCTTCACCCTGTAGCCCTTAACTCCTGGGCTCAAGTGATCCTCCACCCTCAGCCTCCCAAGTATCTAGGAATACAGGTATGTGTTACCACACATAGCTAATTTTTAAATTTTTTATTTTGTGAAGATAGGATCTTACTGTGTTGCTAAGGCTGGTCTTGAACTACTGGGCTCAAGCAGTCCTCTTGTTTTGGCTTCCCAAAGTGCTAGGATTACAGGCAGGAGCCACCATGCCTGGCATCATTAGGGATATTGGTCTGTGATTCACTTTTGATGATGTCTTTGGTTTTGATAAAAATTAGGGTAATAGTAGACTCATGGAATAAGTTGGGAAATGTTTTCTGCTCTCCTGTTTTTTGGAAGAGTTGTGAAGGATTGATGTTATTTCTTTAATGATTTGGTAGAATTCATCAGAGAAATCATTTGTGTGGAATTTTATTTGTGGAAACTTGAGTAGCTAATTCAATCTCTTGTTAAAGGTGACTTCAATTTTCTGTTTTTCCTTCTTGTGACAGTTCCTGTAATTTATATATTTCTAGGAATGTGCCTATTTAATCTAGGTTATGTAATTTGTTGACATAACTTGTTTATATAAGGGTGTTAGTCTGATTTTCATCCCAGATTTTATGAAAATTGGGTCTTCTGTTTTCAGTAGTGTAGATATAGTTATGTCAATTTTTTAAGAGACAGAGTCTTACTGTGTTGTTTATGCTGGCCTTGAACTTCTGAGCCTAAGCAATCCTGCTACCTCTGCATCTTGAGTAGGTGGGAGTGTGGGAACACACCACCACACCTGGCCTGTCACTAAACAAACAAAAAATTTCAGTGAACCAGCTTTTGATATTTTTATTTTTCTTCTGTATTTTTTATTTTATTTATTGGCATTTTATTCTTATATCTTTTATTCTACTTGATTTAGCTTTGCTTTGTTTTTCTGTTTTCTTAAGGTAAAAGTTTAGATTATTGATTTGAGATTTTCCTTTTTTTAATATGGACATTTACAGCTATAAATTTCCCAAAGAACTCTTTTAGCTACATATATATTTTCTTTTGTTGTGTTTTGTTTCCTTTGATTTCAAACTATTTTATAAATTTTCTTATTTCTCCCAAGAACTCCCAATGATTCTTAGTAATGTGTTAATTTCCATATATTGTGAATTCCCCCCAATTTTTTTCCTTTATTTCTGATATGATTCTATTGTGGTTGGACACCATACTTTTCTGATTTCTTTACTTTCAGATTTGTTGATACCAGTGTGTGGTCTAATACCTACCCTGCACACTGTTCCATGTGCACTTGAAAATAATATATTTTCTACTGGTTAGATTGTTCCATAGATGGATGTTATGTAACTGTTTTATAGTGTTGTTTGTCTTCTATTTCCTTGATCTTCTGTCTCATTGTTATGTTCATCATTGAAAGTGAGGTATTGAAATTTTCAGTTATTATAATGTTTATTTTGCCTTCCATTCTGTCATTTTTAAAATTTAATTTGGGGGTTATGTTGTTGGATGCACGTATCTTTATTATTGTTATATCTTCCTGATGGATTGACAGTTTAATCATCATGAAATGTCCTTTGTCTCTACCAACAATTTTTTTTTTTTTGAGATGGAGTCTCGCTCTGTTGCCCAGGCTGGAGTGCAGTGGCACCATCTCTGCTCACCACAAGCTCCGCCTCCTGGGTTCACACCATTCTCCTGCCTCAGCCTCCCGAGTAGCTGGGATTACAGGCACCTGTCACCACGCCTGGCTAATTTTTTGTATTTTTAGTAGAGACGGGGTTTCACCATGTTAGCCAGGATGGTCTCGATCTCCTGACCTCGTGATCCACCCACCTCGGCCTCCCAAAGTGCTGGGATTACAGGCGTGAGCCACCGTGCCTGGCCCTCTACCAACAATTTTTATCTTGAAATTTATTTAGCCTGATAATTGTAGTTTTTGTCTGACTTATAGCCCATAAACTCTCTCTGGTTACTGTATGCAGTTTATCTTGTCATTATTTTACTATCTACCTATTTTTAATTAAAACAAAATATCTTTGAGACAGGATCTCACTCTCTCACCCATGCTGTAGCGCAATGGCATGATCATAGCTCACTGCAACCTGAAACTCTTGTAATTCAAGCAATTCTTCCACCTCAGCCTCCTGAGTATCTGAAACTACAGGCCAACACCACCACACCTGGCTAATTTTTTTGTATTTTTTTTCTTGTAGAGATGAAATCTTGGTATCTTGCCCAGGATGGTTATTTTCTACCTATTTTTTGTCCTTGAATCTAAAGTGTATCTTTTGTAGAGAGCATATAGTTGTATCATGTGTTTTTTTAAAAAGATACATCTCTGCCTTTTAAGTGGAGAGTTTACTTCATGAACATTTAATGTAATTACTGATAAGGTAAAATTCACATCTGCCATTTTCTATTTTCTTTTATGGCATATATCTGTTTTGTTTTTCTTATTGTTCTTTATGTTAAATAAGTAATAGTGTACTGCTTTAATTTTCTTTTTAATTTTTTGTGTTTACTTATTAGTGGTTGCCTTTGAGATTATAGTTAATTTGTTAATTTATAATATAGCTTAGATTTAATAGTTAATTTTAATAGTACACAGAAACTATTTTTCAATATAGCTCTGTTTTCTCACCCTTCCTTTTGTATATTATTGTCATTCAAACATTTATACCATCTTTTATATTTGCCTAATAATTATTTTACTGGTCCTGTGCATTTCTTCATATGGATCAAAGTTAATGTCTAGTGCTATTTCACTTAAGGCTGAAGTCTCCATTTAATTTTTCTGGTAGGATAGGTATTTTGACAAATTCAGCTTTTGTTGGTTTAGAATGTCATTTCTTTTTTATTTTTGAAGAGTACTTTTGCTGTTTCAAGATCTATGGGTAGACAGTCTTACTTCTTTTTCTTTAAAATAGTTTGAATATGTTATCTTACTGTTTTATGGCTTCAAGAGTTTCTGATGAGAAATCAGCTGTTAGTCTCATTGAGGATTCCTTGTACCTGATGGGTTTGTTTTTCTCTTCATATTTTGAAGACTGGCTTTTGAAATTTTTACTATGACGTCTCCATGTCTTTATGTGTATCTCACTTGAGTGAGTCAAGTTCATTTGACTCATTTTATATGTACATGTATGTTTTTCCCTTACATTAAGGAAATTTTAGGCGTTTGTTCTTCAAACTGTTTCTGCCCTTCTACTGTGACTTTTATGAACATGTTGATATGCTGTGTTCCTCAGTTCTCTGAAGCTGTTTTTCTTTTTTCTTTCTGCTTCACAGAATGGATCTCCTCAACTGTCCTGTATTCAAATTCGATTACCTTTTCCTGCTAGCTCAAATAGTGTGATTAAATTTTTCTAGTGAATTTTTATTATTTATTTCTCTGTATCTTTATTGTCTAGTAATTGATACATTTTTAAAAAATTTAAATTTTAGGTTTAGGAGTACATGTGCAAGTTTGTTATATAGGTAGATTGTGAGTCATGTTGGTTTGGTGTACAGATTATTTCATTACCCAGGTAATAAGCATAGTACCTGATAGGTAGTTTTTTGATCCTCACTCTCCTCCCACCTTCTACCTTCAAGTGCTCCCAGTTACAAGAGAGAATGTATGGCATTTAGTTTACTGTTCCTGCATCAATGTGCTTAGGATTATGGCCTCCAGCTCTATTCATGTTGCTGTAAAGAACATGATTTCATTCTTTTTTCATGGCTACATAGTATTCCAAGGTGAAAATGCTCCATATTTTCTATGTCCAGTCTACCAGTGTGATAGTTAATATTGAGTGTCAACTTGATTGGATTGAAGGATGCACAGTATTGTTCCTGGATGTGTCTCTGTGAAGGTGTTGCCAAAGGAGATTAAAATTTGAGTCAGTGAATTGGGAGAGACAGATTCACCCTCAATCTGGGTGGGCACAATCTAATCAGCTGCACAGTCTCATCAGCTGCTGGTAGAATAAAGCAAGCAGAAGAATATAGAAGGACTAGACTGTCTGAGTCTTCCAGCCTTCATCTTTCACCCATGCTAGATGCTTCCTGCCCTTGAACATTGGACTTCAAGCTCTTGTACTCTTGGACTTACACCAGTTGTTTGCAAGGGGCTCTCAGGCCTTCAGCCCACACTGTTGGCTTCCCGACTTTTGAGGTTTTGGGACTCAGACTAGCTTCCTTGCTCCTCAGCTTGCAGAGGAACTATTATGGGACTTCACCTTGTGATTGTGTGAGTCCATCCTCCTTAATAAACTCCCTTTTATATATACATCTATCCTATTAGTCCTGTCCTTCTGGGAAACCCTGACTAATACAACCAGTCCTGGGTACCTGGGTTGATTGTATGTCTTTGCTCTTGTGAATACCACAGTGATGAACATTGAAGTGCATGTGTCTTTTGGTAGAATGATTTATTTTCTTTTGGGTATATACCAGAAATGGGATTGTTGGGTGAAACTGTAGCTCTGTTTTAAGTTATTTGAGAAATTCTCAGACTGTTTTCCTCAGTGACCGGACTAATTTACATTCCCACCAACAGTGTTTAAACATTCCCCTTTTTCTTCAGGCTTGCCAGGATCTTTCTCTTTTTTGCTTTTAATAATAGCCATTCTGACGTTGTGAGATACTATCTTATTGTGGGGTTTTTTTTGTTGTCGTCGTTGTTTGTTTTTCGAGACAGAGTCGCCCAGGGTGGAGTGCAGTGGTGTGATCTCTGCTCACTGCAGCCTATGCCTCCCGGGTTCAAGCGATTCTCCTGCCTTAGAGTCCCAAGTAGCTGGGACTGCAGGCGTGTGCCACCATGCCTGGCTACTTTTTGTATTTTTAGTACAGATGGGGTTTCACCATGTTGGCCAGGCTGGTCTCGAACTCGTGACCTTGAGTGATCCACCACCATGGCCTCCCACTGCTGGGATTACAGGCATGAGCCACCGCATCGGGCCCTTATGGTGGTTTTGATTTGAATTTCTCTGATGATTAGTGATACTAAGAGCATTTTTTCATATGTTTGTTGACCATTCTATATCTTCTTTTGAAAAGTGCCTCTTAATGGGGTTGATTTTTGCTTGTTGATTTATTTAAGTGCCCTATAGATTCAGGATATTAGGCTTCTGTCAAATGCATAGTTTGTCAATGATCTCTGTTCGCCAATGATATGGTTCTATACCTAGAAAATGCCTTCTTTAAGAAAATAAAATTGTATTTTGTGGATGTATCACATTTTCCTTATATATCTGCTTTGGGCATTTGGGTTGCTTCTGCCTCTTGGGCATTATGAATAATGCTACAGTGAATATGGATATGCAGATGTATGTTTGAGATCTTGCTTTGAATTACTTTGGATATATACCCAAAAGTGGGATTCCTGGATCATATGGTAATTCTATTGTTAATTTTTCAGGAACCTCCATACATTTTTCCACAATGGCTGTACCATTTTATGTTCCCATCAACAGCATGCAAAGGTTCCAGTTTCTCCACATTGTCACCAACACTTGCTGTTTTTTATTTCACTCTTGTTGCCCAGGCTGGAGTGCAATGGCACTGTCTTGGTTCACTGCAACCTCCACCTCCTGAGTTCAAGCGATTCTCCTGCCTCAGTCTCCCCGAGTAGCTGGGATTACAGGTGCCTGCCACCATGCCCAGCTAATTTTTATATTTTTAGTAGAGACAGGGTTTCACCATGTTGGCCAGGCTGGTCTTGAACTCCTGACCTCAGGTGATCCACCTGCCTTGGCCTCCCAAAGTGCTGGGATTATAGGCCTGAGCCACCACGCCTGGCTCGTTGTTTTTCAATTGTATCTTCTAATGGATGTGAGGTGATACCTCATTATGGTTTTGATTTGCATTTGTTTAGTAATTAGTGATACTGAGCATGTTTTCATATACCTGTTGTCCATTTGTTTATCTTCTTTGGAAAAAAATCTATTCAATTACTTTGCCCCTTTTTTAAAATTAGGGTTTTTTGTTGTAATCTGAGTTTGTTCCCTCCCTCCCTCACTCTCTCCCTCCCTCTCTTCCCTCCTTCCCTCCCTCCTTCCTTCCTTCCTTCCTTCCTTCCTTCCTTCCTTCCTTCCTTCCTTCCTTCCTTCCTTTCTTCCTTCCTTCCCTCCCTCCCTGTCTCCCTCCCTGTCTCCCTCCATGTCTCCCTCCCTGTCTCCCTCCCTCCCTCCCTTCTTTTCTCCCTTCCTCCCTCCCTTCCTCCCTCCCTTTCTCCCTTCCTCCCTTCCTTGATCACATCCACATCCTTCCTTCCTTCGTGCTGTGTTGCTCAGCATGGAGAGCAGTGCCAAAATCATGGCTCACTGCAGCCTCAACTTTCCAGGTGCCAGAGAGCCTCCCACCTCGTGCTCGTGGGACCACAGGCACATGCCAACACGTCTAGCTAATTGTTTTTTAATTTTTATTTTTTGGTAGATATGGGGGTCTCACTGTGTTGCACAGGCTGGTTTCAAACTCATAGGCTCAAGGAATCTTCAAACCATGGCCTCTCAAAGTGTTGACATTACAGGCATGAGTTACCATGCCCATCCTGCATGTGAAAGCCTTACGAGATATGATATGCAAATATTTCTCTCATTTGGTACGTTTCCTCTTTCATTCTGTTGATTGTTTCCCTTCATGTACAAACATTTTAGGTTTGATGTAGTCTTGCTTGTCTGTTTTTGCTTTTGTTGGTTATACTTTTAGTGTCACATTCAAAAACTTATTGACAAAAACAAGAAGGGTTTCCATGTGTTTTCTTCTAGTTTTACAATGTCAAGATGTATCTTTAAGTACTTAATTTATTTTGAGTTGATTTTTGTGTATGTTGTAAGGTAAGGATTCAGTTTACTTTTTTTTTTTAATTTGCGGATATCCAGTATGCCAAATATGATTAGTTAGATAAACTGTGCTCTGAGCACCCATGTCAAAGATAAATTGAGTAGAGTACATGGATTTATTTCTGCATTCTTCATTCTTTTCCATTAGATTATGTCTGTTTTTTGCCAGTATTCTAGTATTTTGAATTACTATAGCTTTGTTATATACTTGGAAATCAAGAAGTGCCTCCACCTTTGTGTTTCATGCTGAATATTGATTTAGCTATTTTGGTTCTTTTGTGGATCCAGATAAATTGTATGATTTTTTTCTCTATTTCTGGAAAAATGTGATTGTGATTTTGATAGGAATTATAGTGAATCAGTAGATAACTTTGGGTAGTATGGATATTTTGACAATATTAATTAGTCCCAGTGGTGGTGTTGAGGCCGTGTTGACCTGGAGGCACTGGGGTCAGTGATAGTGTTGTCAAGTTGGCTGCAGGATGGGATGGTGCCTGGGAGGTCAGTGCATAAAAATCCTATGGATGTGATCAAGGAAAGGGTGATGGAAGGTGATGTGTCCTGTCTGCTTGGTCCTTGTAGGATCAGGCAGGACATCCTGTAATAAAAGGAGACATTACCTTCGGATGTCCTGAGGGCATGGTGCAGGCACCAGGACTGAGTGGAGGGGAGGAAGCTCATGTCTTGAGGTCCTTTGGCTACATGGGGAAGACTGTCTCTGGGCTTGATGCTGAGTTCCAGACTGACGTGCTGGCTGTTGTGATGGTGCTCTCCAGTGCTGGTTGTGGTTGGTTTTTGGCTAGGTACACCTCACCTGGGACAGTGGCCAAAGACAGTGTCAGTTCCAGACATCAGAAGCCCCATGAGGAAGAGCATGTGCTCGCGCCAGGAGTGGTGGCTGTTAGGGGAGGGACCTCAGACCTATGTCTGCATGGCCTGAGGTCAGAGTTCACATCCTACTGATTGAAGACCTTGTTCTTGAGCTGTCCGGTTGCCACAGGGTCGGACCTGGAGGCTGCAGACCATCGTGGCCCTTTGCAGTGTTCGGAAACATATGCGCACCCCAGGGAGGGACACACACACACACACACACACACACACACACACACACACACACGCAAACTCACAAACACAACACACAGACAGAAAATGACAAATAAACACACACACTCACACACACACACACAGGAGCCCACAGAAAAAAGCAAATAGACGCAGAAACGGGCACGTGCAGTAGTTCTGGCCACACATGTTCCCTAGGTATCCACAGAATGGCATGGGTATTGTATATTCATAAAGATGGAGATCAGTCATGGAGGCCAAGGACAAGTAGGTGCACTGGTTGAACTACAGTAGAGAATGGCATGGAAGTGGTGAGCAATGGACCTGGGCCTGTTTCTCAAGTGTGTATTTGATTTCTTTACAATTCCCCGGAGAAGTTGTCATGGGAGGCCAGCCGCCTGCTGGCAAGGAAGATGGTTGATTCTTCTGATCAATGGAGGCCCTGCAGAGTCCTGTAGTCACTGTGGCCTGGCATCCATGGTGCACCCAATGCTGGTGGATGGCTTAGGACGGTAAGCATTCCTCTGCCCCACGTGCTGAATGAGAGTGGCTTTTGGATGTCCTATACCTTCAAGGAGCTGTTTGTCAGCAGCGAATGACATGGCAAGTTCCACTCCTAGAGTGGATGGTCTGTGCCCATTGCTCAGTGGTGCAGCTCTGGCTTCCCCAGCATGCTGAATGTCTTTAAGGTCATCAGCTCGCCCCTTCCCAGCCTGTGGTGTCAAATGTCTTGCCCCTTGTCAAATGTGCTTGGATCGATGATGAGTCCCCTATAAAAACATTCCTTGGAAAAGCTGAACAAAATGAGTGAGAACTCATAACGTCATTCTCATCGGAACTGAGGTCCAGCATGTTGCTTCCTCTGGGGCCTGTAGGAGTGAGGGACAACTTCCACTGATTCCCATAGGTTCCACCACCCAGGGCATCCACAGACAAAAGTCTCGTGTCACAGGCACGTTAGGAACATTCCCTCTGTGTGAGGTACATGGGTGGGAGAGTGATGGGGGATTCGGCCGCTCTGTGATGGCGTGGTGGCCGTGGAAGCAGGCAGAAATGTTGCAGGCCTAGGGGAAGTGGAAATGTTGCCAGCACAGGGGTGTGTGCTACTGGTAAGCTCCCAGAAGGAAGACCCGGACCTCACAGTGGTCATCTCAGTGCAGAAGACCAGGTGTCTGTTTTCATGTCGAGGAGAGCCCAAGGCCCAGACCTCAGGCAGACCTTGGTGTTGATTTTTGATTAGTTGAGAACAGGGGAGTGCCAAGGTGTTAGGGGAGAGTGCAGAGCAATAGGTGTCGGGGCAAACAGTGAAAGCCTCTTCAGCCTACCCTGCAGCATTGGTCACCAGGAGCCCTCCTGGAAGGGATTTCTTTGCCTCCTGAGCTGTGAGATGCCTGTGGTGCAGTGGCAGAGGCCTAGGTAGGAAGGTACTCCAGGGGAAAGGTGGTAGAGGGATCACATGGACATGAGTGTCATTAGCAGGCTTGGGCTGTCATTCAGGGGTGATGGGCTTCCCATGGATTTTTCTGGTGGAAGACAGGTTGGCCAGCAGGGGTCTTCGAGGCCAGGTCCTGGGGAGCACGAGGATCGAGTTGGTGCCCGTGGCCCTGGGTCACTTCCAGTCTTCCCAGGAGAGTAATGGGCTCCTCCATTGTGCAAATCTTCCTATAAATGGTCTCTTGGCCCGCCATTATTGGGCGGCTCCACCTGCTGCAGCTTGTATGAGCAAATACTGCTCTGGATCCTCTTTCCTGCTTGGAAAGCAGCTTCAGTCCTGAAGGTCCAGAGTGAATGTGCCCTGACCCTGGCTCTGGCCCAAGTCTGTGCCGTAGGTACTCGTCACACTTGGAGCTATCCATGGAGGTCTGTGTGCATTCCAGGCAACACGGGTGCAATCCCAGGGGTGCTGCCACAGAGTCCTTTTACTTGGGATGCCTCACACCTCTGCATGTTGGCAATATTTAAGTGTTGGAGTCCACTACACCCTAGGGGTGATGAACTGTTTTGGCTCCCTTAACCGGTTTGAAGTCTCAGCGCAGCCAGGACAGCCATGCCATGTTGAAGGGCATGCAGATGGCTTAGGAATGTTGGAAAGGATGGGTGGTTCTGAGCTCGCAGCTCACTCACTAGCTGCATGCATGTAGACCCAGTGGTGGTGTTCAGGTAGTGTTGACTTTGAGGCATTGCGGCGGGTAGTAGTGCAGTCAAGTTGGCTGCATAATGGGATGTTGCCTCAGAGGTCAGTACAGGATAGCCCTGTGGGTGTGTCCAATGCAAGGAAAATGAAAGGCAGTGTATCCCATCCGCCTGGTCCTTGGGACATCGGTAGGGGGGACGTCCCATTGGAAAAGCAGCCATTCCGTTTGTGTGTCGAGAGGGCATAGTGCAGGCACATGGACTGAGTGGAGGGGAGGAAGGCTGTGTCTTGAGGTCCTTTGGCTAGATTGGGAAGACCACCTCTGGCCTTGACGCCAAGTTTCAGGCTGATGTGCTGGCCATTGCAAAGGCGCCCTCCAGCACAGGTTGTGATTGGTTTTCCACCAGGTACGCCTCACCTGAGAGGGCGGCTAGAGACAGTGTCTGCTCAGGACATCAGATGTCCCGTGAGGAGGAGTGTGTACTCACACCAGGGGAGTTGACTGGTAGGCGAGCCACCTTGGGCCTATGTCCGCATGGTCTCCAGGTCAAAATTCACATCCTACTGATTGAAGGCCTTGGTCTTCAGCTGTTGGGTTGGCGTGGTGTCAGGCCAGGAGGCTGCAGACTATGACTGCCTGTTGCAGTGTTGGGAAACACACATGTTAGGAAACACATGTGCATGAGGGAGACACACACACACACATTCATACACACACACACACACACACAGAGGCATGCCGAGCCACAGGCAAATACATGCAGCAATGGGCGTATGTGACCACGTGCACTTTTAGGTATCCACAGAGTAACACATGTAAGATATATTCATGGAGATGGAGGTCAGTCGTGGAAGCCAAGGAATAACGGGTGTGCAAGTTGCCCAACGGGAAAGAATGGGATTGAAGTGTTGACCAGTGGACCTGAGCCCATTTCTCAAGCGTTTATTTGATTTCTTTACACTTCTCAGAGGCAGTTGCTGTGGGAGGTGTGGTAACTGCTGGAAGGAAGATGCTCAATTCTTCTGAGCAACGAAGGCCACACGGAGTCCTGGATTCTGTGTGGCCTGGCATCCATGGCGCACTGTGTGCTGGCAGGTGGCTCAGGACGGTAAGCATTTCTCTGCCCAGTATGCTGAATGAGGGTGTCTTTCGGATTTCCAAGACCCGCAAGGAGCAGTTTCTCAGCTAACCACTAATGGCATGGCGAGTTCCTCTCCTAGAGTGGATAGTCTGTGCTCATTGCTCAGTGGCATCGCTCTAGTGGGGCCGAAGGTCTTTAAGGTCATTGGCTCACCCACTGCCCAGCCTGTGGTGTCAAATATCCTGCCCCTTGCCCCTTCAAATGTGCTTGGATCGATGATGAGTCCCCAAAAAAAACATTCCTTGGAAAAGCTGAACAAAATGAGTGAAAACTCATACCGTCATTCTCATCGGAACTGAGGTCCAGCACGTTGCCTTCCCCGGGGACTGTAGGAGTGAGGGACAACTTCCACTGATTCCCATAGGTTCCACCACCCAAGGCATCCACAGCCAAAGTCTCCCATCAAATGCTCATTAGGAACATTCCCTTTTTGTGAGGTACACAGGTAGGAGAGTCCTGGGGGGAACGGCTGCTCTGTGATGGCCTGGTGGCCATGGAAGCAGACAGAAATATCGCAGGCCTAGGGTAGTGTGCGCCTGATCTTGGCTTGGTGAGCTCCTAGGAAGGGAGACGCGGACCTCGTGGCAGGCGTCTCTGAGCAGAGGACTGAGTCCTTGTTTTCTTGCCGGGGAGAGCACAAGGCCCAGGCCTCAGGCAGATGTTGGTCCTGATTTTTGATTAGCTGAGGACAAGGGAGTGCCAAGGGTGATGGGGGACAGTGTATAACAAAGGGTGTTGTGACAGAGAGCCAAAGCCTCTTTGGCCCTCCACCCAGCATCCAGTCATGGAGGCCCCCCAGCAGGGATTTCTTCATCCCCTGAGCCGTGAGATGCCCCTGGTGCTATGGTGGAAGCCTGGACTGGAAGGTACTCCACAGAAGAGGTGGTAGGGGGCTTATGTGGACATGTGTGTCATCAGCAGTCTTGGGCTGTTGTTCAGCGTTGATGGGCTTTCCATTTATTTCTCTAGTGGATGACAAGTTGGCCAGCAGAGGTGTCAGAGGGCAGGTTCCAGGGAATACAAGGGTCAGACTTGTGCTCCTGGCCCTTGGTCACTTCTCGTCTTCCTGACAGAGTAGTGGGCTCCACTGTTGGGCACATCTTCCTGGAAGTCGTCTCTTGGCCCGCCATTGCCGAGCGGCCACACCTGCTGCAGCTCGTGTGAGCAAATATGGCTCTGGATCCTCTTTCCTGCTTTGAAAGCAGCTTCCATCCTGAAGGCGTCCAGAGGGTATGTGTCCTGGCCCTGGCCAGGAACTCTGCTGTGGGCATTGGTCACACGTGGCTATCCATGGAGATCCGGGTGCATTCCAGGCAACATTCTAGGGGCCTGCCATGGAGAGTTCGTTGACTTGGGATGCCCCTGCACCTCCCATGTTGGTGATGTTCCAGTGTTGCATTCTGCTACACCCTAAGGGTGATGAAGCATTTCAGCTCCCTTAAACAGTTTGATGTCACAGTGCAGCCAGGACAGCCATATCATGTTGAGGGGCCCACGACTGCATTAGGAATGTTGGAAGGGATTGGTGGTTCTGCAGATCGCAGCTCATTAGTAGCTGTTTACTTGTAGACCTGGTGATGGTGCTGAGGCAGTGTTGACTTGCAGGAGTTGGGATGGGTGGTAATGCAGTCAAGTTGGCTGCATGATGGGATGTTGCCTCAGAGTTCTGTGCAGAGAAGCCCTGTGGGTGTAACCAGTGCAAGGACCATGGAAGGCAGTGTGTCCTGTCAACCTGGTCCTTGGGGAAGGGACGTCCTGTTGGAAAACAGCCATTCCCTTCGGTTGTCCTGAAGGTGCAGTGCGGGCATGTGGACTGAGTGGAGGAAGCCCGTGTCTTGAGATCCTTTGGCTAGGTTGGGAAGATTGCCTCTGGCTTGATGCCATTTTCAGACCTATGGGTTGGTAATTGTGAAGGCGCCCTCACGTGCTGGTTGTGGTTGGTTTTCCGCCAAGTGAGCCTCACCTGGGAGTGCAGCCAGAGACAGTGTCAGGTCACAACATCAGATGCCCCATGAGGAGGAGCATGTGCTCACTCCAGGGGTGGTGGCTGTTAGGTGAGGGACCTCAGGCCTATGTCCTCCTGGCCTGATTTTACATCCTACTGATTGAAGACCTTGGTCTTGAGCCTTCGGGTTGCAGGGGCTTCAGGTCTGGAGGCTGCAGACTATGGCCTCCTGTTGCGGTGTTGGGAAACACATGTGCATGAGGGAAACACACATACACTATCACACACACAAACAGGCGCTCACAGCCACAGGCAAATATACGTAGCACCACGTGCGTGTGGTCGTTCCGGCCACACGTGCTTCCTAGGTGTCTAGAAAGTGACACAGTCAGATACATTTATAAAGATGGAGGTCCATAATGGAGGCCAAGGAGAAGCGGGCATGTGTGTTGCTCTGTGGAAGAGAGTGGCGTTGAAGTGACCAGTGAACCTGGGCCCATTTCTCAAGCATGCATTTGATTTCTTTACACTTCTCAGGGGCAGTTATCATGGGACACCCGCCATATGCTGGCAAGGAAGATGGTCAGTTCTTCTGAGCCACAAAGGCCCCCAACATCCTGGAGTTGGTGTTGCCTAGCATCCACGGTGCGCCCCCTGCTGGTGGATGGCTCAGGATGGTAAGCATTCCTCCGCCGCACATGCTGAGTGGGGGTGGGATTTCCAAGACCTGCAAGGAGCTGTTTCTCAGCAGGCCACTGATGGCATGGCGAGTTCCACTCCTAAAGTGAACGGTCTGTGCCCATTGTTCAGTGGTGCAGCTCTGGCTTCCCCAGCGTGCGGAGGGTTTTTAAGGTCATCGGCTTGCCCACTGCCCAGCCTGTGGTGTCAAATATCCTGCCCCTTCAAATGTGCTTGGATCGATGATGAGTCCCCCATAAAAACATTCCTTGGAAAAGCTGAACAAAATGAGTGAGAACTCATACCGTCGTTCTCATCGGAACTGAGGTCCAGCACATTGCCTCCCCCGGGGACTGTAGGAGCGAGGGACAACTTCCACTGGTTCCCAGAGGTTCTACCACTCAGGGCGTCCATGGATGAAAGTCTCACATCACAGGCACAATAGAAATATTCCCTCTGTGTGAGGTATACAAGTAGGAGAGTCATGGGGGGATTGGCTGCTCTGTGATGTCGTGGCAACTGTAGAAGTGGGTGGAAATGCAGACCTAGGGGAGTGTGCGGCTGGCCTTGGCTTGGTGAGCTGCCAGGAAGGGAGACCCTGACCTCCTGATGGGCCTCTCTATGTGGCGGACCAGGTCTTTTTTTTATGCCAAGGAGAGCACAAGGCCCAGACCTCAGACAGACCTTGGTCTTGATTTTCAGTTATCTGAGGAGAGGGGAGTGCCAAAGTGATGGGGGACAGTGGAGAGCAATGGGTGTTGTGGCAGACAGCCAAAGCCTCTTTGGCCCTCCCCCCAGTGTTGGTTACAGGGGCCCCTGGCAGCAATTTCTTTGGCTCCTGAGCCATGAGTTATCCATGGTGTGGTGGCTCAGCCTGGGCAGGACAGTACCCCAGAGAAAAGGTGGTAGAGGGCTCACATGGACACGCGTGTCATCAGTGGTCTTGGGCTGTCATTTGGCAGTGATGGGCTTTCCATGGATTTCTATTGTGGATGACAGGTTAGCCAGTGGGGCCTTCAAGGGCAGATCCAAGGAGCATGAGTGTTGGGCTGTAGCCCGTGGCCCTCGGTCACTTCTGGTCTTCCCGGCAGAATAGTGGGCTCCACCGTTGTGCACATCTTCCTGGAAATGGTCTCTTGGCCCTCCATTGCTGAGCAGCCCCACATGCTGCAGCTCTTGTGAGCAAATAACTGCTTTGGATCTTCCGTCCTGCTTTGAAAGTGGCTTCCATCCTGAAGACTTTCAGAGGGAATGTGCCCTGGCCCTGGCCCTGGCTCGGAACTCTCCTGTGGGATTCGGTCACACTTGGAGCTGTCCATGGGGGTCTGTGTGCAGTCCAGACAATGCATATTTAATCCTAGGTGCCTTCCATAGAGAGTCCCTTGATTTGAGTTGCCTCTACTCCTCTGCATGTTGGTGATACTCAAGTGTTGGATTTAGCTACGCCCTAGGTGTGATGAACTGTTTCAACCCCGTTAGTCTCAGCGTAGCCAGGATAGTCATGCCATGTTGAAGGGCATGCAGATGGCTTAGGAAAGTTGGAAAGGATTGGTCATTCTGCGGCTCGTGGCTCACTTAGTAGCCATGTGCATGTAGACCTGGTGGTGGTTGTCAGATGTCGTTGAGCAGGTGTTGGGGAGGATGGTCCTGCATCCAAGTTGGCTGCGTGGTGGGATGTTGCGTCGGAGGTCGGTGCAAGGAAGGCCTTTGAGTGTGATCGATGCAAGGATGATGGAAGGCACTGTGTCCTGTCTGCCTGGTGTTTGGGGCGTTAGGCAGGGATGTCCCATGGGAAAAGCAGCCATTCCCTTTGGGTGTCCTGAGGACATGGTGCAGGTACATGGACTGAGTGGAGGAGAGGAAGCCCGTGTCTTGAGGTCATTTGCCTAGGTTGGGCAGACTGCCTGTGGCCTTGATGCTGAGTTTCAGAGTGACGTGCTGGCCGTTGCAAAGGCGCCCTCCAGTGCTGGTTGTGTTTGGTTTTGTGCCAGGTGTGCCTTTCCTGGGAGTGCTGCCAGAGACAGTGTCTGGTCACGACATCAGATGCCCCGTGAGGAGGAGCTTATGCTCAGGCTAGGGATGGTGGCTGTTATGTGAGGGCCCTTGGGCCTATGTCTGCATGGCCTCGAGGTCAGAGTTTACATCCTGCTGATTGAAGGCCTTGGTCTTGAATTGTTGGGTTGGTAGGGGCTCAGGTCTGGAGGCCGCAGACTATGACTGCATGTTGCCATGTTGGGAAACTCGTGTTGGGAAACACATGTGCATGAGGGAGATACACACACACACACACACACACACACACAGCCACTCAGCAATGTGTGTGTGCGCGGTCGGTCTGGCGCCACACACAGCTCCAAGCTGTTTGCAGAGTGCCACTGGTAAGGTACATTCATGGAAACAGAGGTCACTCATGGAGGCCAACAGAAGCAAGGCGTGCAAGTTGCCACGCATGAAAGAATGGCACTGAAGTAGTGACCAGTGGACCTGGGCCTGTTTCTCAAGCGTACATTTGATTTCTTTATACTTCTCAGGGGCAGTTGCCGTGGGAGGCCCGCTGCCTGCTGGAAGGAAGATGGTCAGTTCTTCTGAACCACAAAGGCCCTGCAGAGTCCTGGAGTCTGTGTGGCCTGGCTTCCAGGGTTCACCTCATGCTGGTGGATTGCTCAGGATGGTAAGCATTCCTCTGCCCCATGTGCTGAGTGACGGTGTCTTTTGGATTTCCAAGACCCATAATGAGCTGTTTCTCATGAGGCCACTAATGGCATGGTGAGTTGCATTCCTTGAGCAAATGGTCTCTGCCTTTTGCTCAGTGCCATGGTTCTATCTTCCCCAGGGTGCCGAAGGTCTTTAAGGTCGTCAGCTCACCTACTGCCCAGCCTGTGGTGTCAAATGTCCTGCCTCTTCAAATGTGTTTGGATCGATGATGAGTCCCCCCAAAAAAACATTCCTTGGAAAAGCTGAACAAAATGAGTGAAAACTCATACCGTCGTTCTCAGCGGAACTGAGGTCCAGCGCGTTGCCTCCAGCAGGGACTGTTGGAGTGAGGGAGAGCTTCCACTAGTCCCTATAGGTTCCACCACCCAGGGCATCCGCAGGTAAATGTCTGCCATCACACGCACATTAGGAACATTCCCTTTGCGTGAGATACACTGTTAGGAGAGTCACGGAGGGATTGGATGCTGTGTGATGGCGTGGCAGCTGTGGAAGTGGACGGAAAAATCTCAGGCCTAGAGGAGTGCGTGGCACTGATGAGCTCCCAGGAAGGGAGACCCGGACCTTGTGTCAAGCTTCCTCGCACACAGGACCGGGTCCTGGTTCCCCTACTACAGAGAGTATGAGGTCCCAGCCTCAGGCAGACCTTGGTCTTGATTTTCAGTTAGCTGAGGACAGGGGAGTGCCAAGGGTGATGGGGAAGAGTGCAGAGCAATGGGTGTTGTAGCAGATGGCCAAAGCCTCTTCGGCCCTTCCCCCAGCGTTGGTCCCAGGGTCACCCCAGCATGGATTTCTTTGCCTCCTGAACCGTGAGATGCCCATGGTGTGGTGGTGGAGACCTGGGTAGGACATATTCTCTGGTATTCCAGAGAAAAGGTGGTAGGGGGCTCACATGGACAGGTGTGCCATCAGTGGTCTTGGGCTCTCATTTGGTGGTGCTGGGCTTTCCGTGTATTCCTCTGATGGATGACAGGTCGGGCAGCAGGGGTCTTCAAGGGCAGTTCCCAGGCGTGTGAGGGTTGGGCTGCTGCCTGTGGCCCTGGGTCACTCCGATCTTCCTGGCAGAGTAATGGGCTCCACCGTTGTGTACATCTTCCTGTAAATAGTCTCTTGGCCCGCCATTGCCAGGCGGCCCCACCTGCTGCAGCTTGTGTGAGCAAATACTGCTCTTGATCCTTTTTCTTGCTTTGAAAGCAGCATCCGTCCCAAAGGCATCCAGAGGGAATGTGCCCTGGCCCAGGCCCAGGACCCTCCCGTGGGTTCCAATCATGCATGGGGCTGTCTGTGGAGGTCCGTGTCCATTCCGGGCAATGCGTGTGCAATCCCAGGGGTGTTGCCACGGAAAGTCTCTTGACTTGGGATGCCTCCACGCCTCTGCATGTTGGCAATGTTCCAGTGTTGGATTCCGCTACTCCCTATGCATGATGAAGCATTTTAGCTCCCTTAGCCAGTTTAAATTCACAGTGCAGCCAGGACAGCCGTGCCACTTTCAAGGGCACTTGGTTGGCTTAGGAAAGTTGGAAAGGATTGGTGGTTCTACAGTTCTCAGTTCACTTAGTAGCTGCATGCATGTAGACCTGGTGGTGCTGATGCAGTGTTGACTTGCCAGTGTTGGGGTGGGTAGTAGTGCAGTCAGATTGGCTGCATGAGGGGTTATTGCTTCTGAGGTCGGTGCAGGGATGCCCTGTGGGTGTGTCCAATTGAAGAACGATGACAGGCAGTGTGTCCTGTCAACCTGGTCCTTGGGAATTCAGGTAGGGACGTCCTGTTGGAAAAGCAGCCATTCTCTTTGGGTGTCCTGAGGGAACGGTGCGGGCACATGGACTGAGTGGAGGGGAGGAGGCATGTATCTTGAGGTCCTTTTGCTAGGTTGCTAGTCCTACCTCTGGCCTTGATGCCAAGTTTCAGACTGACATGCTGGACTTTGCAAAGGCGCCCTCTGGAGCTGGTTGTGGTTGGTTTTCCGCCAGGTGCACCTCACCTAAGAGGGTGGCCAGAGACAGTGTCTTGTCATGACATCAGAAGCCCCATGAGGAAGAGGAGGAGCCTGTGCTCCTGCCAGAGGTGGTGGCTGTTAGGTAAGAGACCTGTGACCTGTTTCCACATGGCCCGGAGGTCAAAGTTCACATCCAGTGATCGAAGGCCAGGGTCTTGAGCCATCGGATTGCTGGGGGGATCAGGTCTGGAGGCTGCAAACTAGAACTGCCCATTGTGGTGTTGGGACCCACATGTGCATTAGGGAGACAAACATGCCCATTTAAACTAACATTCTCACACATGCACACACCCACACCCACCCATACACACACACTCTCATACACTCACACTCAAACTCACACTCTCTCTTTCACACACACACACACACACACACAGGCACAGACAGCCATAGGCTAATAGATGCAGCGATGTGCACATGGTGTGGTTCTGGCCACATATGCTTTTAGGTGTCCACAGAGTGACGCAGGTAAGGTATATTCATGGAGCTGGAGGTCAGTCATGGAGGCCAAGGAGAAGCAGGTGTGTGAGTTGCCCTGTGGGAAAGAATGGTGTTGAAGTGTCCAGTGAACCTGGGCCTGTTTCTCAAGCATGCATTTGATTTCTTTACACTTCTCAGGGACAGTTGCCGTGGGAGGTCCGCTGCCTGCTGTCAAGGAAGATGGTCGATGCTTCTGAGAAACAGGCCCTGCGGGTTCCTGGATTTGGTGTGGCCTGGCATCCACGGTGCACCCCGTGCTGGCGGGTGGCCCAGGACGGTAAGCATTTTTCTGCCCCGTGTGCTGAGTGATGGTGCCTTTAGAATTTCTGAGACCTGTGAGCAACAGTTTCTTGGCAGGCCATTAATGGCATGGCGAGTTCCATTCCCAAAGTGGATGGTCTGTGCCGGTTGTTCAGTGGCGCGGCTCTGGCTTCCCTAGGGTGCCAAAGTTCTTTAACGTCATCGGCTTGCCCACTGTCTGGCCTGTGGGTGTCAAATGTCCCACCTCTTCAAATGTGCTTGGATCGATGATGAGTCCCCCATAAAAACATTCCTTGGAAAAGCTGAACAAAATGAGTGAGAACTCATACCGTCGTTCTCATCAGAACTGAGGTCCAGCACGTTGCCTCCCGTGGGGACTGTAGGAGCGAGGGACAACTTCCACTGGTTCCCATAGGTTCCACCACCGAGGACATCCACAGGCCAAAGTCTCCCATGAAATACTCGTTAGGAACATTCCCTCTGTGTGAGGTACATGGGTGGGAGATTTGTGGGGGCACTGGCTGCTCTGTGATGGCGTGGCGGCCATGGAAGAGGGGAGAAATGTCGTGGGCCTAGGGGAGTGTGTGGCTGGTCTCAGCTTGGTGAGCTTTCAGGAAGGGAGGCCTGGACCTCATGGGTGGCATCTCCATGCAGAGGACAAGGTCTCACTTTTGCTACCAAGGAGAGCACAAGGTCCAGGCCTCAGGCAGACCTTGTTCTTGATTTCTGGTTAGCTGAGGACAGGGAAGTGCCAAGGGTGATGAGGGAGAGTGTGGAGCAATGGGTGCCACGGCAGATGGCCAATGGCTCTTCAGCCCTCCTGCCAATGTTGGTCACAGTGTCCCCCCAGCACGGATTTCTTTGCCTCCCGAAATGTAAGATGCCTGTGGTTTGGTGGTGAAGGTGTAGGCAGGGTGGTATTCCAGAGAAAAGGTGCTAGAGGGCTCTCGTGGACATGAGTGTGCATTGGGCTTTAATTTGGCAGTGATAGGCTTTCCATGGATTTCTCTGGTGGATGACAGGTCAGCCAGGGTGGGTCTTTGAGGGCATGTCTCTGGGTGAGTGAGTGTGAGGATGGTGTCCATGGCCCTGGGTCACTTCTGTTGTTCCCAGCAGAGTAGGGGGCTCTACTGTTGTGCACATCTTCCTGGAAATGGTCTCTTGGCCTTCGTTGTCGGGTGGCCCCACCTGCTGCTGCTCTCGTGAGCAAATACTGCTCTGTATCATTCCCGCTTTCCATCCCAAAAGTGTCCAGAGCGAATGTGCCCTGTCCCTGGCCTGGGACTCTCCTTTGGGCTCCAGTCATGCATGAGGCTACCCGTGGAGATCTATGTGCATTCTGAGCAGTGTGTTTGCAATCCCAGGGGCATTGCCACAGAGAGTCTTGACTTGGCATGTCTCCATGTGACTGTGTGCTGGCGATGTTCCAGTGTTGGACTCCAAAAGTCCCTAGGCGTGATAAAGCATTTCAGCTCCCTTAGCTGGTTTGAAGTCACAGAGCAGGCAGGACAGCCATGCCACTTTCAAGGGCATACAGTTGGCACAGAAAAATTGGAAAGGATTGGTGGTCGTACATCTTGCAGCTCACTTAGTAGCTGCATGCATGTAGACCGGGTGGTGTTGATGCAGTGTTGACTTGCTGGCATTGGGGTGGGTGGTAGCATGGTCAAGCTGGCTGAGTGATGGGATATTGTCTCAGAGGTTGGTGCAGGGAAACTCTGTGGGTGTGTCTAATGCAAGGATAATGACAATGTCCTGTCTGCCTGGTCTTTGGGGGGTCAGGTGGAGATGTCCTTTTGGAAAGGCAGCCATTCTCTTTGAGTGTCCAGAGGGCATGGTGCAGGCACATGGATTGAGTGGAGGGAAGGAAGCGTGTGTCTTGAGGTCCTTTGGCTAGGTTGGGAAGACTACCTGTGGCCCTGATGCTGTTTCAGAGTGATGTGCTGGCCATTGCAAAGGCGCCCTCCAGTGCTGGTTGTGGTTGGTTTTCCATCAGGTGCACCTCACCTGGTAAAGGGGCCAGAGACAGTGTCTGGTCATGACATCAGATGCTCTGTGAGGAGGAGCATGTGCTCGTGCCAGGGGTGCTGGCTGTTAGGCAAGGGACCTTGGACCTCTTTCCTCATGGCCTTGAGGTCAAAGTTCACATCCTATTGATTGAAGGCTGGGGTCTTGAGTCTTTGGTTTAGTGGGGTTGGTTCCGGTCTGGAGGCTGCAGACTATGACTGCCCGCTGGGGTGTTGGGAAACACATGTGCATTAGGGGGACACACATCCACACAGAGACACACTCATGCACACATGTGTGCACAGCCACAGACAAATAGATGCAGCAATGGGTGTGTGCAATCGTTAGGCCACACACACTTATAGGTGTCCATGGAGTGACACAGGTAAGGTATGAATGGGTCTTTGAAGGCATGTTTCTGGGCGAGTGAGTGTCGGGATGGTGTCCATGGCCCTGGGTCACTTCTGGTCCTCCCAGCAGAGTAGTGGTATGAATATGGAGATGGAGGTCAGTCATAGGGTCCAAGGAGAAGCAGGGGTACGAGTTGCCCCGTGGGAAAGAATGACATTGACGTGGTGACCAGTGGACGTGGGCCTATTTCTCAAGCGTGCATTTGATTTCTTTACACTTTTCAGGGGCAGTTGCCTTGAGAGGCCCACCGCCTGCTGGCATGACAGATGGTCAGTTCTTCCGAGCAGTGGAATCTCCATGGAGTCGTGGAGTCGGTGTGGCCTCGCATCCACAGTGCACCCTGTGCTGGTGGATGGCTCAGGACAGTAAGCATTCCTCTGCCCCGCATGATGAGTGAGGGTGTCTTTAGAATTTCTGAGTCCCACAAGGAAGTTTTTCAGCTGGCCATTAAGGGCATTGTCGAGGCCTTTAAGGTCATCAGCTCGCACACTGCCCAGCCTGCAGTGTCAAATGTCCTGCCTCTTTGAATGTGGTTGGATCGATGATGAGTCCTCCAAAAAAAACATTCCTTGGAAAAGCTGAACAAAATGAGTGAAAACTCATACCGTCATTCTCATCGGAACTGAGGTCCAGCACATTGCTTCCTCTGGGGCCTTTACTAGTGAGGGACAACTTCCACTAGTCCCTATAGGTTCTAACACCCATGGCGTTCACAGGTGAAGGTCTCCTGTCATATTACAAACATTCCCCCCACTCCCCTCCCAAAAAAAGGAACATTTCCTCTGTGTCAGGTACACAGGTCAGAGAGTCATAGGGTGACTGGCTGCTCTGTGATGGCATAGTGGCCGTGGAAGTGGATGGAAATGTCGCAGGCTTAGGGGAGTGTGGGGCTGGCCTCGGCTTGGTGAGCTCCCAGGAAGGGGGACCTGGAAATCGCTGCGGGCATCCTTGCATAGAGGACCAGGTACGTGTTCCAGTTCTGCTTTCAAGGAGAGCATGAGGCCCAGGCCTCAGACAGTCCTTGGTCTTGATCTTTGGTTAGCTGAGGACAGGGGAGTGCCAAGGGTGATAGGGGAGAGCGCACAGCAATGGATGTTGTGGCAGACAGCTAAAGCCTTTCTGTCCCTCCTTTCACGGTCAGTCCCAGGGGGCCCCCAGCACAGACTTTTTTCACCTCTCGAGCTGTGAGATTCCTGTGGTGTTGTGGCCAAGCCTGGGCAGGAAGGTACCCCAGAGAAAAGGTTGTAGAGGGCTCACGTGGACATGCATGCCATCAGTGGTCTTGGGCTGTCATTTGGTGGTGATGGGCTTTCCAGGGATTTCTCTGGTGGATGACAGGTTGGCCATTGGGGGTCTTCAAGGGCAGGTCCTAGGGAGCATGAGGGTCGGGCTGATGCCTGTGGTCCTGGGTCACTCCATTCTTCCTGGCAGAGTAGTAGAAGTGTCCATCTTCCTGGAAATGGTCTCTTGGCCCGCCATTGCCAGGCGGCCCCACCTGCTGCAGCTCGTGTGAGCAAATACTGCTCTGGATCCCATTTCCCGCTTTGAAAGCAGCTTCCATCCCAAAGGCGTCCAGAGGGAATGTGCCCTGGCCCTGGCCCTGGCCTGGGACTCTCCGATGGGGTCCAGTCACACTTGGCGTATTCATGGAGGTCCTTGTGCATTCCAGGCAACACATGTGCAATACCAGGGGCACTGCCGTGGAGAGTCTCTTGATTTGGGATGCCTCCTCGCCTTTGTGTGTTGGCGATGTTCCAGTATTGGATTCTGCTACATCCTCAGGGCAATGAAGCGTTTCAGCTCACTTAGCCGGTTTGACATCATAGTGCAGCCAGGACAGCCGTGCCACATTGGCATGGCACATAGTTGACTTAGGACAGTCGGAAAGGGTTGGTGGTTCTATGTCTCGCAGCTCACTTCATAGCTGTTTGCATGTAAACCTGGTGATGGTGTTGAGATGGTGTTGACTTGCTGACGTTGGGGTGGTTGGTAGTGCAGTTAAGTTGGCTGCATGATGGGATGTTGCCTCAGATGTCGGTGCAGCGAAGCCCTGTAGGTGTGTCCAATGCAAGGAAAATGAAAGGTGGTGTGTCCTGTCCACCTTGTCTTTAGGGGTTCAGGCAGGAATGTCCTGTTGGAAAACTAGCCATTCCCTTTGTGTGTCCTGAAGGCATGGTGCGGGCATGTGAACTGATTGGAGGAAGGAAGTGTGTGTCTTGAGGTCCTTTGGCTGGGTTCAGAAGACTGTCTCTGGCCTTGATGCCGTGTGCCGTGTTTAAGACCAACGTGGTGGCCATTGCAAAGGTGCCTTCCAGTGCAAGTTTTGGTTGGTTTGGTGTCAGGTGTGCCTTACCTGGGAGAGCGGCGAGAGACAGTGTCTGGTCACGACATTATATGCCCCGTAAGGAGGACTGTGTGCTTGCACCGCCAGGGGTGCTGGCTGTTAGTCGAGGGACATCAGGCCAATGTCTGTCTGACCCCTAGGTCAAAATTCGCATCCTACTGATTGAAGGCCTTGGGTCTCGAGCCTTTTGGTTGCAGGTGTGGGGATGGTTTCCAGGTCTGGAGGCTGCCAACTATGACAACCCGTTGTGCTGTTGGGAAACATCTGTGTGGGGGAGACACATACACATAGACACACTCACTCTGACATACACACCTACACATGCACAGGCGTGCACAGCCACAGGCAGATAGATGCAGCAATGGGTGTGTGCTATTGTTGTGGTCACATGTGCTTCCTAGGTGTCCACAGAGTGACATGGGTCAGGTATATTCATGAAGATGGAGGTCTGTCATGGAGCCCAAGGAGAAGCCGGTGTGCAAGTTTCCCTGTGGGAAAGAATGGGATTGAAGTGGTGACCAGTGGACTTGGGCCCGTTTCTCAAGCATGCATTTGATTTCTTTACACTTCTCAGCAGCAGTTGTCATGAGAGGTCTGCCGCTTGCTGGCAAGGAAGATGGTCAATTCTTCTGACCAACAGAGGCTGCCTTGAGTCCTGATTTGGTGTGGCCTGGCATCTATGGTGCACCCAATGCTGGTGAGTGGCTCAGGGTGGTAAGCATTCCTCTGCCCTGTGTGCAGAGGTGTCTTTTGAATTTTGAGACCTGCAAAGAGCTGTTTCTCAGCAGGCCACTAATGGCATGGCGAGTTCCACTCCCAGAGCTGATTGTCTGTGTTCATTGCTCAGTGGTGTGGCTCTGGGTTCCCCCCAGGATGCTGAAGGTGTTTAAGGTCATCAGCTCTCCCACTGCCCAGCCTGTGGTGTCAAATGTTCTGCCTCTTCGAACGTGCTTGGATCGATGATGAGTCCCCCATAAAAACATTCCTTGGAAAAGCTGAACAAAATGAGTGAGAACTCATACCGTCGTTCTCATCAGAACTGAGGTCCAGCACGTTGCCTCCTCTGGGGACTGTAGGAGCGAGGGACAACTTCCACTGGTTCCCATGGGTTCCACCACCCAGGGCATTTACAGATGAAAATCTCCTATCACATGCATGTGAGGAACATTTCCTCTGTATGACATAGACGGATGGGACAGTTGTGGAGGGATTGGCCACTCTGTGATGTTGTGGCAGCCACGGAAGCAGGTGGAAGTGTTTTGACCTAGGGTTGTGTATGGCTGGTCTCGGCTTGGTGAGCTCCCAGGAAGGGAGACCCGGGCCTCGCAGCAGGTGTCTTTATGTAGAGGACCAGGTCACAGTTCCCCTGCCAAGGAGAGCATGAGGCTCAGGCCTCAGATAGACCTTGGTCTTCATTTTCCACTAGCTGATAATGGGAGTTCCAAGGTGATGGAGGAGAGCACAGAGCAATGGGTGTCACCGCAGATGGCTAAAGCCTCTTTGGCCCTCCTTCCAGCATCAGTCACAGGTGCCCCCTGGCATGGATTTCTTTGCATCCCTAGCCATGAGATGACCATGGTGCAGTGACCAAGGCTTGGCCAGGATGGTACCCCAGAGAAAAGGTGGTGAAGGGCTCATGTGGACATGTGTGTCATCAGCTGCATTGGGCTGTCACTTGGTGGTGATGGGCTTCCCATGGATTTCTCTGGTGGATGACAGGTCAGCCAGGGCGGGTCTTTGAGGGCATGTCTCTGGGCAAGTGAGTGTCGGGATGGTGTCTGTGGCCCTGGGTCACTTCCGGTCTTCTCAGCAGAGTAGTGGGCTCCACCGTTGTGCACACCTTTCTGGAAATGGTCTCTTGGCATGCATTGTTGGGTGGCCTTACCTGCTGCAACTCATGTGAGCAAATAACTGCTCTGGATCCTCTTTCCCGCTTGGAAAGCAATTTCCATTCTGAAGGCATCCAGAGGGAATGTGCCCTGGCCCTGGCCTGGGATTCTCCAGTGGGTTCCAGTCATGCATGGGGCTATCCACGGAGGTCTGTGTGCATTCCAGGCAATGCGTATGCAGTCCCAGCGGCATTGCCACAGAGAGTCTCTCGACTTGGGATGACTCTGCGTGTTGACAGTGTTCCAGTGTTGGATTCCGCTATGCCCTAGGCGTGGTGAAGCATTTCAGCTCCCTTAACTGGTTTGAAGTCTCAGCACGGCCAGGACAGGCATGTCACGCTGAAGGGCACACAGTTGGCTTAGGAAAGCTGAAAAGGTTGGTAGTTCTACGGCTTGCAGTTCACTTAGCAGAAACGTGCTTGTGGACCCCGTGGTGTTGAGACAGTGTTGACTTATAGGCACTGTGGTATGTAGTAGTGAGGTCAAGTTGGCTGTGTGATAGGATGTTGCCTCAGAGGTCGGTGCAGGGAAGCCCTGTAGATGTGTCCAGTGCAAGAATGATGACAGGCGGTGTGTCCTGTCAACCTTGTCCTTAGGGGGTCAAGTGGAGATGTCCTCTTGGAATAGCAGCCATTAGCTAGGATGTCCTGAGGGCACGGTGTGGGCATGTGGACTGAGTGGAGGGGAGGAAGCCCGTGTCTTGAGATTGTTTGGCTAGGTTGGGAAGACTGCCTCTGGCCTTGACACTGAGTTTCAAACTGAGGTGCTGGACTTTGCGATGGTGCCCTCCAGTGCTGGTTGTAGTTGGTTTTCCACCACATGTGCCTCACCTGAGAGGGCAGCCAGAGAGAGTGTCTGGTCACAACATCAGATGCCCTGTGAGGAGGAGTGTGTGCTCATGCCAGGCTTGGTGGCTGTTAGGCAAGGGACCTCGGGCCCATGTCCGCATGGCCTCAAGGTCAAAGTTCACATCCTACTGATTGAAGGCCTGGGTCTTGAGCTTTTGGGTTGTGAGGAGGTTCAGGTCTAGAGGCTGCAGACTATGACCACCCCTTGTGGTGTTGGGAAACATATGTGCATGAGGGAGACACACATACACACACACACAGACACACTCTCTCTCTCACACACACACACACACACACACACAGGCGTGCATAGCCACAGGCAAATAGATTCAGCAATGGGCACATGCTGTCGTTTCGGTCACACACGCTTCCTAGGTCTCCACAGAGTGACACGGGTCAGGTATATTCATGGTAATGGAAGTCAATCATGGAGGCCAAGGAAAAGTAGGTGTGTGAGTTGCCCTGTAAGCAAGAATGGCGTTGAAGAGGTGACCAGTGGACCTTGGTCTGTTTCTTAAGCATGCATGTGATTTCTTTACACTTCTAAGGGGCAGTTGCCGTGGGAGGCCTGCCGTCTGCTGAAAGGAAGATGGTTGATGCTTCTGAGCAATGAAGGCCCCATGGAGTCCTGGATTCGGTGTGGCCTTGCATCCGTGGTGCACCCCGTGCTGGTGGATGGCTCAGGACGGTAAGCATTCCTCTGCCCCGCATGATGACTGAGGGTGTCTTTAGGATTTCTGAGACCCACAAGGAGCAGTTCTTCAGCAGGCCATTAAGGGCATGGCTGTGGTCTTTAAAGTCATTGGCTCACCCACTGCCCAGCCTGTGGTGTCAAATGTCCTGCCTCTTCAAATGTGCTTGGATCGATGATGAGTCCTCCAAAAAAACATTCCTTGGAAAAGCTGAACAAAATGAGTGAGAACTCATACCGTCGTTCTCATCGGAACTGAGGTCCAGCACATTTGCCTCTGCCGGGGACTGTAGGATTGAGGGACAACTTCCACTAGTTCCCATAGGTTCCACCTCCCAGGGCATCCACAGGCCAAAGTCTCCCATCACACACAGGTTAGGAACATTTCCTCTGTGCGATGTAGACGGGTAAGAGAGTCATGGGCAAATTGTCTGCTTTGTTATGGTGTGGCAGCCATGGAAGAGTACAGAAATTTTGCAGGCCTCAAGGAGTGTGTGGCTGGCCTCAGCTTGGTGAGCTCCCAGGAAGGGAGACCCAGATCTCGCGGCAGATGTCACTGCACACAGGACTGGGTCCGATTTTTTTGCCAAGGAGAGCATGAGGTGTGGGCCTCAGGCAGATCTTTGTCTTGATTTCTGGTTACCTGAGGACAAGGGAGTGCCAAGTTGATGGGGAAGAGCAATGGGTGTCCCAGCAGATATCCAAAGGCTCTTTGGCTCTCCTTCCAGGGTTGGTCACAGGGCCTCCCTGGCAGGGATTTCTTGGCCTCCTGAGCTGTGAGCTGCTCGTAGTGCAATGGCAGAGGCCTGGGCAGGAAAGTATTCCAGAGAAAAGGTGGTAGAGGGCTCACGTGGACATGTGTGTCATCAGTGGTCTGGGGCTGTCATTTGGCAGTGATGGGCTTCACATGGATTTCTCTGGCAGATGACAGCTCAGCCAGCAGGGGTCATTGAGGGCAGGTCACAGTGAACATGAGGGTCAGGCTGGCACCCACAGCCCTTGGTCACTTCTGGTCTTCACGGCAGAGTAGTGGGCTCCACTGTTGTGCACATCTTCCTGGAAATGGTCTCTTGGCCCGCCGTTGCCGGATGGCCCCACCTGCTGCAGCTCGTTTGAGCAAATAGTGCTCTGGATCCACTTTCCCACTTGGAAAGCAGCTTCCATCCCGAAGGCATCCAGAGGGAATGTGCCTTGGCTCTGGCTCTGCCCTGGGCCTCTCCCATGGGCTCTAGTCACACTTGGGGCTATTCATGAAGGTCTGTGTGTATTCCAGATTCCAGGCAACATATGTGCAATCCCAATGGCATTGCCACAGAGAATCTTTTGACTTGGGATGCCTCCGTGCCACTGTATGATGGCGATATTCAAGTGCTGGATTCTGCTCCATCCTGGGGTGATGAAGCGTTTCAGTTCCCTTAGCCAGTTTGAAGTCACAGTGCAGCCAGGACAGCCATGCCACATTGACGGGCTTGTGGTTGGCTTAGGAAAGTTGGAAAGGATTGGTGGTTCTACAGCTAGCAGCTCACTTAGTAGCCACATGTATCTACACCTGGTGCTGGTGTTGAGGTGGTGTTGACTTGCAGGCATTGTTGTGGGTGGGAATGCGGTCAAGCTGACTGCACGATGGGACATTGCCTCTGAGGTCAGTGCAGGGAAGCCCTGTGAGGTGACCAGTGCAAGGACAATGTTAGGTGGTGTGTCTTGTCCACTCGGCTTTTGGGGCATCAGGCGTGGACGTCCTGTTGGAGAAGCAGCCATTCTCTTCAGGCATCCTGAGGGCACGTGTGCGTACGTGGACTGAGTGGAGTGGAGGAAGCTGTTTCTTGAGGTCGTTTGGCTAGGTTGGGAAGACCACCTCTGGCTTTGACGTCATGTATCAGTGCAACATTCTGAGCATTGGGCAGGTGCCTTCCAGCACAGGTTTTGGTTGGTTTTCCGCCAGATGTGCCTTACCTGGGAGTGCAGCAAGAGACAGTGTCTGGTCCCGACATCAGAGGCCCTGTGAGGAGTAGCCTGTATTCGCGCCAGGGGTGTGGTGGCTGTTACACGAGGGACATCAGGCCTATTTCCACGTGGCCTTGAGATCAGAGTGCACATCCTACTGATTGAAGGTCTTGAACCTTTGATTTGTTGGGGGGATCAGGTCTGGAGGCTGCAGACTATAACCGCCCATTGCAGTGGGAATCTCACACACACACACACACACACACACACACACACGTGTGCACAGCCACAGGCAAATACTCGCAGCAATGGGCACATGAGGTTGTTCCAGGCACACACACTTCCTATGTGTCCACAGAGTGACAGAGGTAAGATACATTCATGGAGATGGAGATCAATCATGGAGGCCAAGGAGAAGCAGGCATGCAAGTTGCCCCACAGGTAAGAATGGGTTTGAAGTGACCAGTGGACCTGGGCCCATTTCTCAAGCATGCATTTGGTTTCTTTACACTTCTCAGGGGCAGTTGCCATGGGAGGCGCAGGCCTGCTGGAAGGAAGATGGTCGATTCTCCCAAGCAACAAAGGCCACGTAGAGTCCTGGTTTCAGTGTGGCCTGGTATCCACAGTGCACCCCGTGCTGGTGGGTGGCTCAGGACGGTAAGCATTCCTCTGCCCTTCGTGCTGAGTGAGGGTGTCTTTGGGATTCCCAAGACCCACAATGAACAGTTTTTCAGTAGGCCACTAATGGCATGCTGAGTTCCTCTCCTAGAGTGGATGGTCTGTACCTTTTGCTCAGTGGCACAGCTCTGGGTTCCCCAGGGTGCCGAACATGTTTAAGGTCATCGGCTCACCCACTGCCCAGCCTATGATGTCAAACATCCTGCGTCTTTGAATGTGCTTGGATCGATGATGAGTCCCCCATAAAAACATTCCTTGGAAAAGCTGAACAAAATGAGTGAGAACTCATACCGTCGTTCTCATCGGAACTGAGGTCCAGCACATTGCCTCCACTTTGGCTTATTGTGGTTCACGGGTAACTGTCATATTACATGGTACTTCACTACCCAGGCACTGGCATTCAATTTTTGTGGTCGTTTTGACCATAGTAAAATTCTTTATCATAAATGTATTTGAGAATCATACTTGGGTAGCCCATGAATTTTTTTAGTGTTACTCTTCTTGGTGTCAAGTTGGTTTCACCCTTAATGCTAGGTTTTGGATTTTTGTTGCATGATTGATTTTTAGCCAGGTTCTGGTCACCAATCACAGCCTTTCACCAACATTCATGGAGAAAGTTTCCTTGTTTTTTTTATATGTTGAGGAAGTACATATTTCCTGAATGTTTTTGCTTTTGTTCCAATGTTGGGCTGACTGGCATGTCATCTCTTATCTTATCTTGAACTGAGTAGTGGTACAAGTTTTTGGCTTTCAGCATCCAGGGCACCAAGTCTTTTGTACACAAATTGCAAGTATTGAAGCCATGGTGTTGATTGGGATGCTCTACGCCCATACTCTTTAGTGGCATGACGCCCTCCCAGGGTACCCGGAATCCACATGTGCAACTCTGTATATGTGTTTCTGTGAACACAGATATGTGAAGCCATAGATAAGCAGATTTCATATGTACCACAGGAGTCTATATGACATAGCCTTCCTGACCTATGTACCTGTCTGTCTTTCTGAAGCACACTCATTTCCTCTGCACCTTCCTGGTGTCATTGGCATGGAAGGAAGGCCCTTGTCCAAGAAGGATGGTCTTCGTCTTGTGTGATCTTTGAGATGCCATGAGGCCCCTGGATACAAATGGTGTGGGCTCCTTTGGAGGCTTTTGGATTTCTCCTGAATGTAAGTGATTTCTTCTGAAAGCATTCTGATTTTCCTCACTTGCAGGGACAAAGACTATGTGTAGGTTGATGATGACTTACATATATACGTTTTTTTTTTTTTTTTGGAAAGGTGAACAAAATGAGTGAAAACTCAGTACCATCATCCTCATCTAACTGAGGTCCAGCACGCTTCTCCATCAGGGCCTAGATTTAGGGGGCCAACATCTGTTTGTTATCATGGTGTGCACCAAGGCTTAGGATGTAGTTGTCTTTCAGTGAAACTGAGTAGCTGAGTATTTTGTACTCCCCTGGCTGAGAGATACGTTTGTTGAACGACTTACCTGTGAGAAGGTGGGGTAGCATCCTGCCAGTGTGCAGGAGAAGGTAAACCTGCAGGTGCCACAGGAAGGCGGTATCCAGTTGCCCACCTCTGCATGGCTGGGTCTGTCCTTGATTCATACCTCTTGGGTTCGTCACCCCCCAGAAGAAGACAATTTATTCCACATGAGGAGACAGCACGGTGCCATTCCTGAGCACTTCTTCAACTGTCTTTCATCTGTGGCCGGGGACATGGGACTTCTTATGGTGTTTGGGTAGCATCAAGGGCTGGCCATCTTGAAGCCAGTGGTGATGCTGATTTGCTCTCTGGAAAGGAGCCTGGAGAAGCTCTCTACAGTGAACTTGTACATCTATAAGTAGAATTCCAAATTTCATGGCCCAAGAAGGGTAGTGGCTGTGGGAAGGGGAGAGGTCTGTGTGTGCCTTTACCTGGCATCATTCCATGTGGGTCGTGGAGTGATGACTGTGAGGCTCTTTAAGACATTGCAGGGTGCCCAAGGTCCATTTCGTGATATCCTCAGGATGGTTTGCTTGGGAGAGCCTGATGTCATTTGCCTCTGAACCGCTCAGACATCTTGATGCAGTTGGGGTTTATAAGAGTGTGTCATTCCCCACATCGTGGTGACTTCTACTTGGAAATGTGACCTGCGAAGGTCTCCTTGCTTATATACCTCAGCGTCTCCTGATATTAGGGTATTTTCAAATTCCTCCTAATTCTTCACAGCAGTCTTCTTTGTGAAATAGTCGTTGTGTGGTAGGACAGGGCTACCATCCACAGGCCAATGATGGATAGGTGTTGGACTCTGATGTTATGTTCACAGGCAAGTGCCTTAAGATCTTGTTTTCTTAGCTGCAGCACCTTAGAAATCTTGTAGGATTCAGAATGCCTGGTGCTCTTCTGGGTCCCTGATCTGTACCTGTGTAGTGCACATGGAGGTTGATTTGTGATGTTTCTGGATGGGAAGAGTGTGAAGGACCCAAGGGGTAAAAATGCCTCAAGGCCAAAGGAAAGTTAACCTTTGCATAGGAAGAGGTTTCCCCTCCAAACTCTCCTCACTGAAGTATCACCATAGCCTTTGTCTTCTCTGATGGCCAGGAGAAGGGTTTTTGAGTTGGAGGTGTTATAAGAGTGGTGTTGAGAGTGTTCTTCATGCTTAGTGCTCTCTAGTTGATGGTGCCTTCAAAATTCATGCCTGCCTCCTACCTTCATGTTTGGGCAAACCCATGCATGTGTGCAGAAAGAAGGGGAGCCCATGGGAGGTAGATACAGATTACTCCACAACAGGACAAATGACATGACCCTTGCCACCTATGCACCTCACTGCCTTTCTCAAGCACACTGTTTTGCTTCTGCACTTCTTAGGTGGCGTTGGTATGGAAGGAAGGCCAGTGACCGCAAGGGATGACTTTGATCTTGGGAGATTTTTGGAGATGGCAAAGTGCTTCTAAACATGTTTGGCATGGTCTCCTTCAGGCTGGTGGATACCTCAGGATGGTAAGTATTGGTTTTCCAAAGGCACCTAATGTTCCATGTTTGCAGGTATGAGGACTGTGCATGGATCAATGATGACTTCCATACGTGGGTTCCTTGGAAAGTTGAACAAAATGAGTGAAAACTTTATACTGTCATCCTCTTCAAACTGAGGTCCAGCACACTGCTTCAACAGGGGCTAGAGATGGAGGTCTACCTCTCATTCATTGACGTGGGTTGCACCAAGGGGTCTGTCCAGGCTTAGGATGGGGTTCTCTTTTGGCAAGGGGTAGCCCCAGGGGAGTGGGAGCTCCCATGCACAGGAGATTCCTGGTGTGAAGGACATCTCTTAGTGAGGCCAGGGTAGCACACACACCATCTTCAAGACTAGGTGAATGTGCAGGTGACACAAAGGACTTAGGCTCTGTGTCCCCCAGTTTGTTCTTGAGTCTTAGTTCTTGGTTCTCTCATCATCGGGAGGAAGGCAGGTCCTTCTCGTTGGGAAGAGAGGACAAGCCTACACTTTTGCCTCATTTTTGGCTCATTTTTATCCTTGTGTATGTACATAGATTTCTGGTCACCTGCATGCTTCACATCCAGGCCAGAGTGCCTCTGTTGTACCCTCTGTGTTATGAAGACATACAGTTGGCCTCCTGCCCTAAGCTGGGGCTGATAGGCAACGAGTCTCTGGCTTATCTCAAACCTGGTGTAGGTCAAAGGCTTCCTCGTTAGGGGTGCAGGTCCCCGAGGCTTTTATGATCAACTTTGCAGGTGTGCACGGGTGTTTAAAGGGATGCTCAACATCAGTTCTCTCTAGTGGGATTATGTACTCCATGGGCTCCCAGGATCCAGACGTGCATCCCTGTGTCTATGCAGTTCTGCGTCCATAAACAGGTGAAGCCAGAGATGGGCAGATTGCAGATGTACTGCAGGGGGCCAGATGGCATGGCCCTCATAACCTCTGCACATGTCTGCCTTTCTCAAACATGCCCATGTTTCATCTGTACCTCCCAGGTGGCGTTGGCATGGAAGGAAGGACTGTGTCTGTGAGGGATGATCATCCTCTCATGTGATCCTTGGAGATGCCAGGAAGCCCCTTGACACATGTGGCATGGGCTCCTTCAGAGGCTTTTGGATCCGTCGTGAATGTAAGCAAGCCCTTCCCAAAGCCCTGATTTTCCTCATTTGCAGAAACAAAGATTGTGCCTGGATCAATGATGACTTCCATATATACATTCCTTGGAAAGCTGAATAAAATGAATGAAAACTCTATACCATCATCCTCATTGAACTGAGGTCCCAGCATGCTGCTACATTGGAGGGCAAGGAGAGGGGGCCAACATCTGTTTGTTGACATGGTCTACACCTTGGCTTAGGATGTGGTCCTCTTTGGGCAAATGCAAGCGTCTGGGCTTTTTGGACTTCTGTAGCTGAGAGACAGCTTGGTTGAAGGAATTTCCTCTGAGAAGGTGGGGTAAGCACACTGCCAGCCTGCAGAACTTGAAGCTGCAGATGGCACAGGAAGCAGTAGCCAGTAGTCTCTTTGTGCATGACTGTGTGTGTCCTTGATTCATAGCTTTTTGGTTTGTCGCCTCCCCGCTTGCACAGGAATACCATTGCTTTCCTTTGGGGAGAGAGCATGTCATTCCTGGACACTTGTTCGGCTTACTTTCATTCTCAGTCGAGGATGTGGGAGTTCCCATGGTACTTGGGTAGCATCAGGGGCAGGCAGCCATGAGGTGGGTGGTGAGCTGATTTGCTTTCTGCAGAGGAGCCCAGGGAGGGTATCCACATTGAACTCGTATGTCCATAGGAGGAAACCCAAGTCCTTTGGTCCCTGCAGTGTACTGGTGGTGGGAAGGGGAGAGGGCTGTGCATGCATGTACCAAGCGACATTCCATGTGGGTCGTGGAGCAATGACTATGAGCCTCTTTTGGGAGTTGTAGGGTGCCCATGCTCCATTTCATGATGACCTTGGGGTGCTGGGATGGGAATGAGATTGCAAGTCCCTGTGTTCCTGCCACTTCGCAGACTGACTTGGTTTGAGAGATCTGTGTTCAGGAACCCCTGTGGGATGCTTGTCTGTGTTAGGCATTTGAGCAGATATTGGCCCAGGGTTTCTACCCTTCCATGGTTGTACATACTGCTGGAAGGGCTTGTTGCTCCCTCTGTATTGATGAGGGGAAGTTTTGCCCAGGAGAGCCTGATGCCATTTGCTTCTGAACTGCTCAGGCACTTCAATGCAGTTGAGGTTAAGAGTGTGTCACTTCCCATGTCGTGGTAGCATCTACTCAGAAAAGTGACCCGTCAAGGTCTCTGCACTTAAATTCTCCATTATCTTATGATGTTAGGTTATTTTCAAATTCCTCCTAATTCTTCACAACAGTCCTCTTTGTGAAACAGTCATGAAGTTGTATGAGGGCTGTCATCCACAGGCCAGTGATGGAGAGTTTTGTACTCTGTGGCCATGTTCACAGGCAAGTGGCTTAAGACGTATCGTGTTCTCAGGGACAGCACCATAGAAGCCCTGTAGGATTCAGCATGTCTGATGCTTTTCTGGTTCCCTGAGCTGCACCTGTGAGGAAGGCCAGAGGTGGAGGTTGATGTGTGATTGAATGTGTTTCTCAATGCAAAGTGTGTGGAAGGAGCTTCAAGGCCGAAGGAAAGTTGTTCTTTGTGCTGGAACACTTTTTCCCTGCAGCTCTCCCCATTGAAATATCCTCATGGCTGTTGTCTTCTCTGATGGCCAAGAGAATGGCTTTTGAGTCAGGGGTGGTGAAAGTGTGGTATTGAGAGAATTCTTCGCGCTTAGTGTTCTCTAGTTTGATGGTGCCCTTGAAATGCATGCCTGCCTTATACCTTCATGCCTGGGTATATCTGTGCATAAGTCCCCAAAGAGAGGTCACCCATGGGAGGTAGATATAGAATACAGCATGGCAGGAGGAATGGCATGGCCCTTGCAAACTGTGTACCTGCCTGCCTTTCTCAAGCACACCTGTTTTTCCTCTGCACTTCCCAGGTGGCATGGGCATGCAAAGAAAGACAGAGGCTGCAAGGGATAAACTTCATCTTGGGAGATCCCTGGAGATGGCAGGGAACCCATGGACACATGTGGCATGGGCTCCTTTGGGTGCCGGTGGATCCCTTCATACGGTATGTGTTCATTTCTCAAAAGACCCTAATGTTCTTCCTTTACAGGAATGAATACTGTGCATGGACCAATGATGACTTCCATACATGCATTCCTTGGAAAGCTGAACAAAATGAGTGGGAACTCTGTACTATCATCTTAGTTGAACTGAGGTCCACCGGGGGCTATAGAGGGACAACTGTCATTTTTTTTGATGCCCGTTGCATGAAGCATTCTTCCAGGCTTAGGAAGGGATTCCGTTTGGGTGAAGGAGAGTCACAGGGGAGTTGAGGCTATGTGCACAGGACTTCTGTCTACAAGGCTGGGGTAGCACACATGCAGTCCGTGGGACTAGGTGAATGTGCAGGTTGCTCAGGGAGAGTTAACCTGTAGCCTGCCTCTGGGTGGCCAAGATTGTCCTTGACTCCTGGCTCTGGGTTCCCACAACCCCTGGAGGAAGACAAGTAATTGTGCTTGGGAAGAGAGAACAAGGCCATACTTTTGCCTTTCTTTTTTTCATTCTTAGTTTGAGAACAGTGGAGTTCCAATCACCTGGCATAGCTTTCATGTTGTGTTCCATGCATTGTGAGTACATGCATATGGCAGGAACACACAGGTTCCCACTGCAAGCTGAGCCTGATAGGCAAGGAGTCTCTAGCTTAACCCCAGCCCAGTGTACGTCAATGGCTTCCTCATTAAAATTGCATGGCCCTGTAGCTTTTGTGAGTGACATTATAGGTATCGATGTAAGGGTGTTGAGAGGGATGCTCAATGTCAGTGCTCTTTAGTGTGCTGATGCACTACTACAAGGGCACCTGAGCCCTTGTCCATGCATTTCTGTGTCCAAAATCAGGTAAAGCCAGAGTTGGGTATCAACCAGATACACTGCAGGGGATCAGAGGACATGGCCTTTGTGTACTGCACATCTGTCAGATTTTCTCAAGCACACCCGTGTTTCCTCTTCACCTCCCACGTGGAAGTGATGAATTGGCCAGGACCATGTTGGTGAGGGACAATCATCATCTCATGTTAACCTCAGAGAAGCCAGGAAGCTCCTGGACACACATGGTGTAGGCTTCCTTGGAGGCTGTTGGATCTCTCCTGAATGTAAGCAATTCCTTCCCAGTGCACCCTGATTTTCCTCATTTGCAGAAACAAAGATTGTGTGTGGATCGATGATGACTTCCATATATACATTCCTTGGAAAGCTGAACAAAATGAGTGAAAACTCTATACCGTCATTCTCGTCGAACTGAGGTCCAGCACATTACTCCAACAGGGGCTAGACAGAGAGGGCCAACATTGATTCGTTGACATGGGTGGCACCAAGGGGACCATCCAGGCTTAGGATGGGGTTTCTTTGGGTGAATGGTAGACACAGGGGAGTAGGATCTCCCATGCACAGGACATACCTTGTTTGAAGGACTTCTGTGTCCTAGGGCTGGATAACTCATGTGCTGTCTGGAGGACTAGGTGAATGGCAGATTGCATGGGAAGAGTTAACTGGTAGCCTGCCTCTGATGGCCAAGTTTGTCCTTGAGTCCAAGCTCTGGGTACCGAAGTCCCCCAGAGGAAGACAGATCCTTCTGGTTGCGGGGAGAGCAAAAGGCTACACCTTTGCCATTAGTTGGCTCATTTTATCCTTAGCTGAGGATGTTGGAGTTGTGTTTACCCGGCATAGCCTCTGTGCCTATGTGCCCATGTTGTGTACTGTGCATTGTGAGGATGTATATTTGGCATGAACAGGCAGGCTTCCTCTCCAAACTGGGGCTGATAGACAGCGAGGCTCTGGGTTATCCCAAACCAGATACAGGTCAATGGCTTCCTCTTTAGGGGTGCAGGGCCTTGATTATTTTGTGACTGGCATTGCAGGTGTTGAAACAAGGGTATTGAGAAGGATGCTCAACATCAGTGCTCTTTAGCGGGATGATGCATTCTGAGGGCTGCCATCCCCAAGATGAGCATACTTGTGTCCATAAATTTCTGGGTTCACGAACAAGGGAAGCCAGAGACAGGCATATTCCAGATAAACCACAGGGGGAAGATAGCATGGTCCTCGTGACCTGTGCACCCGTCTGCCTTTCTGAAGCATGCTTCTTTATCCTCTGCACTTCGCAGGTAGTGTTGGTGTAAAAGGCAAACCCGTGTCATGAGGGATGGTCATCATCTTGTGTGATCCTTGGAGATGGCAGGAAGCCCTGGACATACATGGTGTGGGGGCTCCTCCAGAGGCTGTTGGGATCCTCCTGGATGTAAGTGATTCCATTTCAAAGCACCCTGAGTTTCCTCATTTGCAGGGATGGAGATTGTGTGTGGATCGATGATGACTTCCATATATACATTCCTTGGAAAGCTGAACAAAATGAGTGAAAACTCTATACCGTCATCCTCGTCAAACTGAGGTCCAGCACACTGCTCCATCAGGGGCTCGAGAGAGAGGAACAACATCCATTTGTTGACACAGACTGCACCAAGGCTTGGGGTGGGGTCTTTTTCTGGCAGAGGAGAGTAGCTGGGAATTTTGGACGTTTGTAACTAAGAGACAGCTTGGTTGAAGGCAGCCAGGTGTGTCGTCAATTTGTACCTTGGGTCCCTTGTCCTCCAGAGGAAGACTATTGCTTCCACATGGGGAGACAGCACAAGGTCATTCCCAGACACCTCTTTCACTCACTTTCATCCTTGTCAAGGGACGTAGGACTTCCCATGGTGTTTGGATAGCATCAGGGGCAGGCAGGCAGTCTTCAGGAGGATGGCGATGCTGATTTGCTTTCTGCAGAGGAGCCCAGAGAGGGTATCCACACTGAACTTGTATGTCCATAGGAGGAAACCCAAACCGCATGGTCCCAGAAGGGTCCTGGTGGTTAGAAGGGGAGAAAGCTGCACATGCATTTACCACACAGTCTTCTGTCTGGGTTGTGGAGAGATGACTGTGAGCCTCTTTTGGGTGTTATAGGGTGCATACGGTTTATTTTATGATGATCTTGGGATGCTGGGATGGGAATGTAATTGCGAATCCATGTGTTCCCGCAACTCCACAGACTTGACTTGGTTTGGCAGGTTTGTGTTCAGGCCCTCTGTGGAATGCTTGTCTTCATTAAGAATTTGAGATGGGGCTGGGCACGGTGGCTCACACCTTCTGGGTGCTTGAGCTGCACCTGTGAGAAAGACCCCGAGGTGGAGGCTGAATTGTGATTGAGCATGTTTCTTGAATGTGAAGTGTGTTGATGGATGCTTGCAGTAAAAATGCTTCAAGGCTAAAGGAAAATTGCCCTATGCACAGGAAGAGTTTTTTTTTTCCCAAAACTCTCCCCATTCAAATATCTCTATGGTCTCTGTCTTCTCTGATGGCCAAGGGAAGGGCTTTTGAGTCGGGGCACCAAATGAGTGGTGTCCAGAGTTCTTCACATTTAGTGCTCTGAAGCTTGCTGGTGCCCTCAAAATGTATGTGTGCCTCAAACCTTCATGCATGGGTACTCCCATGCACACATCCTGAAATGGGTATCCCATGGGAAGTAGCGATAGGGTATCCCACAGGGGGTTGAATGGCATGGCCCTTGTGACCTATGTGTTTGCCTGCCTTTCTCAAGCACACCCGTGTTGCCTCTGTACTTCCTAGGTGGTGTGGGCATGGAAGGAAGGCCAGTGGAGACAATGGATGATCTTGTTCTTAGCAGATCACTGGATGTGGCAGGGAGTCCTAGGACATGTGTGGTGTGGGCTTCTTCAGGTGCTGGTAAGTATCTATTCCCCAAAACCCCCTAATGTTACTCCTTTGTGGGCATGAAGACTGTGCATGGATCGATGATGACTTTCATACATGCATTCCTTGGAAAGCTGAACAAAATGAGTGAAAACTCTATACCGTCATCCTCGTCGAACTGAGGTCCAGCACATTGCTCTTACAGGGGCTGGAGTGAGGGCCAAGTTTCATTTGTTGCTGCAGGTTGCACCAAGGGGTTTGTTCAGTTGTAGGAGGGGCTCCCTTTCTGCAAGGGGTAGTCACAGGGTTGTGAGATCTCTCATAAATAGGAAATTGTTTTAGGGACTTCTCTCTGCAAGGTAACACACACACACCGTCTGTAGGACTATGTGAATGTGAAGGTGACATGGGAAGACTTAGCCTGTAGCCTGCCTCTGGTGGCCATATTTGTCCTTGAGTCTTAGCTCTGGGTTCCATCATTCCCTTGAGGAAAGACAGGTGTTTGTGCTTGGGAAGAGAGCACAAAGCCCCACCTTTGCTGTTTTTTCCACTCATTTTCATCATTGTTCAAGGACATTGCAGTTCCGGTTTTATCCATAACCAGGGAAGCCAGAGACAGGCAGATAGCAGATATGCCATAGGGGGCCAGATGACACGGCCCTCATGACCTGTGAATGTGTCTGCTTTTTTGAAGCACACTCGTATTTCCGCTGCACTTCCCAGGTGGTGTTGGCATGAGGAAAGGAGGTATCTTCGAGGGACAATCTTCTTCTTGTGCGATCCTTGGAGATGCCATGAGGCCCCTGGACACATGTGGTGTGGGCTCCTTTGGAGGCTGTTGTATCCCTTCTGAATGTAAGTGTCCACTTTCCAAAGTCCTGATTTTCCTCATTTTTGGGCATGAATAATGTGCATGGATCGATGATGACTTCCATATATACATTCCTTGGAAAGCTGAACAAAATGAGTGAAAACTCTATACCGTCATCCTCGTCGAACTGAGGTCCAGCACACTGTTCATCAGGGGCTAGAGAGAGAGACAACATCCATTTGTTGACACAGGCTGCATCAATGCTTGGGATGGGATCGTCTTTGGGTGAAGTGGAGTAGCTGGGCATTTTGGACTTCTGTGGCTGAGAGACAGCTTGGTTGAAGCTCTTCCCTCTGTGTGGCTATGTGTGTTATCGATTCATACCCCTTGGCTCCTGCACTCCCCAGAGGAAGACAGTTACTGCTGCATGGGGACACAGCACAATGTTGTTCCCAGGCACTTCTTCGGCTCACTTTTATCCTAAGTCGGGGACATGGGAGTTCCTGTGGTGTATGGGTATCATCAAGGGCAGGCAGTCGTGAGGAGGGTGGCAATACTGATTTGCTTTCTGCAGAGAAGCCCAGAGAGGGTATCCACGTTGAATTGTATGTCCATAGGAGGGGGAAACCCAAGTCCCGTGGCCCCTGAAGCATCCTGGCAGTGGAAGGGGAGAGGGCCGTGCATGCGTGTACCACACAGCCTTCTGTCTGGGTCACAGAGCGACGACTGTGAGCCTCTTTCGGGCATTGTAGGGTGCCCATAGTCCATTTCATGATGACCTCAGGGTGCTGGGATGGGAATGTAATTGTAGGTCCACGTGCTCCTGCATCTCTGCAGACTGACTTGGTTTGGAAGGTCTGTGTTGAGGAACCTCTGTGGGATACTTTTCCTTGGTGCATTTGAGGTGTCTGATAATGAGTGTGTGGGTTTCTGTATCCTGGTGACTTCTACTCAGAAATGTGACCCAGCAAGGTCTCTGTGCTTAAATACCTTAGTGGCTTGTGATGTTAGGTTATTTTCAAATTCCTCCTAATTGTGTGTGACAATTCACACAAGTCTTTGTGAAATTGTCCTTGAATTGTATGACAGGGCTAGTGTCTGTAGGCCAGTGATGGATAAGTTTTGGACTCCACAGCCATGTTCACAGCCAAGTGGCTTAAGATGTATGGTGTTCTTAGTCATAGTGCCTTGGAAGCCCTGTAGGATTCAGCATGTCTTGTGCTCTTCTGGGTCCCCGAGCTGTACCTTTGAGGAAAACCCAGAGGTGGAGGTTGATTTGTGATTGAGCATGTTTCTCAGTGGGAAGAGTGTCAAAGGAGCCTGGGGTGAAAGTACTTCAGGACCAAAGGAAAATTGCCCTTCACTCAAGAAGAGGCTTTCCTTGAACCTGTCCCCACTGAAATATCCTCATGGGCTTCATCTTCTCTGATGGCCAAAAGCAGGACTTTTGATTCAGAGGTGGCAAATGAATGGTGTTGAGAGAGTTTGTTATGCTTGGTGCTCTGTAGCTGGAAGGAGCCCTCAAAATTATTGTGTGCATGATAGCTTCATGCCTGCTTACACCCATGCACATGTCCCAGTAAGAGGGGCTGCCTGTGGGAGATACATACACGATACACCACAGTGGGATGAATTGTATGGCCCTTGCAATGTGTGTACCTGCCTGCTGTTGTCAAACACACCTGTTTTTCCTCTGAACTTTCCAGGTGGCGTGGGCATAGAAGGAAGGCCAGTGGCCACGAGGGACAATCTTGGTCTTGGGAGATCCTGGAAATGATAGGGAGTCCCTTGATATGTGTGGCATGGGCTCCTTCAGGTGCTAGTGGATTCCTTAGGATGGTAAGTGTCCATTTCTCAGAAGCTCCAGATATTCCTCCTCTGCAGGGACAAAGACTGTGCCTGGATCGATGATGACTTCCTTATATACATTCCTTGGAAAGCTGAACAAAATGAGTGAAAACTCTATACCGTCATCCTCGTCGAACTGAGGTCCAGCACATTGCTCTTACAGGGGCTAGAGAGAGAGGGACAAATTTCATTTGATGATGCCCATTGCACCAAGGGGTTCTGTCCAGGCTTAGGATGGGGTCTCGTTTGGGCAAAGGAGAATGGCAGGGGAGTGGAGGCTATGTACACAGGAGATTCCTTGTTTGAAGGACTCTATTTGTGAGGCCAGGGTACCACACATGCTGTCCGCAGGAGTAGGTGAATGTGCAGTTGCCCAGGAAGAGTTAGCCTGTAGCCTGCCTCTGCATGGCAGTTTGTCCTTGGGTCCTGGCTCTGGATTTCCATGTTCCTTGGAGGAGGATAGGTGATTTTGCTTGAGAAGACAGCACAGTACCATACTTTTGTTGTTTTTCTGCTCATTTCATCGTCCATTGAGGACAATGAAGTTGTGGTCAGCAGGCATAGCTTTCAGGCCAGCGTGCCCATGTTGTGTCCCATGCATTGTGAGCACATGCATGTGGCATGAACACATAGGCTGCCACTCCAAGCTGAGTCTGATAGGCAATGAGACTCTGGCTTATCCTGATCCCGGTGTAGATCAAAGTCTTCCCAGTAGGATTGCATGGCCCCGAGGCTATTGTGAGCTGCATTGCAGGTGTGGAAGCAAGGGTGTTGAGAGGGATGCTCAACATTAGTGCTCTTTAGCGAGATGATGCACTATAAGGGCACCCTGAACCCAGACGTGCATCCCTATGTACGTGCATTTCTGTGTCCATAAATAGTTGAAGCCAGACAGCCAGATTCCAGATGTATCGCAGGGGGCTGGATGACATGGCCCTTGTCACCTGTGTACCTGTCTGCCTTTCTGAAGCACGCTTGTGTTTCCTCTACACCTCCCAGGTAGCATTGGCATGGAAGGCAGGCCCATGTTGGTGAGGGACAATTGTTATCTTGTGTGAGCCGCAGGGATACCAGGAAACCCCTGGACACAAATGGCAAAGGCTTCTTTGGAAGTTGTTGGATCCCTTCTGCATGTAAGCAGTTCTTTCCCAGAGCGCTCTGATTTTCCTCATTTGCAGGGACAAACACTGTGCGTGGATCGATGATGACTTCCATATATACATTCCTTGGAAAGCTGAACAAAATGAGTGAAAACTCTATACCGTCATCCTCGTCGAACTGAGGTCCAGCACATTACTCCATCAGGGGCTAGACAGAGAGGGCCAACATTCGTTTGTTGATATGGGTTGCATCAAGGGGTCCATCCAGGCTTAGGATGGGGTCCCTTTGGGCAATTGGAAGTCACAGGGAAGTGGGAGCTCCCATGCACAGGAAATTCCTTATTTGAAGGACTTCTTTCTCCCTGGGCGGGATAACTCACCTACTGTCTGAAGGACTAGGTGAATGGCAGGTGGCATGGAAAGAGTTTGTGGGTAGTCTGCCTCTGGTGGCCAAGTTTGTTCTTGAGTCCAAGCTCTGGATTCCCAGAGGAAGACAGATCCCCTGGTTGCGGGGAGAGCACAAGCCTACACTATTCTCACTTGTTAGCTTGTTTTGTCCTTGGCGGAGGACGTTGTATTTCCAGGCACCCAGCATAGCCTCTTTGCCGCATTTCCATGTCATATCCCATATGTTATGAGGATTTGTGTATTGCATGATCAGGCAGGCTTCTGCTCCAAGCTGGGGCTGTCAGGCAAGGAGTCTCTGGGTTATTCCAAACCTGATTTAGGTCAGTGGCTTCCTCTTTCAGGATTCATGGCCCCAAGGCTTTTGTGAGCACCATTGCAGGTGTTGAAGCAACGATGTTGAGAGGGATGCCCAACATCAGTGCTCTTTAGCAGGATGGTGCACCTCGAGGGCCCCTGGCCCTGGGACGAGCATCTGCGTGTCCATGCATTTCTGTGTCCATGAACAGGCGAGGCCATAGACAGGCAAATAGCAGATGTGTCACAGGGGACTGGATAACATGGCCCTCGTGACGTGTGCAACCTGTCTGCCTTTCTGAAGCACGCCTGTGTTTCCTCTGCACTTCACAGGTGGTGTTGGCATGAAAGGCAGGCTTGTATCATGAGGAATGATTGTCATCTTGTCTGATTCTTGGAGATGGCAGGAAGCCCCTGGAAACACATGGTGTGGACTCTTTCACAGGCTGTTGAAACCCTCCTGAATGTAAGTGATTTCATTCCAAAGCACCCTGAGTTTCCTCATTTGCAGGGATGAAACCTGTGTGTGGATCGATGATGACTTCCATATATACATTCCTTGGAAAGCTGAACAAAATGAGTGAAAACTCTATACTGTCATCCTCGTCGAACTGAGGTCCAGCACATTACTCCAACAGGGGCTAGACAGAGAAGGCCAACATCCGTTTGTTGACATGGGTTATATCAAGGCGTCTGTTCAGGCTTAGAATGTGGTCTCTTATGGGTGATGGGGGTCACAGGAGAGTGGTGGCTCCCATGTATAGGAAATTTCTTGTTTGAAGGACTGTCAGTGAGGGTGGGTAACACATGCATTGTCTGCAGGACTAGGTGAATGTCCATGTGGCCTAGCAAGAGTTAGCTGGTAGCCCGCCTCTGGTTGCCAATTTGTTCTTGAGTCCTTGTTCTGGGTTCTCAGGTCCCACGGAGGAAAACAGATCTGTGTGGTTGAGAGGTGGGTACAAGGCCGCATCTTTGTCATTTGTTGGCTAACTTTGTCCTTGGTTGAGGACATTAGAGTTTTGGTCACCAGGCATAGCCTATGTGCCTTTGTGCCCGTGTTGTATCCCACGTGTTTTGAGGACATGTATTTTGCACGTAAAGGTGAGCTCCTGCTCCAAGCTGGTTCTGATACCAAAGGAGTCCCTGGCTTATCCTAAACTCATGGTAGGTTAAAGCCTTCCTCCTTAGGGGTTCAGGGCCGCAAGGCTTTTGTGAGTGGCATTGCAGGCGTTGAAGCAGTGATGTTGAGAGGGATGGTCAATGTCAGTGCTCTTTAGCAGGATGGTGTACTGCAGGGGCCCCCAGCCCCGAGACGAGCATCCCTGCATCCATGCATTTCTGCCTCCATGAACAGGGGAGGCCAGAGACAGGCAGATAGTAGATAAATTGCAGGGGACTGGATGACATGGCCCTCGTGACCTGTGCACCTGTCTGTCTTTCTGAAGCACGCCTGTGTTAACTCTGCACCTCCCAGGTAGCACTGGCATGGAGGGCAGGCACATGTTGGTGAGGGACAATTGTTACCTTGTGTGAGCTGCGGAGATACCAGGAAGCCCCTGGACACAAATGGCAAAGGCTCCTTCGGAAGTTGTTGGATCCCTTCTGAATGTAAGCACTTCTTTCCCAGAGCACTCTGAGTTTCCTCATTTGCAGGGACAAATACTGTGCGTGGATCGATGATGACTTCCACATATACATTCCTTGGAAAGCTGAACAAAATGAGTGAAAACTCTATACCGTCATCCTCGTCGAACTGAGGTCCAGCACATTACTCCAACAGGGGCTAGACAGAGAGGGCCAACATCTGTTTTTTGACATGGGTTATACCAAGGCATCCGTTCAGGCTTAGGATGGGGTCTTTTATGGGTGATGGGGGTCACAGGAGAGTGGTGGCTCCCATGTATAGGAAATTTCTTGTTTGAAGGACTGTCAGTGAGGGTGGGTAACACATGCATTGTCTGCAGGACTAGGTGAATGTCCATGTGGCCTAGCAAGAGTTAGCTGGTAGCCCGCCTCTGGTTGCCAATTTGTTCTTGAGTCCTTGTTCTGAGTTCCTGGAAGGAAACAGATTTGTCTGGTTGGGAGGAGAATACAAGGCCACATCTTTGTCGTTTGTTGGCTAACTTTGTCCTTGGTTGAGGACATTAGAGTTTTGGTCACCAGGCATAGCCTATGTGCCTGTGTGCCCGTGTTGTATCCCATGTGTTTGGGGGACATGTACATTGCATGAACTAGTGAGCTCCTGCTCATTGCTTCTGATACCCAAGGAGTCCCTGGCTTATCCTAAACCCAATATAGGTTAAAGCCTTTCTCATTAGGGGCCCAGGGTCCCAAGGCTTTTGTGAGTATCATTGTAGGTATTGAAGCAACGATGTTGAGAAGGATGCTGAACATGCTCTTTAGTGGGATGACGTACTCTGAAGGCTCCTGACCCCCAGATGAGCATCCTTGTGTCCGTTAACTTCTGTGTTTATGAACAGGTGAGGCCAGAGACAGGCAGACAGCAGATGTATTGCAGGGAGCTGGATGACATGGCCCTTGGAACCTGTGCACATGCCTGCCTTTCTGATGCACGTCCATGTTTTCTCTGCACCTCCCCGGTGGTGTTGGTATAAAAAGCAGGCTTACATCAGCAAGGGATGATTGTCGTCTCATGCGATCCTGGGAGATGGCAGAAGTCCCGGGACACATGGAGTGTGGGCTCTTTCGGAGGCTGTTGGATCCCTCCTGAATGTAAGTGATTCCTTCTTAAAGCATGCTGATTTTCCTCATTTGCAGGGGCAAGGACTGGATCGATGATGACTTCCATATGTACATTCCTTGGAAAGCTGAACAAAATGAGTGAAAACTCTATACCGTCATCCTCGTCGAACTGAGGTCCAGCATACTGCTCATCAGGGGCTAGAGAGAGGGACAACATCCGTTTGTTGACAAGGGCTGTGTCAACACTTGGGATGGGGTCGTCTTTGGGTGAAGTGGAGTAGCTGGGCATTTTGGACTTCTGTGGCTGAGAGACAGCTTAGTTGAAGCACTTCCCTCTGCGCAGCTATGTGTGTCCTTGATTCAAACTCCTTGGCTCCTGCACTCCCCAGAGGAAGACAGTGGCTTCTGCATGGGGACACCACACAATGTTGTTCCTGTGCACTTCTTTGGTTCACTTTCACCCTCATTTGGGGACGTGGCAGTTCCCATGGTGTTTAGGTAGCATTGAGGGCAGGCAGTCCTCAGGAGGATGTTGATGCTGATTTGCTTTCTGCAGAGGAGCCAGAGAGGGTATCCATGTTGAACTTGTATATCCATAGGAGGAAACCAGTCCCATGGCCCCTGAAGGGTCCTGGCAGTGGGAAGGGGAGAGGTCTGCATGTGCATGTACTGGACAGCATATTCCATGTGGGTCATGGAGTGATGACTGTGGGCCTCTTTCGGGCATTGTAGCAGGCCCCCATTTCATTTCATGATGACCTCGGGGTGCTGGGACAGGAATGTGATTGCGGGTCCACGTGCTTCTGCAACTCCTCAGACTGACTTGGTTTGGAAGGTCTGTGTTCAGGACCCTCTGTGAGATGCTTGTCTCCATTAGGCATTTGAGCTTATATCGGCCCAGGGTTTCTACCTATCGTAGGTTGTGCATACTTTGCCTCTGAACCACTCAGGCACCTCGATGCAGTCAACGTGCCCGATTATAAGAGTGTGACTTCCCATATCCTGGTGATCTCTACTCGGAAACATGGTCCAGGAAGGTCTCTGTGCTTAAATACCTTAGTAGCTCGTGATGTTAGGTTATTTTCTAATTCCTCCTAATTCTTCCCAGGAGTCTTCTTTGTGAAATAGTCATCTTGTTGTAGGACAGGGCTGGTATCCACAGGCAGTGATGCATAGGTTTTGCACTGCGCGGCCATGTTCAAAGGCAAGTGCCTTAAAATGTATGGTGTTCTCAGCCACAGTGCCTTAGAAGCCATGTGGGATTCAGTGTGTCTGGTGGTCCTCTGAGCTGCACCTGTGAGGAAGACGCTGAGGTAGAGGTTAAGTTGTTATTGAACGTTTTTCTCAATCTGAAAAGTGTTCAAGCAGCCCAGGGTGAAAAGTCTTCAAGACTGAAGGAAAATTGCCTTTTGTACTGGAAGAGTTTTTCCCCAAAACTCTCCTCATTTAAATAGCCCTGTGGCTTGTGTCTTCTCTGATGACCAAGAGGAGGGCTTTTGAGTCAGTGATGGCAAATGAGTGGTTTTGAGAGAGTTCTTACACTTAGGGCTCTGTAGCTTGATGGTGCCTTCAAAATTAACACGTGCCTGCTATCTTCATTCCTGGGTAGACCCATACACCCATCCCAAAAGGGGAGTAGCCTGTGGGAAGCACATATGGGATATACCACAGTGAGTCGAGTGGAATGGCCCTTTTGACATGTGTACCTGCCTCCCGTTCTTAAGCACACCCGTTTTTCCTCTGCACTTCCCAGGTGTTGTGGCCATGGAAGTAAGGCCAGTGGCTACGAGGGACAGTCTTCATCTTGGGAGATCCCTAGAGAGGGCAGGGAGCCCCTTGACATGTGGAATGTGATCTCTGTTGGGTGCTGGTGGATCCCACAGGTTGGTAAATGTCCATTTTCCAAAAGCCCCTGATGTTCCTTCTTTGCAGGGATAAAGACTGTGCATGGATCGATGATGACCTCAATACATGCATTCCTTGGAAAGCTGAACAAAATGAGTGAAAACTCTATACCGTCGTCCTCGTCAAACTGAGGTCCAGCACGTGGCTCCAACTGGAGCTGGAGAGAGAGAGACAACTTCCATTGGTTGATGTGGGTTGCACTAAGCCATCCATCCAGGCTTAGGATGGGGTCCACTTTGGATCAAAGGGAGTCACAGGGCAGTAGGTGCTCCTGTGCAGAGGAGATTCCTTGTGTGAAGGACTTCTCTTTGTGAGGCTGGGTAGCACGCACAATGTCTGCAGGACTGGGTGAATGTGCAGGTGGCACAGAAGAGTTAGCCGGTAACCCGCCTCTGTGTGGCCAGGTTTGTCCTTGAGTGCTGGCTCTGGGTTCCCTTGTTCCCCAGAGGTAGATAGCTCCTTGTGGTTGGGAAGAGAGCCCAAGGCCACATCTTTGTTGTTCTTTGGCTCATTTTTTTTCATGGCTGAGGACTTTTTAGTGCCCATGGTGTTTTCGTAGCAGCAGTGGAAGTCAGTTGTGAGGAGGTTGGTGATGCTTATTTTCTTTCTGGAGAGTACCCTGTAGATCGGCTCCATTTATGATTTGTGTGTCTCCAGGGAGAAACTGAAATCCCATGGCTGGTGATGGATACTCCAGGTGGGAATGAGAAAGCGCCATACATGTGTTGACTTGGTACCCTAAGATGGGGATGGTCCGCCACATTTGCGCGTCTGTTTTGCATGGTGTGTACTGCACATCACAAATGCCATGTTGGCCTTAGGGTGCTGGGAATGGAATATGATCTGATGTCTACATGGGAGGGCCTTTCAGCAGATTGCTTTTGTTTCCTGACAGTCTTTGCTCCATCCCCAGTCACACGTGTTTTTCTCCAGGGAACATTTTATTGGAGTATATCAGGTCGATATCAGAAAAAAAAATGTTGTGGTTATCCCAACATTAAGTGTGGTGATGTAACAGCAGTGTGGATGGTAGCTCAAGTGAACAGTGGCAAAACCAAAATATATTGGTTTACGTAAGTGACCCTATTCTCTCCTATGTTTGAAGTCTGGTATGCATCTCTTTCTGCAATAATCTCAGTGATCTGGAAACTTTCAGGAGGTCTTTTTTAGATATTTTATGTCCTTGTGGTTGTACTCATACTCCCTGCAGTGCTAAGTCTGAGTCATTCTGCTATCCTAGTGCTACTGGAATTTCTATTGTTTTGGGGGCACTGTCTGGTCATTGTGGATACCTCTCTTGGGGCCCTTTAATAAGAAGTATGTTAGAGGTCGGTTTTGGGGCAGTGTTGACCTCCTGCCTAAGGTCAAAGGCAGTTTTCTTCCTAAATCTTATTGCAGGATTCACTGCCTGGGGGTTGTGTGACAGGGAGAGCACAAAATTAGGGTATCCCATGTGGACTTGTGTCCAGTATCAAGGCAGTGTTGGATAATTTTCTATATCCACAAGGCTCCCACTGGACTCTTTATGTCCAGCAGACATTCACAGGCCAACTTTTCTCTTACACAGGGGGCCTCATTCCTGCCATGTGTAGCTTCCATGGAACCATCCTTCAGGTTTTAAGTGCAAGGATTTCTCTCAAGAGTTTAATTTGTTTCTTTAAGACACCGTTTTCTTTTCTATAAATTCTGCTTTCTGTGGTTTGTAGCACAGATGAAATTGCCAGGTCATATTCTACATTTCTGCCCAATCTTGGATTAGTGAGCCTTTGAAATATGTTCCTTGATCACTGGCAATGGTTCTTGGAATACCAGAACTTAGTTACAAGCATTGCAGACCTACAGAGGTTTGTTGTTATTTTTAACTGCATGAAGCAGTGGGTTTGTTTGTATCTTGTCACTCACGGCTGTCAGCAAAACTTAGGTGTTGCTAAACCAGACCACACCCATGAATTATAGTGCCTCTGGTTCCTTCTGTAGTAGCCTGTGGGAAGTAGATACAGGATGCACCACAAGGGAATGAATGGCATGGCCCTTGAGACCTGTGTACCTGCTTGCCTTTCTCAAGCACACCTGTTTTGCCTCTAATTCCTAGGTGGTCTGGCATGGAAGAAGGCCAGAGGCTGCGATGGATCATCTTTGTCTTGGGAGATTCCTGGAGATGGTGGGGAGCCCCTGGGCACGTGCAGCATATGTGGCGTGGGCTTCTTCAGGTGCTGGTGGATCCCTCAGGATGGTAAATGTCCATTTTCCAAAATCTTCTGATATTCCATCTTTGTAGGTACAAAGACTGTGCATGGATCGATGATGACTTTTATACATGCATTCCTTGGAAAGCTGAACAAAATGAGTGAAAACTCTATACCGTCATCTTCGTTGAACTGAGGTCCAGCACATTGCTCCAACAGTGGGTAGATAGAGAGGGAAAACTTCCATTTGTTGACGCAGGTTCCATTGAGGGGTTTGTCCAGGCTTAGGATGGGGTCCCCTTTGGGCAAAGGGAGTCACAGGGGAGTGCGGCCTCCTGTGCACAGGAGATTCCTTGTGTGAAGGATTTACCTCTGTGAGAGCAGGGTAGCACACATAACTATGCAGGAGCAGGTGAATGTGCAGGTGGCACAGGAAGAGTTAGATGGCAGCCTGTCTCTGCACAGCGAGGTTTGACTTGTCCTAGCTCTGCATTCCCTCATCCCTTAGAGGAAGTTGGTTTCTTCAGAAGACTTAAATTTGTGGAATTCAGTAGAATATTATCCACATAATGTTCCCAGTGAATGCTAGGCATATCACCCAAGATGGCCAGGCCTCTGGCCATAAACCATAGTAAATAGTAGGGTGTGCATATATCCATTAGGGAGAACCTGAAAGGTCCTTTTTTGGCCCTCCAAGGTGAATGCCTGCAAAAGCAAGCGAAGCACGCTATCTGCCTGCATGAGCCCCATGTACCTGGCGTGGCCTGTGCTCCTCACCGTGTGTCCCACTTCTGCTGCCCCTTCGCCTTGCCAGGTGGAGTCTGACTGATTTTTTGCCACTGCTGCCACCACAGGCCACCTGGAGCCCCAGCCAGTTTGAGGAAAGTGGCTCTGCTTGATTTTCCTTTTTTCTTTTTTTTTCCTCTTTTTTTCTCCATTTCTGACTTCAGCAGGTGGGACTTGGAGCTTCTGCTTCTGCAGCCACAGAAGACTCCCCAGTTTGGAGGGCTGTGGTTGTGGGCTCCCTAAGCATCTCTCTGCAGAGCCTCTTTGTTTTCCATTTTACCCACCATGTCAATAATTTAACACAGTGGCGGAGGAGTTCATGTCTCTTCCTATTTGTCATTA